>NC_000005.10:172427990-172731020 GCF_000001405.40 Homo sapiens
TGGTCTTGAACTCCTGACCTCGTGATCCACCCACCTCGGCCTCCCAAAGTGCTGGGATTACAGGCATGAGCCACCGCACCTGGCCAAAGAAAAATTTTTTAAAGCAGATTTCCTGCAGAGATTTACATACTGCATGTCATGTGCCCTGGAAATGACTAAAACTTTCTCCATGGCACAGCCTTCAAAACATGAGCTGCACATCTGAGAAACAACTTCTATGCAGAATACATTTCTTGAAGTCTTGGTTGTAAGGAAACAACCAACCAGATTACAAGATGGACAAAACTTAAAGAGACACTTCATGCAAGAGGACATATGGAGGGCAAGGAAGCACATGAAATATGGTCACTGCCACTAACGAGGCAAAGTGAAACCAGGAGGAGATGCCACTACCCATCTGTCGGAATGGCTACGATTAAAAAATAGCGACAATAACAAGTGCTGATGAAAATGCACGGCAACTGGAACCCTCATGCATTGCTGGTGGGGAAGCAAAATGCCACAGCCACTCTGGGAAGATCCTCAGTGGGTGCTGAACCACCAGGTGAAAGGCTGTTGAACAGGACACTCACACGGTATCAAAGTATAACCCCATGATTGCTTTCCCAGCCAGGGGAAAAATGTGTAACTCTACAACTTAACCAGGTTACCAAACCTAGCCTCATGGATAGAGGGACAATCCAGTTACTGTGTGGCCCTCCAGGTGATGCAATGTGAAGTATACACAATCTGCTGTTGGTATTGTTGCCAACAATGTTTAACTTGAGCTCGAGCTCTTGACCTAGGTTCTAATTTACAACAAATATAGGAGGCAGAGGAACAAGATAAATGACATCATAAGGAAGCAGACAGATCTGGAATGGGCAATGTTCTACAAGTCAACTAGCAGGGCACAGCTCAGATGCTACTGCCTCCAGAAAGCCCTCTGTGACCGCTCCCTGCCCACCAGTATGAGGTTGGGTGCCCCTGCTATAGGACTCCTTAGCACCCACTTTCCCATCACAAAGCCAATGAACGCTTTACTGAAATTGCTCAAGTGTCTGATTTCCTGCTGGGTTCTAAGTTTCACGCGAGCAAGGACCTGGCCTGTCTTGTTAATGGACTGCTGTATGCCCAGCACTGGGCAGGGTGGAAAAATCTAGGCTTCGTGAATAAATGGGGAAGAAAATGAGATGCCAGGAGGCCAAGCCCTCACAGAGAGGAGTGCTTCTCCTTGGCAGGCCTTTGGTCTGTAGAAAGGGACCCTGGCCATGTTGCTGAGGTGGTCCTGCCCCCTTGCTTTTCCTCTCTGTCCCCTGTGCTGCTTCACCACAATCTGCAAACACCCCCGCCCCTTGGGAGCAACATGTTTTGGGGGAGCAGCTGGGACTGCTTAAGGAACAAGGAAGCACAGAAACCACAACTGGGGTTAGAGAGTCACGGAGGTTTTCTTCTGTTCCCAGACAGGATTTGAGCCGGAATCATCTACCCTTTAAATCTCTTCTTACACAATCTCAGCAGCAGGGCCTGTGTGATCTAACCAAGTCCAGACTCTCCAACCTGATTGCAAACCCAGTTTCACCAGGAACAGAAGTCCCGGGTTTCCTCACTTCCTCTAAGTCAGCGAGAAGCCAAACTGGTGGTGAAGGGAGGGTGGGAGGAATTGGGGTGGGGTGTGCTGAGCCAGGATCCTTTTGCAGGTGGGTAGATGGCTGAACTTGGTCTCTTCCAAATCCCCGAGCCAGCAGGCCAGGCTAACACTTCCCATGTTTTCCCAGCAAAGGACGGAGGCTCAGAAGTACAGTGCCTACAGTTGCACAGCTATGACGTGCAGAGCAGGGACTCTAACCTAGGTCACCTCTAATCCTGCCATGCCATGCCCCAGCTTGGCTGCAGCTGGAGCATGGGCCAGCAGGGAGATGTCTGCTCACCCTCCTAACTGTCAGAGTGACCAGTACATCATCCTACTGTTCTGCGAGGCTGTGGAGTTCTAGGGTCACAATGGCCTCGATTTATATCCTGCTTCCTTCTCAACTAGCTTTGTGCTCTTGGGAAAGTGGCTTAACCCCCATGACTCAGTTTCCTCATTTGTAAAAAATGAGGTCTGCAATACTACTAACTGCAAAGTTGGGGCGAGGATGAAATGAGAACATGCATGTAGATTCTTTCGCTTGGTGCCTGGATATGGTAAATGTTCCATAAAGAGAAACTGTCAGCAGCAGCATCATTGTGAGCAGAAGGTCACAAAGGTGAGGGAACCCTTGTCCCTGCTCCTTCTCCCTACAAATGAACTTCCCACAGCCCGTCCCACCTCTCTCCAGCCCACACCCATCTCCCTGGGCTCTGCCCTCTCCACCTGTCCTTTCTGTTCTCTGGGTCCCACAGGGGTGCAGGGGGATGGCCCCCATAGTCCTGGGAACACAGGCCCACTGTGCCTGAGCCTGGGGCACAGGTTTCCCAGCTTCCAGAGTCAGGGCTTTGTCCCTCCCCATGGGTGCCTGTGGGGAAGGCCCTGACACCCCCACCCACCCTGGGCCTCAGTCTGAATGGAAGGGAGCCATTATCTGACCCAAATGCCAACTGCCACACACTTGAGAGCCTGACTGGCGCCCAGGCTTCATCTTTCCTGGCTTTCCTCCTCCACTTATGGTTGAGAACTGTCCTAGGTCAGCCGGACCTTGCCAGGAGCTGACATTGAGAGGAAGAGTGACACTGCTCATGGATGGTGTTAGGTGTTTTGTGGCCTGGGCCAGAATAACCCTCTTCCTCTGAGGACCAACCTGTGCCAGGGCCTCCAAAAGCCACTTTTCTTAAACTTGACCACTTTGAAAAGGCAGGAAAGAAAACCAAACCCCTGGCCAACGCCCCACTTGAGAAGTAACCACCTGTTCTTTCTTTCTTTTTTTTTTTCTTTTGAGATGGAGTCTCGTTCTGTCACTCAGGCTGGAGTGCAGTGGTGCGATCTCGGCTCAACGCAACCTCCACATCCCGGGTTCAAGCGATTCTCATTCTTCAGCCTCCCAAGTAGCTGGGATTACAGGCGCCCATCACCACTCCTGGCTAATTTTTGTATTTTTAATAGAGACGGGGTTTCACCATGTTCCCAAGGCTGGTCTCGAACTTCTGGTCTCAGGTGACCCACCCACCTCGGCCTCCCAAAGTGCTGGGATTACAGGCGTGAGCCACCGCGCCCAGGCTGTAACCACCTGTTCTGCCTAACCCCCATGGCCACAGCTGACTGGCTCATGGACACCATCACGTGATCCAAGCCCGGCCAATCAGGTTCTTTCTTTCTCAGAAATCTGGGATCAGCCCTGAGCATGCCAGCTCCATCCAGAAGAGCTGCAACCCGGAGCCGTGCTCCAAACACTAGGTCTGCAGAGAGGATAAGTGAAGGAGAGGTGTGGGGAGAAGAGCGACGGGGAGAGCCTGGCTTGGCTTCGGGTAGTATTCCAGTTCCTGCTTCCCAGGCCTGCCCGCCCACCGGAGGCTACTATGACGCACAACAGGGGCCTGGGCCTTTCAGCTAATTCTCCTTTTGGCATGATGAGGGTTTTTGTGCAACTAAAACAATTCCATGAATTACAGGGGAAAAGTTCAGGCATTATCTTAGGTAAAAAGAACAAGCTAAAACAATGTAATCTCAATCTCAAAAAAATTCTGTAATGATATCAACTGTATATAAATGCGTGTGGGTGTTTATATACACAGACACCCATTGCACACACACACACAGCTGATGCTCATTGTTTGCGGTAGTTACGTTCTGTAAAGTCACTGAGAACACTGATTTAGCAAATACTCTAGGAGAAATACAGGGTTAGGGTCTTTCGAGCCTATGTTTTGTTTTTGTCAAGTGATCAATACATAACTTTGTTGCGTGTGTGTTTCTCTTTAAAGATACCTTATTTAGGCCGGGCGCAGTGGCTCGTAATCCTAGATCACGCGTGTAGTCCTAGCACTTTGAGAGGCCAAGGTGAGCGGATCACCTGAGGTCAGGGGTTCGAGACCAGCCTGGCCAACATGGTGAAACCCCATCTCTACTAAAAATACAAAAATCACCCAGGCGGGTGGGCGCCTGTAATCCCAGCTACTGGAGAGGCTGAGGCAGGAGAATCGCTTGAACCTGGGAGGTGGAGGTTGTAGTGAGCTGAGATTGTGCTACTGCCCTCCAGCCTGGACAACAGAGTGAGACTCTGTCTCAAACAAACAAAGAAATAAACAACCTTATTTAATATGCATGGTTAATTCATCAACGCTGAACTCAGAGTCAACAGCACTGCAACTCGTGCCTGAATGAAGCTTCTCCATAGGCACATCACAGCCATCTTGCGTTTAGGCTCACCAGACAGCATGTTAGCACAGCATTTGTGGGCCATACTAAACAGCAAAATCAACAAAAAGCACAGAAATGTACAAATGCAGCACTCATAGACTAGGACAAGGATTCTTGTTAAGAGTATGGGAGCTGAAATGAGGGGGGAGTGTCGCTCATTCAACCTCAGCTGGGAACGTGCACGTTGGGTGACGCAAATTTTTCACCGCTCTGCACGTGCCCATGTCCGAAAATGCCCACAAAAGTGCTTCGAGTATCGCTTTTGAGTTACAAATAAATTTTAGCAAGTAGGCAAATTCGCAAACATGAAATCTATGAATAATGAGGATTGACTGGCTGGGTGCGGTCCGCCTGTAATCCCAGCATTTTGGCAGGCCGAGGCAGATGGATCACCTGAGGTTAGGAGTTCAAGACCAGCCTGGCTGGTGAACCTCCGTTTCTACTAATAATACAAAAATTAGCCAGGCATGGTGGTGCATGCCTGTAATTCCAGCTACGCGGGAGGCTGAGGGAGAAGAATCACTTGAATCTGCGAGGCGGAGATTGTAGTGAGCTGAGGTTGTGCTTTGCACTCCAGCCTGGTCAACAAGAGTGAAACTCTGTCTGTCTCAAAAAAAAAAGGGGGGGGGGGGGGAAGAATTGACTGTACCATATCTAAATGTATGTGCGTTTGTGTGTCTGTACACACACACACACAGTTACGCACCACCTAACGTTTTCCAATGACAGACCACATATACAACAGTGGTTCCGTAAGATTATAACACAGTATTTTTACAAAACCTTTTCTATGTAACACAATGGTGAGTATTTGTATATTCTAGTCAAATACTCACCATTGTGTTACAATTGCCTACAGTATTCAGTACAGTAACACAGTGTACAGGTTTGTAGCCCAGGAGCCGTGAGCTATACCACAGAGCCTAGGTGTGTAGTAGACTATACCATCTAGGTTTGTGTAAGTACACACTGTGATATTCACGTGATGAAACTGCCTAGCAACACATTTCTCAGAACTATCCCTGTTGTTAAATGACACATGACCAAGCATATATATGTCAGTGGTTCGCTTTGGGGTGGTATGAATATGGGGGACTTTAAAAATTCTGTTCTTGATGCTTGTATATTCCAGATTTTTTACACTTTATTTTCTTTTACAATCAGAAAAAAAGATGTCGCTTTCTAGGAGCACTGAAAGAAACCTGTCTGTGGGGCACTTTCTTGTCTTGAACCCCAGGCCAGCATCTTCTCCGTTACCCTGGCTCAGTCCTAGGGCCACCAAGGAGCCCCTGCCGGGTGCCAGCCCAGCCGATGGCACAGGGATGCCCAGAGTGGGGGTGGGAGAACACTGGCTCACCGGCCGGGAAGCCAGCAGATGGGCCCCAACCCGGAACTTACTATGGGAGTGAGGTTAAGTCCTTGACCTCTTACAGCCTCTCTGTTATCTGAAAAATAGAGATAAGGTCCATCCTACCTTGCAAGCTAAGCTCTCCAGAAATGGAGAGATCTCTAGAAAGGAATCCATGTTGGTTGGTTGGAATCTCTGCTCATGGTGGGACTTGAGGGCAAATGTTCACTGAATGTTGCCCAACCCTTCACCTCCTCGCGGGGTCTAACTCCAGTCTAAGGGGATGGGGACTCCCAGTGTCCAGAGGGCCCCCATTAAGCATGCAAGAATTTGGGCACCATTTCCAAGCAGTAACAGCCAAGGGGTCAGCTCTTCCATGAATAAAGTGCTAACAATCAATAGCAGAGTAGACTAACTATAGTTAACAACAGTGTATTGTGTATTTCAAAATGGCTAGAAGAGAGGACTTGAAATGCTCTCAACACATAGAAATGACAAATATTTGAGGGGACGGATACCCCAAATGCCCTGACTTGATCATTACACCCTCTATGCATGCAACAAAATATCATAAATGTCCCATGAAAATGGACAAATATTATGTATCAATAAAATATAAAAAGATTTAAGCCAGTATCAAGCTTAGAGGCTCTTGACAAACAACAGGGCCAGGCTATAAACAGGCCAAGATACCTCTGCAAGCCCCCGGCACCCCTGGGTTAGCTGACATCCTCATCCTTGCCGACCCACTGGCCCAGATCTCTGCAAGGGGCTGTAGCTCTTAGAAAGGCCCCAGAACTCCATCGATACGCTGTCCCCAGGGTCGGATGATGTGAAACAGCTGCCGCCCTGCTTCCCCTGCCTCCGGAGCTCTGTGAGCTCCCAAGTGTTCACCATGTGAACTGGAAAACAAGGTAAAAAGTTTTTGCCCTGCTAGTAAAATCTCTGAGGCATGGGGGAATGTCCTCCAGTCTTACTTTCCTTTACAAATCTATTTGGTGGGGTTTTTAGGGTTGTCAAAGAATCCAGCTGAAATTCCTGGCTGGCATTAATTACAAGGGCTGGGGCTGCCGCACTGGTCCCATGACAAAGTTATTACATTTTGGTCCTGGGATGCAATGGCCAATGGTTTTTTTTTTTTTTTTTTTCAGACAGAGTCTCGTTCTCTTGCCCAGGATGGAGTGCAGTGGCACGATCTCGGCTCATTGCAACCTCCACCTCCCAGGTTCAAGTGATTCTCATGCCTCAGTCTCCCAAGTAGCTGGGATTACAGGCATGCACCACCATGCCCAGCTAATTTTTTGTATTTTTGGTAGAGATGGGGTTTCGCCATGTTGCTCAGGCTGGTCTCAAACTTCTGAGCTCAGGCAATCCACCCTCCTTGGCTTCCCAAAGTGCTGGGATTACAGACGTGAGCCACCACACACAGCAGGTCTCCTTTCTTAAAGAAGGCACAGAAGACCTCAGAACAGGCGACACTAGCCAGGAAGAACTTAACACATTGATTTTTCTCTTTCTTTTGAATTTCATTTCCTTCTATTTTTAGCAAGTGCTACTACTGGTTTTCCCCAGGTATAGTAGACAGCTAAAATTTCCATTTAAAAGTAATTTAAGTAAAAATGTGAGTCAATTTGAAGAATACTGTATTAGGAATATATACTGTAGGGAGTTTGTGGATATGTCAAAAATTATGATGGTGCTGGTAAGATTGAGAATGAGGATGGTCCTGTGTTAGTGGAATTCCTTGCCATTCTCACTGTATCTGGAGGTATTTGTTTGTTTGTTTGTTTGAGACAGGGTCTTGCTCCCTCTGTCATCCAGGTTGGAGTACAGTGGTGTAATCACAGCAGCCTCGAATTCCCAGGCTCAAACAATTCTCCAGCCTCAGCCTCCTGAGTAGGTGGAATTACAGGCATGCACCACCATGCCTGGCTAATAAACAAATTTTTTTGTAGAGATGGGATCTCAGTATGCTGACCAGCATGGTCTGGAACTCCTGGCCTCAAGCGATCTACCTGCCTCGGCCTCCCAAAGTGCTGGAATTATAGGTGCGAGCCATCACGCACAGCCAAGTTTTGTTTTTTTATAGATCAACAGCTATAACCTTTCTGAAGTCAGAGCCCTCTCCTGGCTCTGCAAGCCTGGTGGATAGCCAGGAACAAATTGGGTGACTGAAGACAACATCTCAAGAGAAGGCACAAATGGGGCCGGGGCTGTTTCCTTGCAGGGGCTGTGAGAAAGCAGCATCCGCAAGACAGAACCCTGTGGTCCATTAGCAATGTCTGCCAGGGGCAGGGGCTGAGGGCTAGTGAGATGGGCGCTACCTACTTGGCATCCCTGGTCTAGATCAATCCCTCCATTTTACAAATGAAGATAGGGAGGTGCTGGCCAAGAGGTGCAGTGACTTGCTTAGGGTTACACTCTCAGCTGTGGACTCTTTCTGCTTCCATGACAGTGTCTGAATTTCCTTGCAGGTTCCTTGTGCCCCTATGGGCCTCTTACATAAGAGACTTGCCCAGAGAGCTTTAATCTGGAGGGCTCTTAGAAGTGACTCAGGCCAGCAGTGAAACTGGCCTCCAAGAAGCCCCAGGATCCTGGAGAGGCCCCGTGGGTGGGCTTTTGGGCCATCCACCCCAGTTTCCATAGCGCAGTGCCACTTTTGGCTCTTCTGTGTATGCTACAGGGTATAACCCAGCAGCCTGCAGCCAAATCATCACCAGAACTGCCTCTATACAGGGCCCGGGCTCCTTCACCGGCCACAGCCCTATTCTGCCTGCTTCAGGCAGACAACAAAGGGTTCCAGGCCTTTAAAACATTTGAAAACCCTCTTCTAGACTATCCTTTGTTCTATAGTTAGGGACATGAGGCCAGAGGGGAAAGGGACTTGCCCAAGGTCCTGTAGCCAGCAGGGAGGAAAGCTGGAACCAGAAGCCAGGGCTACCATCGGGAGGTGCTGAGAATGCGGGCCCTCTGCTCCAGACTGCTGTTTCTCATACCTACGAAACAGTAGAAGCCTGTGGAGATGAAGGGAGCAAATATGCTGTCTCTCATGCAGTGCACGGAGGGGCTAGGGCTTCCGCTCACAGGCTACACAGCTTCTGCAGCGGGTCATCAGGCTGTGATTGCTAAAGCCGTCCTGCTCTACAGCCAGAGCAAGCTTAAATGCCAAAGCACATGCAGCTCTGGGCTCGAGGAGTAGTGCTGGCTTCAAGATCCAGGTGAATTCATTTCCTGTAGAGAAGGGTTCAGGACTATGTCCGAAGGTCCCTAGGAATCCACAGACCCCAGTTTCAGAAGGCAGCTAGCTGTTAAGAAGGGGGTTGGATTCCCTCCATCAAGCTCCCACACTGGCTGGGTTCCCAGGTGGCAGATCCTGGGAAGAGCTTGGGAGTTAGTGACTGGCTGGGTTGCAGATGGCTTGCTCTGGGAATATGCTGTCTTGGTCACACAGGCCCAAGGTGGATAAGTATGGTCCTCGTGGGTGCTGGGGAAGGGAAAGCAACAAGGGCAAGGGAGAGATGGAGAGCGAGGAGAGGGCAGGGCGGTCGGATGGAGCTCCACGGGCTTGACTAATGGGAAACCCGACTCTGCCACGCTTCGTGGAGACCCTGGGTTCCCTTTGGTTCTGATCTGTTGACTGTCCCCAGCTTTGTGTCCAACATCTGGCCTATATAGGTCAGCACCTCCAACCTCTTTTTGGAACTGCAGCACCCAAAGTTTGTTTGATTTCCCAACACCCCAGGGCAGCATCACCACCAGAAGTGCTGAAGGGGGAGAGGAGGAAACCGAGGCACAGAGCCATGCTGCGCCTGAGGTCGAGAGGCTGGGAAGTGGGTGACATGAGATCCAATCCCAGCCCTGCCAGCCTCCAAAGCCTCTTCACTTTCTTCTCCCAGCATCCCAAGGCCTTGGGTCTCCTGGCCCCAGGCCAGAGCTTTCCGGTCCCCACGTCAGCGCCAGGAATCACCAAGCTCAGGCTCTGCAGCAAGTGACACACTGGAGGTGGCAGGCTGCCAATATTTTTTTCCCCCAATTTTTTCAATTAAGTGAATGCTTGGATTAGGGCCAAAATACAAGTGCTTGTGGTGTCTTGCGTCAGATGAGACACTTAGGGCTGTGTTCCTACTGCACTCTGTCCACAGGGCACGCAGCGAAGGCTCAGGTGGCTGGTTGAGCTGAGGGCTCCGCTTATCCCTGTGTGCAGAGGTGTGCCAAATGGGGAAATGGCGGCAGGAGTAGGGGGAGAGGAGTAGCCTCCAAAGTGGGAATCTGATCTCTCTCCCCCTGCCTCAAACTCTTCAGCTCATTCATTCATTCATTTGGCATATACACAGAGACCTACTGTGCACCAAGCTCTGCTCGAAGGGCCTCAATCGAGAAAGAAAACACACCACACAGGCACAACGTGGGGCTTAGGGGCCTGTGCAGTCTGCCCCTCCTCTGCTCCAGCCTGGCTGGCTTTCTCTTGCCTCCAGGACTCAATGCCTGCCACTGCCTCTGGCGGGAACATTTCCTCTCCCTGCCCTGCTCAGCTCCTCTTCATTTCTCCAGCATCAGCCTAGAAGTCACCTCTCCTTGGAAGCCTTCCTGGACACCCCAAGTCTCAGTCTAGCTCCCACTCTCTGAGTTCCCACAGGGCTAGGGCCACCCTCTCTCAGAACCTGTTCCTCTAGGGGTGCTGGTCTCTTTGCATTACTGCACCCCCACTGCCCTGGGGGCCCTTGGGGCAGGGCCGGGTTTGTCTATTCACCATGGTCCCCCCAGTGCCTGGCGACAATGAGCTCTCAGGAAATGCCCGGTAAAAGAGACAAAAAGCCGAAACAGGGCCACACAGTCAAAAACCAAGGTGACCTCACTCAAGGCTCTCTGTGTCCAGAGAGTAACAATGCTCGTGAAATAGCTGAATGAACAGCTCTATTGCCAAGGGTACCAGAAACAGAGCTGGCTTTGTCACAGAGGGAATGCAGGCATGGGACCCAACCCAAAAAGGGAAGTCCACGTTCCACCCCAGAGTTTCTCTGAAGAGGTAATGGCAAAAAACAGAATACCCAGGAGTGATTTAAACTCCAGGGGGAATGCCTCATCCCACTGTATGTCAGAGACAGTAAAGCTGAGGGAATTCTTTGAGGTGTTGGAACTGTTCTGTAGTGGAGGTTACAGGAACCTGCACATCATAACATGCTACACCAAAAAACAAAATTTTACTGCGTTACACCACAAAAGGGAATTTTACAGCATCCACGTAAAGTAAAAAATTAAAAATAACAATCATGCTTTAATGTCATTAAAAAAAAAAAAAAGATGGCAGGGTGTGGTGGTTCATGCCTGTAATCCCAGCACTTTGGGAGGCCAAGGCGGGCAGATCACCTGAGGTCGGGAGTTCGAGACCAGCCTGACCAATGTGGTGAAACCCCGTCTCTACTAAAAATACAAAAATTAGCCGGCCTGTGGTGGTGCGCACCTGTAGTCCCAGCTACTCAGGAGGCTAAGGTGGGAGAATCACTTGAACCCTGGAGGTGGAGGCTGCAGTGAGGCAAGATCACGCCACTGCACTCCAGCCTGGGCCACAGAAACAGAAAAAACAGAAAAAAAAAAAAGAAAAAAAAAAAACAAAAACAAAAACAAAACAAAAAAAAAACCCCAAAAAAAAACCACAGGCATCGGCTTTAGAATACCTGACTATGAATCCTGCCTCTATAGCCTGATGCTGCTGTGACTTTGCAAATCACCTCACAGCTCTGAGTTTCCATTTCTTCACACCTGGAAAATGGAGAGAACAGTACCTACTTTATAGGGTTGGCTGAGGGCTAAAGGCGCTAATGCATGTCAGGTGCTTGGCACACCATCTGGTCACAGACAGCTTCCAGGGCCATCACTAATAACCCATTATGGAGATTAGACACTGGAGGCCCCAACCGAGTAGCCATCTTCCTTGGGCCAACTCAAATCTTGCAAAGTGAGATATGTTAAGAGGAAAAGTCGGGAATGTCAAGCTGTAAAAACCAGGTATGTGTGTGCGTGCGTGCGCGCACGCGCGCGCACACACACACACACACACACACACACACACACACACACAGCTGCCCACCCTCTGGGCTCCCCTAACTCATGGAATCTTATCCAGCGGCATGGGCAGCAGGAACTATTTCCAGGGTTGGCCAGGCCAGGCATCTCCACTCTTGCCGACGACTGAGACACTGGGCTGGTGGAAACACTCGCTGCTCCAGGCGTGCAGCTCCAGCCCAGGCCTCTGGCTGCCAGCTCACGCACTGCTACTCACACACATCTGGCCCGAGGCGGCGTGGGGAACTTTCCAATGGCAAGCAGAGGTGCTGGCAGCTGGAGCCCAGGCTCAGCCGGAACCAACCTGAAGGCTGGCTTTCTAGGAAAGTCTCCAGGGCAAGCACTTAGGGCTTGTTGAGATCTCCAAGGCTGCCAGGCCTCAGAGGAGCCTGGGCAATGAAGGAAACAGACCTGGGTGAAAGATTTCAAGTGAGGGCCTCTCTCGTGTTGACAGAGCTGTCCAGAGTGAATGGAGCCGCCAACAAGAGCACCCACTACGCGCAAGGCAGTAGCATCAAAGCTGTCTTCAAGGAGCACGCGGTCGAGATGGCAAAGTAGCAATCCTGCACGTCCTCCTACACAATCACCCGCCTGGGTTTCTGCCACTCCACCCTGCATCCCCCAGGTCTGACCTCCTGCCTCCAGCAGCCATTTTGGCCCTGCCTCGATGGGGCTGTGGGCAAGGGTGAGACCTGGGGATGCTGTGCCTGGATCAGGAGTCTAGGTGTCGGGACTTGCATTTAACGAGCGGGCAGGAGAGCTCAGGAAGAACATCCCCAAAGTGCAGAAGGAGAATTGACACATGTCATCCTCTCACCTTTCAGCCCCACAACCAAAGCCAAAAATGTCAGAGCAGAAAACTGCAGAAGTCAAGACAGTTCAAACCCGAGCTCCCACTTAGGGCTGGAAACTGGGGCTCTGACTGGCTGCATCATGGGGAATCTCAGTAGGGAGCCACCAGGTCCCGGGCCGAGGCGTCCTAGAGAATGTCCAGGGCTCTTCCAGCTGCGAGGCAAGGCCATGCCACACGCAAAAGGAAACCAAGTCTCAAGACAGCAATGGTGGAAGCGACAGACTCTGAACTGGACAGACCTGGGTTCAATCCCAACTACAAGACTTAAGTGGGGGTCCTAGAGAAGCTAGTTAGGAGGCTCAGTTTTCCCATCTGTAAAAGGGGGGTGCTAAGAACCTGTCTCTTGGGGGCTGCTGTGAAGTATAAATGGGATTGTGCCTGTAACACCCCTGGTACAGTGGTGGCTTATAACCCCCTTCCACGTAAGCAAGAGTGAGCTCCACAGGCCCAAATCAATCCTAAAACATTACGATGAACCAAGTGAAATTGCCATTTTTATAGGTTAAATATTGACAATTTCATATGGTTCAACCTAACAGCATCCCAGGGGCTAGAGGATCTCATTTGTGTCCACTAAACTAGACTAAGAGTTAGTACTCTTCACTTCAGTATCAGGCACAGCAATGACCCTCCTTCCCCCTCATTTAGAGACGAAGAAGATACCGAGGTTCTGAGAGGTTAAGTAACGTGGCCCAAATCATATAACTGGAAAGTGACAAAGCCAGGGTTTGTACTCGGGCCTGGCTGCCTCCAAAGCCTGCAGCTTAAACACGATGACACACTGACTGCTCGGCCTGGGGCCAGCAGGGCGTTATCACATGTGATTGTGTCTCAGCACCAAGGACGTCAGTGGCCGTTGCCTTAGAATCATGGGACCTTGGGACTGCGAGGGTACAAGCAGTTAATGGCTTTGTTCAAGAAACACACTTGGGCTGGGCATTTATTCTAGGCCAGGCCCTGAAGACAAAATGGGGGGTTCACACCCTAGACGATGATGAACTCAATGTGTACGTGTCATGATAGGATTGGTCCACTGGGGCCTCAACGTCAAAGCTGGGTACCCTGGTGAGGTAACGGAAGGGTTGCCGAGAAACAGGCCAACTAGGCTGGTCTAGGATACCTTCTTGACAATGCCCCAACCGAATCCAGCCTCATCCTCCCTTCCCGCTGAGCTTGGGGTCAGGACAAGGAGAAGAGAACTAGATAGGAATGTAAAGGGAGTATGCTCTCAGACCCTGGGGACAGCCACCTTTTAGGGGTGTCATAGGGGAGGAGAAGGGATTCCTCCATGAAATCACATGTGGTTTCTGAAGGCCAGATTCTGTGGGTACCCTTGGCCACTCCTGGACCCCTCCCTTGTTGGGCTCCTAATCTGCCAGAGACTAATCCCTGCCCCTGTCCCTATGTGAGCCCTATGTGGACTTCTTTGCCATCCTACACTGTCCTCTCTCCTGTAGAGAAAACTTGGGTAGTAAATAAAATGTAGACAATTTACCGTAATCACTAACAACATTTAAGAGTCTAGAATGTGCTTAATGTGCTCTATCTTAGCAATCCTATGAGGTCACACTACCCTATCATTTCCGTTCTGCAGTGGAGAAAGGTAAGGCCCAAGGAGGTTGGGTAACTTGTTCAACCTAGGAATCAAACAGGCTGACTGCACGGTCAGAGGTCTTAAAAACTGTCCATGTTTCCACCATCAGAGATGATGCTTTGGGCATGCTTCTTCTCAGACCCTTTTCCTATGCATAGAAATATTTTTCAAAATTATGATCACACTATATATATGATTTGGTTTTTTTCATTTGCATGAGATGGCGGTCATTTCTCCACTTCATCAAACATCCTTTGGACAAACCACTTTTAAAGATGCCTTTATAGTTCATTGTAAGGCTATATATATCATTTATTTAATCATGCCTCCAGTGATAAACATTTAGGCTACTTTGAACATTGTTTAAATTACCATACTGCTGAATATCCAAATATATAAATCTTTGGGAGAAAACAGCTACAAATTTTAAGGAGTACATCCTTAATTAGAGTCTGTTTCTTAATATGTGGTCATTCCAGATGGCCCGTGTCACATCATTTGAGGTTGCTTACTCAAAATGCACATCACTAGTCAGATAAATGATGATGATGATGATGGTAAAGATAATAATAACAGGTAATTTATTCAGCACTTCTACATGCCAGGAAGGGCTCTAAACCCTCTACATGAATAATCCACAGTGGATACTCTTGTTAGCCTCATTCTGTAGAAGAGGAAACTGAAGCACGGAGAGGTTCAGTCACTGACTCAAGATCACACATGGCAGAGCCAGGTCCAGCCCATGCCATCTGGCTCCCAAGTTCCACCTCTTCCACCCAGAGGGGTCTTTCATCTTTTTTTGGAGCCATGAATCTCTTTGGCATCTGAGGAAACCCACGGACCCCTTCTCAGAATGATTTAAAATGAGTAAAACACATAGATCCCAAATGAAACTAATGATACTGAATTATAGTTATCAAAATGTTTCAAAAAACAAAATTATGACTATATGTACGTTTTTATTAAAACCACAAATAACAGAACCTCGTGGTGGGTCTAATGACACCGTAACTTGGAAATAGTAAGGAGTATAGATGCTCTCCAGGCATCCACGCAACGACTGTCAAGTAAGATGAAAATAAGGGAATCGCTATTTGTGACAAAGTCACATGTATTACTACTATCACCGCGAGTTGCTGCCTTCATTCATCACAGAAGGCAATGCTAAATTTCAGTCGGAGGTTAGTGAAAATTAAGATTTAATTCTTCCCCTTCTACGTTCAAGGGCCCTCTGAATTCCACCCATGTAAAGAACCCCACTGCTAGTCAGCTTTCCCAGCCCCTGAACACCCCTTTGCTTTTGAACCCAGCTGACAGTGCACCTCTCTGTCCCAGCAGGAACGGGTACTCCAGGCCCTGTCGCAGCCCTTATCCTATGGAGATGCATTCTGAACAGATGGTGACCTCTGTGAGGACAAGACTGTGCTTGGTCATCTTAGCCTCTCTCTGGCTCTGGGCCAGACCTGGCCCAGGGCAGACAATAAACCCACATCTGTGGAACTGACTGGAAGCCAACAGTGGCCTGAAGCCACAGGCTGCTGATTCACACCTTGGCTGAGGAGGAGGAAATGGTGACGCCAACGCGTGGGTTCTAGCTTTCTTTGCCAGCACAGCGGGCGGGGGGCCATGCAATTCTGCTTAATTAAACAAAACAGAAAATACCATGCTTATGTGCTTGAAGGCAACTTTTCCATTCAGGACGGAGGTCGGGGCTGGGAAAGTGACTATCCCCTTATTACCAGTCAGTGATAGGCAGGGGAGCCAAAAGTGATCCTGGCAAACTGCTTCACCTTTCTAAGCCTCAGTTTCCACATTTGTGAAATGGGCTAATAACAGCATCCATGTAGCAGACATGTATTGTTTTTGCCTGTCCAAGCTCCATGCCCCCTTCTCCCAGCAACAGCGCCCTGAATCTCCTTCCACAACTATCCCTCTCACTACCAGTGATTTCAGTGGGACCGTCGATCTTAATATCCCACTCACACCTGGCCCATAGGGTCAGGTAATCCGGCTGGGCCAGTCAGAGTCTCTCCTGGATCTGGACTCTTGAGTGGCTAAAAGGTCTGAAAATGGATGGATCAGCTGCCTGCCTGGTGATGTCCTAATACCTACTGGAGTTCCCACTCCCTGGATGGCTCCAGCTGCCCACGTTCTTTCCAAGACTGGGTGCTGAGCTTTCCCCCTGATTCTGACAGCCCCACCTTTCCAATACATTCTGTTTGGCTTAAGTTAGCCAGGTCTGTTTCTGTCACATGCAATCCCAGAATCCTGACTAATACTCCTTATCTCACAGAGCTGCTATGTGGATTCAAAGACATAAAGCATGAAAAGCCTTGAGCACATAGTAAGCGCTTAGACAAATGATAGCTCTTCTATACTGTTAAGAATAAAAAATTACTATTGAATCTTGAGAACAAAACAAATTTGGAGTTATTTAATTGCCCTGGAATTTCAGGATTACTACTGGCTTGCAGAGTCCCCTCTAATAACCTTCCCTCTCTCCCTCCATCTCCACTGTCTGCACATGGCTCATTTGGACAGGGGCTCCTGGGTCTGTCTGTGCTCTGCTCCCTGGATTCACCCATGAAGGGCTCTTCTACCCACCCCTCAAGTTGGGGAAGTGCTTCTGAGCACCAGCTCCTCCCGCTACTCCAGTGACTGCCTCTGGCCCCGAGCCCTGGCCTCAGCCTTCGTGTGCTGTACTGGAGCTATGGCCTTCCTGGGGGGGGACCATGCCTTCTCTCCTGTGGTTCTCAGGTCAGCCAGGAGCCCCCAGGTCCTTCTGGCCCCTCTACCCACAGAGCTTCATCTCCATTATTCAAACCTCTTCTGCTTTTTCAAACACGCCATGTGCCAGGGTTTCCATTTCTTTGCCCTCCTGTTCTCTCTACCTGTAACTCCTTCACCCTTGCCCACTTGGCAGCATCCCTCCCATGCTTTGTGACTGGCCTCAGGTCACCTCTGCAGTGCTGCCTTCCCCAGGACCAGGTCCCCCAGAAGCCCAGGGCACCTGTCTGCCTGTCAGGACACTGACCTTCTTGAGGTCTCAATCCCTGCTTTGTCTATCCACATGTCATCTCTGTCGCCCAGGCTGGAGTGCAGTGGCGCAAACATGGCTCACTGCAGCCTCCATCTCCTGGGCTCAAGCGATCTTCCTGCCTCAGCCTCTCAAGTAGCTGGGATTGCAGGCGAGAATCATCACACCCAGCTAATTTTGTGGATTTTTAGTAGAGATGAGGTCTCACTATGTTCCCCAGGCTGGTATTGAACTCCTGGGCTCAAGCGATCTTCTCGCCTCAGCCTCCCAAGATGCTGGGATTACAGGCGTGAACTCCCATGCCCAGCCCTTATAATGAAGGCTTCTTGGTGGTGGTTGCTGTTTTTCCAAAGTGGTAGCTCTGGCAGCTTTGCCAGATAAAGAATAGGATGACCAGTAAAATCTGAATTTCGGATAAACAACAAATAATTGTTTCTCATAAATATGTCCCAAATATTGCATGTTTATTTGAAACCGAAATTGAACTGGGCATTCTGCATTTTCATTTGCTAACTCTGGCCACCCTCAGCCCTGGGAAAGCCTGAGACAGGGCTGCAGAAGCAGGCAGGTGAGCTCTGCCCACAGCCCCTCCTCCCTTTACCACCTGAAGAAGACCCTGGGCTGAGAGTCATGCCCGCCTGCAGGTGTGCATCTGGGCCAGCAAATAAGGGAGGAGAAAGTCCTGCAGTTTGGAGAATGGGGCAGAGGCCGATGGCTTGTGGCGGAGCTCAGGTCCGCAGGCTTCTGCAGAGGCAGAGTCCGGAGGAGGCAGCCACACGAGCCCTGCCCCCGGCCCACTGCTGGAGGCACTGAGCCTCCTGAGTCTGTCATGTCAGCTGGTTCCCGTGTCACGTCAGTGGGCAAAGGATGCCAGCTCCACCCAGGGGCCAGCTGACCCCCCCGACAAGGGCTCTAGGATAGGGACCACAGAGCCTCGGCTTCTGGGCATTACCCAGGCCAGCAGCACCCCTCCTCAGGCATTCTGCATAAAAGCTCATTGGATCTCCCCAACAAAGCCCCCTACTGCCCAGAGAAGGCTCAGGGCCAACAGTGAGTGAATGACAGAACCAAATTAGAACCCAGGCCCTGCCTGCAGAAGCCACATGGCCTTCTCAATAAACCTGTCTTCTCTTTTGGCCACTTGTGGGTGCTCACAACTCCCTGGTTGAACCCACCAGACTAACAGGCTGCTCGGGGGGCAGTGGCTCCCTTTCCTGCAGCTGCAGGGACCCACAGCTGGCTTCATCGCCAAGAGGAAGGGGAAAACTGAGTCATGCAAAGCAAGACTGCTCCCCTGACATTCCCGCTACCACAGCTCTTTCTCCGAGGAAAAAAGGATGCACAATTTGCAAGCAGGACGTGAGTGTCACGGCGGGAACGGCACAGTCCCTCTAGCCTTCCTTGTTTGGCAGTGTGATAACTGGGCTGCTTGCCGACTTGCCTGCACCTCCGGTGGGAGGCAAGAGGATGCATGAAACGCCCAGGGAAGTGGGCTGTAGGGCACACCTCTAACCTGGATGACGTTTCTGGTGCCCTGTGACCTTAGGGTACAGACCATGCTGGATCTGCAGAACTTGAGCCTACAATTCTTCCCAACCCTATTTGGCTGCAAGCACGATGGGGAAGGGCCTGGACTTGCTGAGCAAGGAACATTTTAACTAGGAAAGCATCTGCCCAGACCTTCCCTCGTGGTATTTTAAACTCATCGCTTTCTAGTTCTCTAGCTCACGGACTGGAAAGCCACATCCAGAGACCTCCCTCTGTGGCAGGAGTGGGGAAAGAGCCTCTGAAGGCTGGTGCCTGCCTCAGGAGGACAGGAGAATCCTTTGGGACAGGATGGGGCAGCAGGATGTGGGGATCTGGCTGGAGCTGCCCCAGCTTGACGCAGCTTCTTTTTAAAAATGAGCATTTGCTGTTTTTTTATTTTTACTAAAAACAAGAATATGTGTTCATTGCAGAACATTCGGAAAAGAGAAAAGCACAGAAAAGCACAGACAAGCAGAAAAAAAAAAGGAATGACATTTTATCAGCTGTATTTCTGAGCTTACACAGACTCATATTTTCATCCTTCGTTTGTAATCAGGTGAAAATCAGCCTGAGCATGCTATTTTGCAAACCAGCTTTAGCTATTTAATATGCTTGTGATAGAAGATGGAACACAGTTTTACCATCTTGATGGTATTCTAGCTCATGGATATAGCACGTTTTATCTTTGCATCTCTACTGATGCACTTTTAAGTAGTTACCAACCTTTTATGATCATAAATGATACTAGGTTTGTACACTCCTAATATAGTTTACCATTATCAAACCTCAATTACATGCTAGGCCCCTTTAACTCTCACATTAGCCCTATGAAATTGGAACTATTTTTATCCTCATTTTATAGATGAGGAAACTGAGGCACAGAGGCTTGTCTGAGGTCACACAGTTGGTAGGTGGCAGAGCAGGGATTTGAACCCAAGCTGTCTGATGTACTTTCTCAGCCCACTAGAGGCGCAGAATGGCATTGATTCAAAGTCTGAACTAAAGTGACATTTAAATAATTTGAAGATATGACTGCTCCACCTCCTTTGACCCTGAGACACCTGCAGCAGCACAGAGTGCACCAGAGCAGGCTGGGACTTCTCCCATTGAGGATGACCGGCCAGGTGAGCTGAGGGGCTGGTGCATTGCACCTATGGGGTGGGGTGGGGGATGGGATGGGGGAGCATGGTTGACCAGGTCCCTAGCAGAGCATCCCAGATCAACACAGAAATGCCCTTTGCTTGCCACTCACTTGGCATACATAGCTTGCCTGTGTGACAAGCACCTACTTTTTCCCAATCCAAAGAAAGCAATAGTCGTTAAAGAAAAACCTACCCAAGGGGCCTTAAGAGGGCCCTAACTCTTGTGACACAGACACAGTAGAGGACAAGAACTCTCCTGTGCAATAGGTAGGAATGGCTCTGCCTTGCTCCCGGGGGCCTATCCCAGCAGCAGCATGGGCCCAGCCTGGGGCAGGTATCCCCCAGAATGCCTCTTGAATGAAAAGACCACGAAAACTGCATAGTGTGCCTTCTGGGCAGCAGGCCGGAAAGCGGTGCAGAAATTTAGATCACGACTATTATTATCATCAATAGTACTTTTCATGACTACCATTTATTGAGTACCTTTATTTTATTTTTGCCGACAGAGTCTCCCTTTGTCACCCAGGCTGGAGTGAAGTGGCGCAATCTCGGCTCACTGCAACCTCCACCTCCCAGGTTCAAGTGATTTATTGAGTGCCTTTTATACCCATGAGGCTGAGCATTGTGTGCTAGGTACTATGACTATTCCCATTTTACAGATCCTCACATAGTGCAAGGTCACCCCGCTCAGGAGCGCTTGAAGAGAATTCAAAGCCAGGTCTTTTCATCATGAAGGTAACGGTGGGTTGGAAAGACATGTGCTAGCAGTTTTATTCTTCCCAGCAGCAGGGCTGGAGCACAGATTCCGTGCATACATCACCAAAAGCCTGCACAATCGTCCCAGAAGGAAGTCACTGCACCTATTTTACAAATGTAAAAACTAAGGGGGGGCATTCGGCCAGTTGTCCAAGGCCATGAAGAACTTGAACCCAGATGTTTACCTCTAACACCCGAGTTCTTTCCACTCAACTTTGCTGCCCTGCCCTCTGTGTTCCCACAAAACAGGTGCCAGGGATAGGAGGAGAGGGAGGAAACTGGGGGCTGGAGAAGATAATGAAGCTAATTTGGGCAGCAGATCCATGGTTTGTTCTAGACCATTGGGCTCACCTGCTGGAGGCCCCTTAAGGGACTGAGAATGCCAGTAATGCCTACTAAGGGCGCAATCTACTCTTCCAAACTCAGCTGCTCAGCACAGTGACCCCTAGGCTTCTGGAGCCTGGCAAATCAAAGAGGGAGGTTTCAGGGCTGGCAGTACAGAGCCTGCAGAGCCATCACTCCAGGGGCACCATCTACCCAGAGCTTCCTGGGGTGAGAATGACTAAGGGCTGGCGGTGGCTTGCACTTCTTCAGTCGGGGCTGAATAAATGGTGAGATCAGAGAAGGGCCTGGGATGGCCCCAGTATCTCATATAAGGGGAAACCGGGGTCCAGAAGCCTAAGTGACCCATCCAAGGTCAGTCAGCTCCGTGGTGGAATCACAGGATCCCCCTATGTTTCTCCCAGACACAAGGGCATGTAGCCCAATTCCCACGCAGCCACTCCTTGCTGTGTGACCTCAGGCACATGCCTCCACCTCTCTGAATCTGCAGACTCCTCCAGGGGAAAACAAAAAACTAATGTAATTACCTGAAGGATTAGTATCCCAAATGTATAAATAAATCCCGCCAATCAATAAAAGACAAATAACCCAATATATCGAAAAACAGGCAAAGGACAAAAACTGGTAATTCACGGAAGAGGAAACTCAGATAGCCGATAAAGGTATGAAAAGCTGCTCAACCTCACTGGTGTGAACAAGCACCACTTTTGCACCTATTGGATTGGCAAAGACTGAAAAGTCTGATGATACGGAGTGTTAGCAAGAACAGAGAGCAAAGGGAACCCTGAGGATGTAAGTGCAAAGTTGAAAACACACAAACCCCAAGACCGTGGGACCCTGTGCAAGGAGGCAGCTGTAAGAAAGTCAACTGCTGGAAACATCCTAACAGTTCCCGGCACGAGCTTGAAAAAACAGGGGCATGTTCATCAATGCCATAGTAAGCGACAGTTAAAACGAACTGGAGCTAGCTGGATCGACATAGATCTCAAAAGTGCTTATTTATAGTTTTAAAACATTCACGACAATACAAGATTTTAGGGAATGTTAAAAAGGGAAAAACATTAAAAGGTCCATGGGCTGTGGTGGGAAGGGGATTGATGGCAAATGGGCGTGGGGGATCTTTCTGGGGATGATGGAAATGTTATAATACTGCATTGTGGTGACGGTTGCATAGCTCTGCAAATTTACTTTAAAAATAAGTGAATTGCACACTTACAATGGGTGAATTTTATGGTATGTAAATTATACCTCAAGAAAGCTGTTAAAAAAAATCCTATCTATTAGTCTATTTTTTATAAGTGCATGGGAATGATCAACATCAAATGCAGGATAGTGGTTTTATGGGGGAGGGGCAGCATCGGGGAGGGCGTCCGGGGGGTTTGCATCTGCGATGCTTTATTTCTTAAAAATAAAAACAAAAAAGTTTTGAAACAAATTGGCAAAATATAGAGATGTGAAGACTTGGAAGGTATATAGATATAGATAGCTATTTTATTCTATGTATCTATATATGTGCAGAATATTGTATTACTATATTGAAAATATACCCATTTGAAAGGGACCCAGTGCCCCGCTCAGGTTACCGAGGACACTTTGACCACTGTTATTCTTGCTGCCATAAATATTCCGACCATCCTGCTCCTCTTAACATTTAAAGATCTTGAGACAGAGCAGGCCAGCATCTCCAGGCTCCTGCTGCCGAGACACTAATGCTTCTGTACATCCCTCTCCAGTGCGGGAAATGGGGTGATCCAAATAAAACCCACAAATCCTACCTGGAGCTCTTCTTCCTCCCCCCAAGCTGAAGACAAGCTAGCTGGGGAGGGTCTCCCAGGATGTCACCCTCAAAAGCCCCTCTCCATTCATCCCCAAGCCCTCGGGCTCTAGTGCAGGAAAGATGCTGGCAGAGAAAGGCAGGAGCTCCCCAAATCTTCATCTCCCTGCTTCCAACAGAGGGCAGTGGCTCCAGGGAAAGGCTCTCCAAACAATATCATGGTTCATTGTCATCAGCCTCTCAGGATCTCACAGGCACCTGGAGCTTCTGGCCCTGCATTCTCCAGACCTGGCCTGTGGCTCTGCCCCTGGGCCCATGGATGATGTCTCTGCCTGCGGGTGACTGAGGCTGGGGCTGGAGAGGACGCCATTCTGATCATGGAGAAGGCACCATTTCAGAGGGAGCAGGTGGCCCAGCCCTGATGGGCAGCCCTGAACTCCGGGTGCAGTTCTCCAATGACATCTACAGCACCTGTGACCCTGTCCCTCACAGGCAAGTGAGTGATGAGCAGGTAGTGGCCGAGATGGCTGCAAATGGGGAGAGGGGTAGTGGGAAATTAGGGGGCGTAGTGAAGAGGACTCTCAAAAACTGACTTTATAGTCTATGGCGCAGTGGCTGGGGTGGGAATGTGTGTGGTGCTGCCCCCTAGAGGACATGCAGCAATCAATGCCTGGAGGCCTTTTGGGTGTCACAATTGGGAAGGGGGATAACTAGCTGGGTAGAAGCCAGGGAAGCTGCTAAACATCCTGCAATCCACAGGACAGCCCTGAAACAAAGAATGATCCAGCCCCAAATGTCAAAAGTGTTGAGTTTGAGAAACTCTGCCCTTGAGGGATGTAGCAGTATTTACACAGAAGCTAGAGCTCAGAGAGGCAAACCAACCAGTCCGAGGTCACACAGCAGAAAAGTTCAACTCCCCAGCTGATGCTGTCTCTCCAGGGTGGCTTCAGAAAAAGGGATACCAAATGGGAGTCAAAGTCCAGGCCTGCCAATAGCTGCCTTCATGCCCGCTCTTTCCAGATTGTGTGAGGGGTTGGGGTGGAGCTTGGGAACAGCAGCGGTCGCCCACCACAGGGATCTGTTTCCATTGGGTTTGGCCCCCCTGCCATCAAGGCAGTAAATGTTCTCTGTTCCTGTGGATGACTCAGGCTTCAGTTCAGCCCATTGCCCCTCCTCATCTGATGAACCCAGAAGCCTGGGCTAGAAGGGAGAGGGCCTCTTGAATCACATGAGTGACTAAAGCCACATGCAGAAAAACAAGTTCTTGATGAATCCCCCTACCATGTGACTTTGGCATGTTCCCAATCAGTGACAAGATACCTCAGGACAGGCAGGCAGGGAGCTATGCCTTTAGGGCATTTAGGAATGCCCTAAGGCAGCCTGTCATGCGGCTGCTACCTCTAGGAAATGGACACCACCATCCCCATTACACAGATGAAAAAACTGAGGCTGAGGTGACACAGCTACAACCTGGGAGGCCAAGATCTGAATCCCAATCTATGTTTTAACATAGAAACTTGTCTCAGGGGGCCCCCAAAAAGTGGCTGAAAGCTTCAAAAGACGGTTCTCAAAGCGCAAAACCTTCAAAAAACTGGCAAGGATGGAGCTGACACAGCAGAGAATGAAAAGCTTCCAGGTTTTCACTAATGATAAGAGAGATTTCCCAGTTTTTCAGAGGACTTTGCTCAGAGAAACTATAGGGGTACCGGATGTGGGAAGTGGTGTGGTCCTTTTGGGGTCCAGCGGGCCTGGATCTACATCCCTGCTTGGCTCTTGACTGTGACCTTAGGCGTGGGACCTCACTTTGCTGAGCCCTGGTTTCCTCATCTGTCAAATGGGCTTAAGGCCCTCTGCCTGATATGGGCGTGATAGGAGAGGCCAGAAGAGGGCGCGTGGACGATGATGGCCGGGCCTCGGTGGCAGTATCTATTCTCGTTTTTGCCAGCTCACAGACCTGGTGGGAGGTGGCATGGAGAATTCCAGACTTCCTCCAGTTGCCATGTTGGTGAAAACTGTCTTCATGCCAAAGAGGCAAACTCACTTACACGCTAACAGGCTCAAACAAGAAACTAAGATTTGGCAGCATTTGAAAACAGTTAACAAAAAATAAAAAAAGGAAGGAAAAAAAAAAGACAATTTAGCTCAGCTCTGGAATCAAGGGAAACTTCACTCTATATAAAGATGCCACAGGTCCAGGAAATAGCTTCCCACCGCCTGGCTAAGGGCTGAATAACTGGCTGCCCAGCCAATAACAATACAGACTCACACAGCACACCCTTTCTTGTGGAGAGCGCGGAGTGGGTTCCCGGCTATCTCCTTTCAGAATTTCACAGGCTATTCACGGAAGGCATGCAGATCTACTTTGTAAGAATTAGTTCTTAAAAAAAAAAGATCTGAAGACGACTTCCAGGGAGGCCAAGGAGCTTAATTTAGCCAGCCAACGCCCTTTTCTATTCATTGTTCTATACTTCTTTGTTAGGATTTTTTCCCTCCCTCTTACTCTTTTTCCCTTCCTGGTTAACTTCTCTGCAGCCAGGCTCCGCCACTGCCCACTTCTCACCGCCAGAGACACTATAGCCCCCTTCCCTGCTGTAATGAGGCCCTCCCCAAGGCCTCATGTGGGCCCATCACCCCACATCCCCTTTATCTCCACCTAGAACCTGCGAGGTGGTCCCAGGGCCTCCTGAATCTGCAGACGTGTCCCCTAGGTTGCTGCGGAAGCCACTTTCCACCTGCAGGTCACCGTCAGCCCCAGGCACCCCTGCTGGAGGGAGGGAAGCCCGAATGCAGCTCTATGTTCCAGGACCTGCAACCTCTGAGCCTCAGCCTTCCTATCTGCAAAACGACGCTACTGTCCCATTTTCTCAAGTCCTTGCCAGCTCCAAACAAGATTCCCATGTTCCAGAGGGAGATGCCAGGAGAAAACTTTCGTACATTTTAAAACAGAAGTTACTGGAGAGAGGGGGCAGGGGATGTTTTTAACCCTTTAAAGGCGTAGCCACTCAAATGATCCATTCCCAGAGATCTCCTCCATCGCCCAGGCCGGCTCTTGCCAAAGAACGGAGTCAAATTCGGCGAACCCTAGAGGGGCTACCTGTGGCTGGGGACTGCGGGTCTGCGCGCCTCTGGACAAGGAGGGGCAAGGCGGGCGGCCTGAGAACAGGCACTTCTGTCTCTCCCGCTTTCTGTCTCAGACCCCTCACCGGCTGGAGCCAGACTTTTCCACAGATGAGCAGGACGGGAGTTGGGGGGACACGGAGAAGACAGAAAGGGGTAGAGGAGCCGCAGGGAGGCGAGTAGGGGGGCGAGGCGGGAGGAAGGGATGGAGGGGGAGAACGAGGCAAAAGCGGGGAGGGGAGGGGAGGGAGGGAGGAGGAGTCGGGAGGGACCCGGGCAGCGCCGCCGCAGAGCCGAGGGGAGAGCAGGGGAGGAGGGGACGGGAAGCGCTGGAGGCAGAAGTTTTCCAAGCCGGGGGCCCTCGGTCGCCCCCGACGGGGCGCGGGCTCAAGGGGGCGTGGGGGCCGCGCCGCACTCACATAATGCTTGTTGGGCACCCGCCGCTTCTGCACGTCTAGCACCTTCACCTCCACGATGCTGCGCCGCGGCGGCATGGCCGCTCCTCCGCCCGCAGCGGGCCGAGCGCGGGTGCGGGTGGCGCGGGGTGCAGGGAGCGCTGGGGGCGCGCCGCCGCGGGCAGGGAACCTGGAGCTGAGCGCAATCGCAGCCGGGGCCGAGCACGAGCCGCCGCCGCCACCGCCGCCGCCCTTCGCTCGGCGCGCACTCCAGCCGGGCCCAGCCGCCGCCGCCCGCCCCCGGCCCGCCCCCCGCACCGCCCCCCGCACCGCCCCCCGCACCGCCCCCCGCGCCGCCGGCCCGCCCCCCTTAAAGGGCCCGGCCCCGACCCCCGCCCACCGCGCGCGAACCCCGCCGGCCACGTCCGGCCCCCGCCCGGCCTTTGTCCCGGTGCTGAGCCGCCGCGCCGGGGGAGGGGACTGGACTGACCCCGTCGCCCGTTCACTGATTGACGTATCGATTCATTCCAGCACTCTCGCTCCGGCAGCCGCCATCCACCGCCAGTTTGGAGAGCCGGACACCCGGGTTCGAATCCCGGCTTTGCCGCTTTTCCACTCTGTGCCCTCGGCAAGTTGCTTAACCTCTCTGGGTTGGGTCTCTTCGTCTATAATATGAGCCTAGTAGTACAAGCACCATGTTTGTCTTTTTGTGTCTGGCTTATTTCACTCGGCATAATGTCCTCAAGGCTCATCCATGTTGTAGCACGTGTCAGTAGTACCGCCTGCCTGCCGGTGCTGCGCCCGGGATTAAGTGCATGTGAAGCCATTCCGCAGTGCAGTCCATGGTATGAGTGCTGGCGTTCCTAAAGCCACCCCAAGCCCTGGTGATTCAGGAGGAGCAAGAGACCCGTGACCAGGTTCCCCCAGCCTCAGTCTGGGACATGGGGAGTGAGGGAGAGAAAAACTGCAACAAATGCGCATACGTGCAATGTAATTGCCATGGAAGCAACAAAAGGGGATAAAAGGGTGGTGACTATGTGTGAGGGGCAGCTGGGTGCTTGTTAGCAAGGCCATCGATTTCCAGTTGCGGAGCACTTAACTGCTCGCTGGGCCCCGTGGCCCCTGCTTTTCACAAATGCTGTCTTTGCATCCTCAGGCAGACTCTAGGAGGAAAAGGTGTTTTTACAGAGGACGGCCTCCAGACATTTGGACATTTCCAATGAGGCCTGAGGACCCTCTGACTTGGGAACTGTACTTCAGAAGAATGTGCCTTACAGGAATTACATCAGTGAAGGTCCAGAGTCAGGGAGCCGGTGGATGGAGCCCGTCACTGCCTGGCTCTAGGTGGATCTCACACGTTGAAGCTGCCGTGGCTGGGGCAGCTCCTCGTTTCTTCATCTAGTGCCTCCTAGCACTGGCTGGGCACTGAGTCACTTTCAGGAGATGTTGGCTGAATGAATGGATAAATGAATATATAATGCATGGATGGGAGGTTTAGGCTCCTGGCCAGTGTTTTCACAGCCAGTAAGTGGGGGCTCTTTTCAACAAACCGTACGACTCTTCTCCATGCCACGACAGAGCTACTTCCCACCCCGGTCCAGGATCAGCCTTTGGAAAAGGGTGGGCTTATCCAGGGTAGGACGGCTCTCAGCCTCGGCCAGGCCACGTGGATGATTTGGGCTGATTCACTTTGGATCCGCCCCTCCATTTGCTCCTCTGACTTCCTTGCCAGACTTTACCATCCTGCTCCAGCCCCAGAGGCTGGCCTGTGTGGATTTCACTGACAGCTCTCTGTCCTGGTCTTCCTGTTTGGCTTGGCCAGTGGAAGGGCCTGGCAGGAGATTGAGGGCAAGAGGAGAGAGGGAGGTCTGGGTATTTAATCCCTAAGCCCCTCCTCCCCGATTGTTTTTACCAAAGGTGCCCTTTCTCACATGGTCTCTCTCAGGGTTCCTGAAGCCACTTTTCTGCTCAGGACAGTGACAGTCTTGCTGTTGCAAGCCCTGGGTACTACGCCATCCTCGGTGCTTCCTTAGCCCCGCCCACACCCGTATACATTGACCCTTTACTAAACTGTCTTCATGGACCCAGCTTGAGGGTGGCATCTGTTCGGTGCCAGGACCCTCACTCATGTAATTCCTGTAAGGCACATTCTTCTGAAGTACAGTCCCAAGCCAGAGGGTCCTGAGGCCTCATTGGAAATGTCCAAAGAAGTGAAGGTCTGCTTTTCCGTCCCTGCCACATCGTGCATTGCCTTATTAGGAGCCAAGCCTTCCTAAGAAGGCAGAAGCTAGAGGCCCTCTCTGAATCAGCCAGCTTCCTGGGTTTTTCCGGAGAGGCAGAGAGACCTGCCCCCAGCCACACCATGGGTGGCAGAGGTGGGTCCTGCTGGCTGTGTCCGTCTCCTCTGTCTGGGGAAGACAAAGGTCCCCCCACAACCACCAGTAGCAGAAGATGCTATCCCTGCATCTTTACGTATCTTTCCTTTGTTTTACTTTTTTATTGTAGTAAAAAATACATAACATAAAATTTAACATTTCAACCATGTTTAAAGCATACAGTTGAGTGGCATTAAGTACACTCACATTGTTGTGCAACTGTCACCACCATCCCTCTCCAGAACTTTCTCATCTTCCTAAACTGGAGCTCTGTCCCTATTAAACACTGAGTCCCCCCCCACTGCCCCCCAACCTCCTCCAGGCCTTGGCAACCATTGTTCTACTTTCCATCTCTATGAGTTTGACTATGCTAGGTACTTCATATGAGTGGAAACACACAATGTTTGTCTTTTTGTGTCTGGCTTATTTCACTCGGCATAATGTCCTCAAAGCTCATCCATGTTGTAGCATGTGTCAGAATTTCCTTTTTATGGCTGAATAATATTCCATTATATGTATATAGCACTTTTTCTTTATCCATTCATCTGTCAACAGTCACTTGGGTTGTTTTCATCTTTTGGCTATTCTGAATAATGCTGCTGTGAACATTGGTATAAAAATATCTGTTCAAGTCCCTGGTTTCAATTCTTTTGTGCATATACCAAGAAATGGAATTGCTGGATCATGTGATACTTCTATGTTTAATTTTTTTTTGAGGAGCCCCTAAACTGTCTTCCACAGGGGCTGTGGCATTTCGCATTCCCTCAGCAATGCACAAAGGTTCCAATTTCTCTACATCCTTGCCAACACTTGTTATTATCTGTTTTGTTTGTTTGTTTTGTTTTGTTTTGTTTTGTTTGAGAAAGAGTCTTGCTCTGTCTCCCAGGCTGGAGTGCAGTGACGCAATCTCAGCTCACTGTAACCCCTGCCTCCTGGGTTCAAGCAGTTCTCCTGTCTCAGCCTCCCGAGTAGCTGGGACTATAGGCGCCCGCCATGCCTGGCTAATTTTTGTATTTTTAGTAGAGATGGGGTTTCACCCTATTGGTCAGGCTGGTCTCAAACTCCTGACCTCAGGTGATCCACCCCCCTCAACCTCCCAAAGTGCTGGGATTACAGGCATGAGCCACCGCCCCCGGCCTTGTTTTGTTTTTTAAGAGACAGGGTCTCATCCTGTCACCCAGGCTGGAGTGCAGTGATTTTGATCATGGCTTACTGCAGCCTTGATCTCCTGGGCTCAAGGGATCCTCTGCCTCCGCCTCCCTGGTAGCTGGGACTATAGGCACCCACCAGCACATCTGGCTATTTTTAAAATTTTCCTTTTGTAGAGACAGAATCTCACTATGTTGACCAGTCTGGTTTTGGACTTCTGGCCTCAAGTGATCTTCCTGCATTGGCCTCCCAAAGTGCTGGGATTACAGGCATGAGCCACTGTGTCTGGCCTGTTTTTATTTCTTTATTCGTTCATTTGTTTTTGATAATAACCATTCTAATGGATGTGAAATGGAATCTCATTGTGGTTTCGATTTGCATTCCTCTAATGATGAGTGATGTTCAGCATCTTTTCATGTGCTTGTTGGCCATTTGTTTATCTTCTTTGGAGAAGTGTCTATTCAAGTCCTTTGTGCATTTTAAAATTGTGTTATTGGTTTTTTTCTTCTTACCTTTCTATATCACCCATTTACCTCCTAGACAACTTGGGCTTTTCTGAGTGTCCACCATAGTTTTTGGAGAACTGAATTGTGGGCTGGTGATGCAGTTTAGGCTGGCTGTTCAGACTGGAAAGATCCATTTAGGCTCTGCTTGGGAGAACTGCAGATTATCTGCTGATAAAAATCTCAACCCAGATGGTCACTACAATTCACTGGAACTGGACTAGTTCCTTGTCACAAACACAAAACACTTCTGCAAATTCGAGTTCATCAGGGAGCCCAAACCTAAGGGAGAACTCGAATGGAAGAGAAATCCCACTTGGAATTCAAATAGGATTCCAAGTGGGATTTCTCTTCCATTCGAGTTCTCCCTTAGGTTTGGACAAGGATTCCTTTTAGACTCTATATAGTCTAAAAAGAGGAGGGACCCTTCGTTCCAGAAATCCCTGCCCCTTTCTTAGAAAACTCGTGAATAATCCACCCCTTGTTTAGCACGTGATCAAGAAATAACCATAAATATACTTAGACTCGAGCATCCCATGCCAGGGCTCTGCCTATGGGGTAGCCATTCTTTATTCCTTTACTATCTTAATCAACTTGCTTTCACTTTATTCTATGGACTTGCCCCAAATTATTTCTTGCATGAGGTCCAAGAACCCTCTCTTGAGGTTTTAATCGAGACCTTTTCCGGTAACATCACCGACATGCCTTGGCATAAGCTGCTCATTTCCCCACCTTGTCTGCTGGTGAACTCTCATTCAGCCTTCAAAGTCCATACTGAATGTCACTAATATCACTTCCTGTAGGAAGCCCTGACTCCCAGATGGGTAATTGTCTCCCCCCCACCCAGCTGCCACTGTGCCTTGTCCCAGCTGTCATTCTGGGCTGTGATTGTTTTCTTAATATCCAACTCCTTTGCCAGACTCCAAGCTCCCAAGGAGCCGGAATGGCCTTATTTGTCTCAAGTTTCCCACCTTTGGCACAGAATTAGCAAAGAGAGGCCCCAAAGAGATGCTGTGGGCTGAATGAACTCATCTCTATCTCATGAACTCTAACCTAAGTCCTCAGGGACATTAATTGAACCTCCAGGGCCAGGCTTGCTGTTGCCCCTGCCCATTCCCCAGACCTCTTCACGCCATTTCCCTGTTTCACACTGTTCTGGGAGCACTGACACTTCCCCTGATTGAGGTGTGGAGTGTAGAAGGTGGAAAAGGAGGTAAATATTCCACCTTAGCTGACTTCATTCCTCTAAATTTCTGTTCTAGAAGTGCATTTTGCAGGCTCGAGAGCTGTAGACCATAGAAAATCAATGCTGGAGCCAACGGACCGCAGAATTCCACATGGCAGGTTTATTTGTGATCAGGACCACATGTTCAAGGGGCATTGAGTCCATCGACCTGAATCAGCTTCTGCTCTTTTCATGATTTCGGCGTCTGCCTGGCTGGCAGGCTGCACTTCTCCCAAATCCCAAGTCCCCAGGACAGATAGCCAGACCCAGGGAGCTGAGGTCTGCTCCTTCTTTTCCTTTCTCCATCCACAGTCTCTGGGAAGAAGCTGGGCTTGGAAAGAGATTCCCTCCGTGACTGCTGTCTGATTGGCTGGCATTGCGGGGTGGTCATAACTAATGTGGCCACGCTTTCTAATGCTCAGTGGCCCGGCACACGTGGTCCTGAGAAACAGACCACAGGCTATAAGAAAGCAGGCCTTATGGCAAAATTCCAGGTGCCCAGGTTGCAGGGCAGAGCCTTGTGGGTGGGGAGGAGGTTGAGTGATGTGATAGCTCAGGGACAGGGAGAAAGAGACCTCAGCCTCCTTCATTCCATCTTCTCTCTCTTTCCTGGCTGCCAATTGTATCTTCCTAAAGGGAAGCTCTGTGGATCCTCCCCTGCTCAGAAACTCTCACTTTGCTCCTACCACTCACACGTGTTCATGAGCTTTAGGTTGGCATTCAAGGTTTCCATGACCTTGTTCCTTCAGTACTCCCGTCATGTGTACCTACTTTGTGTTTATAAATTGTGCATCTTGGCCGGGCGTGGTGGCTGACGCCTATAATCCCAGCACTTTGGGAGGCGGGTGGATCATGAGGTCAGGAGATCGAGACCATCCTGGCTAACACAATGAAACCCTGTCTCTACTGAAAATACAAAACATTAGCTGGGTGTGGTGGCACGCACCTGTAGTCCCAGCTACTCTGGAGGCTGAGGCAGGAGAATCACTTGAACCTGGGAGGCAGAGGTTGCAGTGAGCTGAGATTGTGCCACTGCACTCCAGCCTAGGCGACAGAGCGAGACTCTGTCTCAAAAAAAGAAAAAAAAATTTTGCATCTCTCTCTCTTTTCCCCACTTCTCAAAGGGATGTGCGTGTTGTAATATAGCTTTTCTTGAGCACGAACCAATCGCTGTCTATAGCACCACATAGTTTATATCAGTTTCTGTATCTAATATGCCCAAGAAGTCTGCAGTGTGCATAGTATTTTTCCCATTCCAGTGAGAAAATCGAGGCTTAGAGAAGTTGCCCAAGGTTGTAACACAGGAAAATTGTGGAGCTGGGATTTGAACTCAGATCTGTCTGGCTGCTTGACTTATGTTCTTTCCATGGAGGCAAGATTTCCCTTGAGGACAGGGACTAGTGTCCACTGTCCTCCATGATGTAGGTGGGAATGAATACAAAACTAGGAAGACACCAGCCCCTGTCCTCTAAGCTGTTCTCTATCACTAGCCAGATGGGTCTTTCGAAAAGGCAAGTCAGATCATATTCCCCACCCCCACCCCACCTTTGCTTAAAATGCTCCAGTGACTTCCTGTTGCACTTAGAATAAAGAGAAAGTCCTCACCACAGCTTCCAAGGCCCAGCAGGAACTAGCCTCTCGTGACCTGTTGACCTCATAACATCCTGCTCCCTGGCACACTCCCCTGTAGCTACTCTGACCTTCTCTCCATTCTTTTTTTTTTTTCTTTGAGATGGAGTCTCGCTCTGTTGCCCAGGCTGGAGTGCAGTGGCACGATCTTGGCTCACTGCAACCTCTGCCTTCCAGGCTCAAGCAATTCTCCTGCCTCAGCCTCCCGAGTTGGGACTACAGGCATCCGCCACCATGCTTGGCTAATTCTTGTATTTTTAGTAGAGACGGGGTTTCGCCATGTTGGCCAGGCTGGCCTCGAGCTCCTGACCTCAGGTGATCCATCTGCCTTGGTCTCCCAAAGTGCTAGGATTACAGGCATGAGCCACCACACCCGGCCGTTCTCTCTATTCTTAAAACACACATCTCTTTGCACATGCTGTTCTCTCCTCCTGGAATGCGTTCCCACCAACACTCTATCTTTCAAGCTTTCCTTTAAATGTCAGCTCTTCTGAGGCCTTCCCTAAAGTAGCTCCCCGACCTCCCTGTGTATTTCCTTCACAGCACTTATTGCTGTTGTCATCCTTTTCTTGTTTCTCTCCCAACTAGAACTCCCCTTGAGGGCAGTCCAGTCTGTCTCATTAGTTTTTATCACCCAATGCCGGCACAGTGCCAGCAGGCTCTTAGTAAATAGTTGTTGAATACGTGGATGGGTGTCTTTTCCACAAGAAGGGCAGGGACCCTTCTATCCCACAGTATCTGGTTTCTGGTGTGCTCAGCAAATCTTTGTTGAATGGATGGATGGGTGAAAGAATGAATGAGAAAATCATGAATGGACGTGTGCACGTATGAAAGATCATATTGATCACAAAAGAGTTTTGGCTTATGTTTCATGTCAATGGGCATATACTCCAGTAGTCTCTGCGGTGTCCAAGCCTGGTGACTCTCATCTTGTTCACAGAAGCCTGGAGATACCTGCAGAAAGACTAAGGGTGCTTGAAAGATGGAGGTAACCAACACAAAAAGTTAGCCGGGCGTGGTGCCGGGCGCCTGTAGTCCCAGCTATTCAGGAGGCTGAGGCAGGAGAATGGCGTGAACCCAGAAGGCAGAGCTCGCAGTGAGCCGAGATCGCGCCACTGCACTCCAGCCTGGGCGACACAGCTAGACTCCGTCTCAAAAAAAAAAAAAAAAAAAAAAAAAGATACAGGTTACCAACCTTTGAGCGGCTTGGGTGCATTTCCTTATTCAGCCACAAGGTGGCAGCCTGCCATGGCCGCCATGGCACCGCCTCCCGCAAGGAGCAACAATTAATGTTTAATAATTGCTCCCCAGTGCTTCCCATGCCCCGCATTTCCTGGGGAATCTAACTGCTTTGTTACCCCATGAGTTTGTTCCGTTGACTATAAGGGTTATGGTTCAGCCTTTCCTACTCAGAGAAAGTGCTTCGGAACATGATCCAAAAGTGCAGTAATTATGTTCGCCAGGTCAGCAAGTCTTTACAGAGTGCCTGACGCGTGCCAGGCACTGTGCTGTGTGAGGTGCTTGGGATACATCAGTGAACTAAACAGGTGAAGATTCATTTTCTTGTGGCACTCACATTCTAACAGGGAAGTCAGGCAATAAGCGATAAATATAACCCATAAGGAAATTGAACAGCCTGTTAAAAGGTGATGAACACGATACCGCTGTGAACGCAACAAACACGACGCAGGGATAAGGGGGACGGGGAGGCTGGGGTGGGGAGAATAGGAGGCAGCTTAAAATAGGGTAGAAGGTGACATTTGAGTAAAGACTAGAAGGAGGTGAGGGAGTGAGCCGAGCAGGCGCCTGGGGGAAGAGCCTTCCAGAAGGCAGGAACAGTCAGTGCAGAGGCCCAAAGGTGGGAATGTGGCTGGCAGGTCTGAGGAAGAAAAAGGAGGTCAGTGTGGCTGGAGTGGAGTGACAAGAGGAAAGAGAAGCAGGACATACGGGGACAGAGAGGCACCAGGGCACGTGGAACTTTGCAGGGATCGTGGGAACGCTGGCTTTGACTCTGAGGGAATTGGAGCGTGAGGAGCAGGACGACCTAACTTCTGTTTTGGAGAGCTCGCTCCGTCTAGGATAGATGCCAGCTCTCCTGGGCATGGGCCTGGATCGCAGTCTTCCACCCCCTACCACTCTGAGTGGGTCCTGTGACTTGCTTGGCCACTGAAATGTGAAGAGAAACAAAGTGCTTCCCCTCCAGGCAGGAGGACCCAATGGGCAACTTTGCCTCTATTCTGTGCCTGGCAGTGCTCCAGATGGCATCAGTCTGGGTCTGGGAGGGACAATGAGGAACAGAAGCCCCCTGCAGACATGTGCCGAATGTGTGAGCAAAACCTTTGTTGGCTCAGTGACTGGGCTTTTGATATTATTTTTTACTGCAGCCTAGCCTATCCTATCCTGATTGCTAGAGGCAAGCGTAGAACGGGGCAGCCTGCTAGGAGGTTACTGCAATGGTCCAGCTGAGAGATGATGGTGGCCCACACCAGGCATTAGCAGTGGAGATGCTGAGATGGGGCTGGATTCTAGATATGACGAATTTTACCTTGTTGGATGCTGGATATTTTTATAGTCATATAAATATTCTCGAGCTTTGTTCTGGAATGCAGTAAAGCTATTTGGAAATGGCTTGATTCTTTCGGATCTTCTCTTTATATTTTGTTAGGCAAGATGAGAGCTGCATTTAATCTAGGGCCAACTTTTCCCCACTACTGAGGCAAGATCCTTCTGAGTAATCTGACTGATGCCCTGTGAGTTATGAGTTATGACCTTCCCATTCTTGCCGTAGGAGAGAACCACTATTCCTGGCCAAGTGTGAGCTTTTTGAGGATTTGGCTGTAATCTTTAAAGGTGGTTCTTTCCCTGGCATGCTGAAGTTGATAAAAATACACTGAAGTTGATAAAATACACTGTTTCATAGTTTTTCTGAGAATTCCAACTTCTGGAATTCTATAGGCCTGTTTCTAATGTCTATTGTTTCTGCTGTTTCTAATTCATTTTGTCTTCTATCTTTTTTTTTTTCCTGGATACTTTATTGAAAAAGCATTTATTGAAATAGTTTGAGGCCTAATGACATTATCTTCCCTCAGAAAGGGTTTTGGGACCCTATGGCCTAAGTTCCAGGCTTGATGCTATAAAACCAAACCACAGTCTATTCCATGGCTGGCTTCTTTCTGATTTGCCCTTATTTCTAGAAGGCAGCCTGCCAGAGTCCCAGCCCAAAAGGTGGAGGTGGTTTACTAAGATCTCAGCCCTTGACAGTCCCTAGTTCTAAATTGTGCCCACCTAGCACTTTGAGGCTGACAAGAGGGCAATTCAGCCTCTCAAGTGGTCAGATTGACAAATGCCTCCAGTGAAAACTGGTCCTGAGTTCTTTGGTCACCAATTAGGGTTCCTTGCCTGGGGACACAAATGTGAGTTTTTTGATGATTTGGGGACATTAAAAAATATCTTTCAGCCTTTTTACTTATTTTACTATATAATCTACCATTAGTGTCATATATGCATTTTTATTTATTTGCTTATTTATTTTAGTTTTTAGAAACAGGTTCTCACTCTGTCACCCAGGCTGGTCTCAAACTCTTGGCCTCAAGTGATCCTCCTGCCTTGTCCTCCCAAAGTGTTGGGATTACAGACATGAGCCACTGCACCCAGGCTTATTTGCTTATTTAAACAGATACTGTGTTGCACTTACCCTGTGCCTGGGCCAGATACTTCTAAGCACTCTACATATAACCACTCAATCCTCACGACAGGACTATCAGGTAGGTACTATTTTTTCCCCCATTTTGCAGACAAGGAAATGAAGTACAGAGAGATTCAATACTCACGAAAGCTGGTAAGTGGCAGAACCAGGATTTGAACCAAAGCAGTCTGCAGAGTTCACGCACTTGTGTCCCTGGCTGTTTATAAACTTATGTTCACAACCTGTGATGGGTGCTGTGAAGGCATAGGAGGCCAGTCCGGCCTGTTGGCTGCCCTGAAAAGGTCATATTTAAGTGGAGAACTGATGGGTAAGTGTGACTGACTTAATCATGGGATTGGGTGGCAGATCAAGGGAACAGCATGTGCAAAGGTCCTGAGGTGGCCATTCAAGGAATGGTGAGAAGGCCTCAGAGGAGGAGTGTGGTGTAAGATAAGGCAGGGATGTAGTGGAGGTGGGCTTTATTCAGTGTTTTGGATTTTATCCTAAGGTCCCTGAGAAGTCTTTAGAGGATTTTTTTTTTTTTTTTTTTTTTTTGAGACAGAGTCTCGCTTTGTCACCCAGGCTGGAGTGCAGTGGCATGATCTTGGCTCACTGCAATCTCCACCTCCCAGGTTCAAGCAGTTCTCCTGTCTCAGCCTCTTGAGTATCTGGGATTACAGGCACGCACCACTACGCCTGGCTAACTTTTTGTATTTTCAGTAGAGACGGGGTTTCGCCATGTTGCCCAGGCTGGTCTCAAACTCCTGAGCTCAGGCAATCCACCCGCCTTGGCCTCCCGAAGTGCTAGGATTGCAGGCGTGAGGAACCGCGCCTGGCCAACTTTAGAGGATTTTTAAGAGAGCAGTGATGGTCAGATAAATAGGCCCACACTGTGTATGCCTAGGCCTTAAAGCAGAATTAAATCCCTGGGGTAAAAGAGGTTTGTGACTCTTAGTTCACCGTCACCCCAGGTCACACCAGAGAAAGCTTAAGATCACTGGGGTGAGGATTTCTTTGAAGAGAGTTTTTGGGGTGATACATTTCTCTTTCTCTTCTCTTGGTTCTCTCCCTCCCTCTTGCAGATCAAAAAAGGGGTGGCCTTCAAGACAACTGCTCGTAGAAAGTAGGGAGTCAGCCAGCAGGGAAACTGACACTTTCGTCATTGCCCTCCAATCCACCCCACGTTCGTTGAGTTACAGACCCTGGAGGGCTCCAGTAGCGTGGATGCTCATTGCGGGGGAGGGGGGAATTGGGGGCGGGGGTGGAGCCAAAGCCACTGGATTCTGTCTGTGCTCTGGAAAACGGAGGGCCATGGTGGGCTGGAGCCACCCATGAGGGCACAGCCAAGTGAGAGGACTCAGAAGACAGTGGCCTCACTTCCAGAATCTGGCCAGGCAAAAGTGCCAGCAGTTCCTTTGGGTCAAGTGCGGGCTGGGAACGTGGCTGGGCTGGAGCCACCTGGAAGCACATGGCCGGAAGACAAGTGCCCTCCAAGGGCTCTGTGCCCGGCCATGCCTGTTGGAAAGAGGCCAAGAAGTGGACCTTCAGAGCAGGGTATAAGGGGAAGCATAGAGACAGATGCCGGGGAGTGGGTAGGACAGGGCCTTAGTAGGGGACAAAGTCTGGAAGGCCTTACCAAGCTTCAGGGAGAAAGAGCTACAGATTTTCCAGAGACCTGACAGTGGCTTTGAAGACAGTGGTGGAGTCAAATCCTGCTTGTCCCCTAATGAGTCTCTGCTCCTTTAATATTCAGGTACAGGCAGCCAGCTCAGGTCCGAGCAAAAAGTGAGGTGGGTGCAGCCAGATGTCACTCTCTTTTTCCTTGGAGCAAATTTCCATAGCTTGCTGTCTTCTACTTCCACTCATTTCCCTGCAAGAGGGAAGGTCTATTGCAAAATTTCTGCTCAGTATCCCCAGATTTCTAACTACTTCTTCAGTCTCATTTTCCATTAGAATCTTTCAGTTCAAGAATACTGAAATATCTTTAGAGTCTGGTAAGTTTTGTACCTATTTAAGAAACTGCCAACTGTTTTCCAGAATGGCTACACCATTTTCCATTCCCACTAGCAATGTAATGAGAAATCAAATTTCTCTCCATCCTCACCAGTGTTCGATATTGCCACTATTTTTAATTTAGCTGTTCTCATAGGTGTGTGGTGATATTCCACTGTGTGGCTATAACGTTGTGAATGTTTAGTCACTCAGAAGTTGATGGCCATTTGGGTTGTTTTCACCTTTTGGCAATTGTGAATAGTGCCACTATGAATATTTGTGTCTAAGTCTTAGTTTGAATACCTATTTTCAATTCTTTACGAGTGGAATTGTCGAGTCACGTGGTCATTCATTAATTAACGTATTGAGGAACCGTCAAATAGTTTTCCACAGTGGATGTGTCGTGTAACAGGTCCACCAGCAATGTATGAGGGTTCCAGTTTCTCCATTTCCTTGCAAACACTTACTGTTTTGTTTTGATATGGCCATCCTAATGGGTATGAAGTGATATCGCAGTGTGGTTTTAACTTGCATTTCCCTAAGGACTAATTATGTTGAGCATCTTTTCATGTGCTTGCTGGCCATTTATATATCTTCTTTGGAGAAGGGTTTATTCGAGTCCTTTGTCCATTTTTGAATTAGGTTGTTTGTCTTCTTGGTATGGAGTGTAAGAGTTCTTTTTTATTCTAGTTACAAGTCTCTTAGCACATTATGATTTGCAAATATTTTCTCACATTGTGTAGGTTGGTTTTTTCACTTTCTTGATAGTGTCCTATAAAGCATAAAAGTCTTCAATTTTGATGAAGCCCAATTTATCTACTTTTTCTTTTGTTGCTGCTTTTGGTGTTTTATCTAAGGATCCATTGCCAAACTCAAGGTCATAAAAACTTATTTCTGTGTTTTCTTCTAAGAGTTTTATAGTTTTACTCCTTATATTTAGGCATTTGATTCATCTTGAATTAATTTTTTGTATGTGGTATGAGGTAAGAGTCCAGTTTCATTCTTTTACACGTGGTTATCCAGTTGTCTGAGACCCATGTGTTGAAAAGAATATCTATAATGTTTTTGAGTGTATAACTTCGTATAGCTTATTTTAGTGGTTGTTCTAGGCATTATATATTCAAAGCTTATCAAAGTCTACTGGTGTTAACATTTTATAAGTTCAAATGAAGTATAGAAACGTTATCTCCCTTTATGTCCTCTCTCCTCCCCTACTTATAATAGCCTAAATACTTCCTCTTCATACACTGAGAATCATATTAGACAGTGTTATAATGTTTGTTTCACAGTCAAACATAATTCAGAAAAGTCAAAAGAAGAAGGAAAGTCTATCTTATTTATCTATATATTCGCTGTTTCCATGCTATTTTTTTTAAATTCCTGATGTTCCAAGATTCTATCTTTTGTCACTTCCTATGTTTAGAAAATTTCTTTTAGCCATTCTTTTAGGGTAGGTCTGCTGGTGACAAATTCTCCTGGTATTCCTTCATCTAAGAATGTCTTGATTTCTCCTTTATTCCTGAAGGATTTTTTTTATTTGCTGGACCTACAATTCTAGGTTGGCAGTTTTCGCATCTGAAAAATGTTTTGCCACTTCTTTCTGGTCTCCATGGTATCTGATGATAAAGAAGTTGTCATTTGAATTCCCTCCCACCCCCCCAACTGGCAATGTGTTGCTTCTCTTTGGCTGCTTTCAAGACTGTCTTAGCTTTCAGAAGGTTGACCATGTGTGTCTTCTCGTGGATTTCTTTGGATTGATCCTATTTGGGGTTTTCTCAACTTCTTAAATCTGTAGACTTTTTTTTTTTTTTCCCAAAGTTGAAACATTTTCAAATCCTTTTTCAGCACAACCTTCTTTATCCTTTCCTTTCCGTTTCTTTCTCTTTTCCCTCCAGAACTCCAATGGCATGAGTGTTAGCTCTTCTGTTACAGTTGTACATGTACCTGAGGCTCTGTTCATTTTTTTCCCAATTTATTTCTTCTCTGTTGTTCAGGTTGGGTCATTTCTTTTGTTCCATCATCAAGTTTACTAATCCTTTCCTTTGTCATATCCATTCTGGTGTTGAGATATCCATTGAGTTCTTAATTTTGGTTATTGTATTTTTTTAGTTCCCAAATTTCTACTTGTTTTTTTATATCTTCAACTTTTTTGCTGAGACTTTCTAATTTATCCTTGATTTTAAATGTGTTCTTAATTGTTTGTTGAAGCACTTTTAGGATTTCTGCTTTAAAATCCGTGTCAGATGATTCGAACATCTGTGTCATCTTGATGTTGGTATCTCTGTTGATTGTCTTTTCTCATTTTATTTAAGATCTTCCTGGTTCTTGGTATGATAAGTGATTTTGATTTTTTTTTTTTTTTTGACAGAGGCTCACTTTGTCTCCCAGGCTGGAGTGCAGTGATGCAACCTTGGCTTGTTGCAACCTCCACCTCCCGGGTTCAAGAGATTCCCCTGCCTCGGCATCCCAAGTAGCTGGGAGGGACTACAGTCACGCACCACCATGCCTGACTAATTTTTTTTTTTTAGTAGAGATGGGGTTTCACTATGTTGGCCAGGCTGGTCTCGAACTCCTGACCTCAAATGATTCACCTGCCTTGACTTCTAAAGTGCTGGGTATTACAGGTGTGAGCCACTGCGCCCGGCCTGATAAGTGATTTTTGATTGAAACTTGGACATTTTGGGTATCATAAGACTCTGGATCTTATTTAAATTGTAGGTTTTAGCAGGCGTTTTCTGACGTTGTTGTAGAGGATGTAGGGGCCTCTTCCTCGTTACTGCCAAGTGAGGGTGGAAGTCCAGGTTTTCCACTTGGCTTATGTTTATGCCTGAAGCAGGGGGCTTCTTGTTACTGCTGGGCAGGGTGGGAATTCCATTTTCCCATGTGGCCTCCACTGCCACTGTGTATATGGGGTGGTCTCGTCATTGCTGAGTAGTGGTAAATGTCCTGACTCTCCTCAGGTCTCCTCTGACACCACCCCGGTAGGGAGGTCGAGGAGCACCTTGTTACCACGGGTGGGCTGGATGGAGTCCAGACTCCCCCATAGTCTCCACTGACACAATGGAGGAGGCCTCAGGACCACCAGCTTCCTTCTGGGTCTCTCCGACACTGCCCTGGTGGTGCAGTAGGGGAGGCTTGCTACAGCTTGGCCAGGGTGGAAGGCCAGGCCCTCCCCTTGGCCTTCGTGGGCATGGGCAGTGTTTTCTGTGGAGCTGGGCTAGAGCAGAGTGGTTATTATCTAAACATTTCCTGTCTTGCCAAGCTGCCCCTTGTCCGGTCTTCTAGTTAGAGAGTGCAGGCTCTTCTTGGAGCTTCTTCAGTCGACCCATTGACGTTTCTGGGTTTCTAGCTTGTCTAGTATTCAGTTTGGGAACAACCCAGAGAGCCCACCACCCTGCTGTTAGTTGGGTCCTAACATTCCAGCTGGTCTGCCTTCTTCTCTCCACCTTCCAGAGTCTTCTTACATTTGTTTTATATCAAATATCTAGGATTTTTTTTTGTATTTAGTGGGAAGAAGAGGGAAAAACATATTTATTCCATTTTTCTGGAAATTCTAGAACAAGGTTCTTTTCATTTTGTACCTATTGAAACCCTCAAATGATTACTTCACCTGCTGGGTTCTTGGGAGGATTCAAGATGAGGCACAGAAAGTGTAGAGCAAACAGTAAGTGCTCAAATAAAGGTCAAGAGGAGAAAGAGATGTTGCAATTCTCTCTTTTTTTTTTTTTCCAGAGTCTTGCTCTGTTGCTCAGGCAATGGTGCAATGGTGCAAAATTGGCTCACTGTAACCTCCACCTCCTGGGTTCAAATGATTCTCCTGCCTCAGCCTCCTGAGTACCTGGGACCACAGGCATGTGCCACCATGCCTGGCTATTTTTTTTTTTTTTTAATTTTTAGTAGAGACAAGGTTTCACCTTGTTGGCCAGGCTGGTCTCGAACTCCTGGCCTCAAGTGATTCGCCCACCTCGACCTCCCAAAATGCTGGAATTACAGCTGTGAGCCACCACGCTTGGCCCAGCATTCTTATTCTTACTGTTTTGTTATTTTGGAAGCACTAGTAGTTAATTCCCTGTTCATTCAAGCTACTGCTAGATAACAGTAGGTCTGAGGTTTTGAATTATTGATAAGTACTATTTTATCTTCCCTGACATAAACTTGTTTGAGCTTTCTGTCTGATTTCTCTTCCTGTCCCGCTCCCTCATGTAAATGACAACCATTTTGATTGAGCACCTTCTGTGTGCCAAATGTATACTCCAGCCTTGCTTCCATCTCTCATACACGCAGAAACCCTGAACCGTTAGGAGGGACTTCTTAGATCTTGGGCTGCGTTGGGGGATTTGGGAGAGGAGTCAAAGAGGTGGGGTTTTGCCCTGGATGGGCTGCTGTCAGGAAGCAGGGATAATTCAGAGTCTAGTAATACTTTTTATCTAGGAGGCAGGGGGAAAAGAGCCCAATTGCTCAGCTTGGGCGGGAGGGGAATACGTGCTGTTTAGGGCATTGCCCAGGGTCTTGGTTTTTGTCTCTGCAGGGCACAATTAAGGAGTGGTCTTTTTTTGTTCTGTGTCCTCACCTTCACAGTGTCCTCATCTGACATTGCTATTCTGTGAAACTGTGTGTGTTCAGGATGCCGTGGCACAGCCTGGCTGGAAGCAGGAGGCCAGCTACCAGCTTTTGGTGTCAGGACTGCTTCTTTCTCTTTCTCTTTCTTTCTCTCTTTTTTTTTTTTTGAGACAGATTCTCCCTCTTGTTGCCCAGGCTGGAGTGAAGTGGCACCATCTCAGCTCACCGCAACCTCTGCCTCCTGGGTTCAAGCGATTCTCCTGCCTCAGCCTCCCAAGTAGCTGGGATTACAGGCTCCTGCCACCATGCCTGGCTAATTTTTGTATTTTTAGTAAGGACAGGGCTTCACCGTGTTGGCCAGGCTGGTCGTGAACTCCTGACCTCAGGTGATCTGCCCTCCTTGGCCTCCCAAAGTGCTGAGATTACAGGCGTGAGCCACCGCGCCTGGCCAGGACTGCTTTTTTCTTTTACTTTCTTCTTTAAATCCTGCTCTCCTCAGGGGGCTTAGGTTTAAGAAGGAAAAGTCTTGCTTCAAATCTCCCAGGGGCAGGGAAGCCCAGAGTCAGCTCCCTGGTTGAATGTGGGGAGAAAAATATTTCTGCTAGGAGGAAACAGGAACTCAGGTGTAGACATGTGTTTCTGGCCTCATGGGCTTAGATGGTTTCTGCTAAGCCTAACCAGGGCCTTAATGTCAGGAATGGGAGACCTTACTAGAGAACCAAGGTTCAGAGAAGGGAAATGCGTGGTCCAAGGTAACACAGCCAGCAAGGGCTAAACCTGGATTCCAAAACATAGTTATTTAGTTTAGGAGAGTCATTTTATGCTGAGAAGGAGGATAGTATCATTTATACTGATGCTGTGAGTCAGTCACAGGCCTTTCTGTGCTGAAAAACAGTGCAACAAAATAGGCAAAGCAGAAGAAAGACATGGAAATAAACCTAAGAGGGGGGCAGCTTGCTAAACCTCCATCCCATTCTTTGCTAAATAGACAAGAAATAAATCCAAGCATGGAGCAATGTTCTTGGCCATTTTAGAGCAGTGAATGAGCTCAATGGGCCCTCCTCTGCCCAGCGTACATCTGCAGGTCTGTCGGTCTTTTGCGCACAACTGGGATGTTTATTACACTGCTATGAGCTCCATGGATCTCAAGGGAAGAGCCCCTGAAATGGAGGACTTTAATTATAAACGAGCCCAAGCTTAGGAATCAGAGTTAAATTGAAATCCAAGCCCCATGCCTCTGGTTGTGTGACTGTAGGCAAGTTATTGAACATCTCTGAGCCTTAGTTTCCTTGTCAGTAAAAAGAGGATCACAAAAGACATATCTTGCAGGGTCCCGGGGACTGAATGAGAGAATTCATGGAAAGGGCTCAGCATAGATCCGTGTATACAGCAAGCCCTCAGTGGATGGTGGCTGTTACCATTGGAGCTATAAGGTGGAGTTAAGAGACACACATTCAATTTTGTACTTTGCAAATAAAGAATAAATCTTTTTTTTTTTTTTTTTTTTTTTTTTTTGAGACAGAGTCTCGCTCTGTTGCCCAGCCTGGAGTGCAGTGGCGCGATCTCGGCTCACTGCAAGCTCCACCTCCCAGGTTCACGCCATTCTCCTGCCTCAGCCTCCTGTGTAGCTGGGACTACAAGCACCCGCCACCACGCCTGGCTAATTTTTTTTGTGTTTTTAGTAGAGACGGGGTTTCACTGTGTTAGCCAGGATGGTCTCGATCTCCTGACCTCATGATCCGCCCCCCTTGGCCTCCCAAAGTGCTGGGATTACAGGCGTGATCCACCGCGCCCGGCAAGAATAAATCTTTATGGTGCCCACGGGCCAGGTGCAAAGATGGACTCTATCTGAAGCCACTAAGAAAAGTCAAATTAAATACAAAAGGCAGAAAGTGTATTGTCCATGTCCATTGACCACAAAGCAATGAAATCAAGATATGTATACCACAGTTTAAGTTGAAAGCAAAAAACCCAGCTACTTAGGAATGAAAAACAACAGCAACATCAAAAGCATTCTTCTAAATGGATCTTGGACCCAAGAGGAAATCAGTAAATGTACTCTTATTGTAATTAAGAAGCTGTTGGCATTTCTGCTTAGGATCCCAGGGCCTAGAGGTCCCTCTGTTCACTGGCGTCTGGCTGCCCTAGGGCTGTCTTCTTTTCTTAGCAGAGTTAAGGACAGATGTGAAGGTTCCTGCAGGTGCTGAGATGTGCAGGAGGATCTGGGGATGAAGTCCAAAGCAGACGGGCTGCCTGGGCGTGGGGCCAGGAGCGACAGTGACTGTGGCTGTGGCAGTGGCCCTCATTGTGAAGTTGATCAAAAGGAAAGTGGATCCAGGAAGATATAGGCTTTACAAATGGATGCGTGAAATGGAACTGGGGATAATTGGGAAGTCCTAAATGGAAATGGAGATCAATATGTGTTGCTTTGATTTGAATGGGCCAGGAGACCAGAGAATAGAATCAGGCATAGAACATCAAGATACAGAATGGAAAGCAAGTAGAAAAGGCATGAAAAATGGAAGAAAAAGAATTAATATGTTAGAGTAAAAGGGAAAAGGAACAATTTAATAAGAGAAAGATTAATCATTAAGCTGTTTTTTATTTAATTAATTAATTAATTAATTTTTATTTTTATTTAGTTTTTTGAGACGGAGTCTTACTGTCGCCCAGGCTGGAGTGCAATGGTGCGATCTCGGCTCACTGCAACCTCTGCTTCCTGTATTCAAGCGATTCTTCTGCCCCAGCCTCCCGAGTAGCTGGGATTACAGGCGCCCGCGACCATGCCCAGCTGATTTTTGTATTTTTAGCAGAGATGGGGTTTCACCATGTTGACCAGACTGGTCTTGAACTCCTGATCTCGGGTGATCCACCCTCCTCGGCCTCCCAAAGTGATTAAACTGTATTTTAAAGCAAGCTAGCACAGACAGACAATGTAACAAATCGAATGAAGAGTTGAAAGATGGATGACTGAGTTAAAAGGTGGTAAGTAACGAGGGAGGCAGGACTGCCCCGCACTGCTTAGGTTTTCACACTGGCAGGAAATGTAAGTAGTGGAAAGAACATTTGTGTAAATGTGTTTTGTGAGTTAGACTGAATGTAGAGGAAAGCAGGCAGTGAAGGCCGTGTTGACAGGCAATTGAGATGCATTTGTAACTGAAGTCCAGACAGGGATCCCGGAGTAGCAGAGAGCTTGCAGGAAGAGGCGAGATGTAATTGTGGCTAGCGATAATGGGGTTTTACAAGAATGCTGAATGATTGGAGTGAGGAACTTTTTATCCTTCATAAAACAACTGTGAGATTACATTGGAAACAAATCATTGTGGGGCAAAAAGAAACATCAAGTACATGGTATTTCCTAGAGAATTATGGCAAAATCTTGTTTGATGTGATGATTATAAGAGATCTGAACCAACTCTTAGGCATGCAGTAGCTACTGTAGCTTTCATTTGTTGTCCAACATTAACTGTGTGCTATGTGCCTGGCATGATGGCCATCATAATAATAGATAATACTTAACTAGCACCTGCTGAGCTCTGATTGAAGCTCTGTACATATCTTAGCTTATTTACATTGTCAGGGAGGTGCTATTATTCCTCCCATTTCACAGATGGGGAAACTGAGGCATAAAAGAGTTAAATAATTGCACAAGGCAGGGCCAGGATTAAGGTGAGCTGAGTAAGATATTTGTCTCAGATGCAAAATTAAAAGGGGTGCCCCCCTAAGACTCTAATTAAGATAAAAAATACAGTAAGGCTATATATATATATATATATATATATATATTTTTTTTTTTTTTTTGAGATGAAGTCTTGCTCTGTCACCCAGGCTGGAGTGCAGTGAGAGCTCACTGCAACCTCTGCCTCCCAGGTTCAAGAGATTCTCCTGCCTCAGCCTCCAGAGTAGCTGGGATTACAGACATCTGCTACCATGCCTGGCTAATTTTTGTATTTTTAGTAAAGATGGGGTTTCGTCATGTTGGCCAGGCTGGTCTGGAACTCCTGATCTCAGGTGATCCACCTGCCTCGGCCTCTCAAAGTGCTGGGATTACGGGTATGAGCCACCGTGCCTGGCGCAGAATAATTTTATAATGTGATACCATCTATGCAAAGAAACCTCCAAGAATAAATAGAAGTTTATACCTGCATGGGGAAAGGTCTGGAGGAGGAAGACCAAGCTCTAGGAGGGCTCCAGGAGGGTTAGGAGGTTGGAGGGCAGTGAGAGAGGCCTTCAGCCTTGCATGCAATGTTCAACTTTTAAAAAACAAAGATGAGAGTTGTGTTTACTTGAGTAATTCAAATTTAATGAAAAAATAAATTTGAGAGGATTTCTATGAGCCGAATGGAGTTGTTTCCAAAATATATTTTTAAGTGCAAAAAAGTTCCATTTTTTTTTTGTAAAACCATTACAATTTATAAAAATGGAATGTGGGAAGAGTAAGTCCAGAAATAATGAAAATGATTACCTATGAAAGTAATAAATGGGGAGAAAAGGGTAGAGATGAAAGAGTCACTATCTTTTTACAATTTTTGAGTTTTGAGCCATATAAATGATTTACTGAATACAAAATTAAATAAAAATGATGGGAGGCCACAGGCTCACGCCTGTAATCCCAGCACGTTGAGAGGCTGAGGTGGGTGGATCACGAGGTCAGGAGTTCATGACCAGCCTGGCCAACGTGGTGAAACCTCGTCTCTACTAAAAATACAAAAAATCAGCCAGGCGTGGTGGCACGCGCCTGTAATCCCAGCTACTCAGGAGGCTGAGACAGGAGAATCACTTGAACCCGGGAGGTTGCAGTGAGCCAAGATGGCACCACTGCACTCCAGCCTGGGTGACAGAGCAAGACTCTGTCTCAAAAAAGAGAAAAACCAAATGATGGGAAAAGCAATAGAAACAAACGAACTTGCCTGTCAAATTGATAGCAACCACACTGACAGTGGAAGTAATTCCAGGACTGTGCGTGCACACTCTTAGTGGGCTATATTTTAAGGATGAAATAACCGCCACTAAACCATGAACTTGGTAGAGCAGTTGTCAGTAGTGGCATTGGTGTAGTTATTCGTTTGCACTGTGAAGTGGAGTTAATATATGGATGTTACTGTCAGCCAGAGTTCTCACTGTGGAAGAAGAGAGGTTCAAGTATGGCATAGGGGGCCGGGCATGGTGGCTCACGCCTGTAATCCCAGCACTTTGGGAGGCCCAGATGGGAGGATCATGAGGTTAGGAGATCGAGACCATCCTGGCTAACACGGTGAAACCCCGTCTCTACTAAAAATACAAAAAAATTAGCCGGGCGTAGTGGCGGGCACCTGTAATCCCAGCTACTTGGGAGGCTGAGGCAGGAGAATGGCGTGAACCCAGGAGGCGGAGCTTGCAGTGAGCCGAGATCATGCCACTGCACTCCAGTGTGGGCGACTGAGCAAAACTCTGTCTCAAAAAAAAAAAAAAAAAAAAGTATGGCATAAGGAAAGCGTGGGAGAAACCTGGGGTGTTGAATTTGATTTGGAACAATCATTGTAAGCTAATAATTAAAATTTAACTAAAACAGCAGTGAGGACACCTTTCCCCAGATCTTGGTTTCTAAAGACCATTCCTCACCAACTCCTCAAAGTAATGGACAGGGAACATACAAGGTGAGTCTGGAGCAAAAGGAAGGGCTCAAAGACTGATGTGGACAAACTATTAATAAAAGGACACAGGATCTGTTGGACGAGGCTCCGATGGTCTACTCGGGAACAACTGAAATATTGAAAGAAGAGTGATGGGAATGGCTTATCACATAGTAAATGAAAAACTCCATGAGTTTATGGTGACACTAAAAAAGGCAGAAGGGAGTTCTGTCTTACAGAACAACAGAACTAATGCATTCGAAAGCCATGAAAGGATCAGAAAATCATCATCTTGCAACCCATAATTGGTTCAAAGATCATATCAGTAAATGCTAAAACCAATAGACAGATAGGTTGTTGGAGTATAGAATATTCACATGGTCTCAAAGAATTGTCCCATGCATGAGATCAATCACAATAGGTATAGGGTACAATGGAGTGGCCGGGCGGTCTGGTGGATGCCACCTACACCAAGCATGACAGCCACCAAGGTGCTCTGTTCAGCTCTCCCTTCAAGAGGACCCACTGTGGGAAGCACATTTGATGGACAGTTCAGTGGCCGTAACTTTTAACCCACCAGTGGTCTACTCTGCTGTCACACTTGACACAGCCACAACTGAACACAGTGGGAATACTAGAACCAGGCCATTCCTGCCCTATGTGGGATTCCTCTATCAGCGCCTTGACTTGGGAACTCCCTATCAGCCTGGCCAAGACATTCCCGGAATTCTGCTGCTGTCTGGCGCTCTTCCTCCCCAGTCCTTCCCTCTTGCTCTCCTTTCCTAGGTGTTAAATGTGCACAGCACCCAAACTCTCCCTGCTGCCTTCTGCTCCCTCTCTGTCCTACACAGGTGTTTCCACCAATACATCTCTTTCTCTTGCACATTGAATCCTATCTTGGCATCCACTTCCTGGAGGACCTGAACTGGCACACCACATGATCACACTTAGCATTGCCAGTAATTTCTGTCTGCCGGATCTGCCCCTTACATACACAGGCTCTGGCTTCTGTGTTGTGCTATGGAATAACTGAGTGACCTTGGCCAGAGCAGTAAACCCCTTGGAGCCTCAGTTTTCTTTTCTGTAAAATGGGGCTTCGTGGGGGTGATTGTGAGGATTAAATGAGATAGCATATGAAATGAGCCTGGCACACAGTAGGTGCTCATTAAACCTGCTATGATGTCACCTTGGGGCTATTGTCATTCCTCTAGGATCTTTTATCAGGAGTGGGTTACTTATCTTCCCTGTGTCTCATTTCTAAATCAGGATATGTATTGTACTTACTTTGCAGGGTTATTGTGAGGATTAATGAAAACCAGTGGTTTGGGTAATGCCCTCAGACACTGCATGCGTGGCACACAGTAAGCACTCAGTAAGTGTGGGCTGCTCTTATCATGAGGGCCATGCTATCTGCTGTCTTATCAGCTCAGGCTGCCGTAACAAAATACCATAGACTGCATGACTGGAACAACAGACATTTATTTCTCAAAGTTCTGGAGGCTAGAAATTCAAGTTGGAGGTGCTGGCCAATTCAGATCCTGGTGAGGACTCTCTTCCTGACGTGCAGACAGCCACCTTCTTACTGTGTCCTCACAAGATGGAGAATGAGAGGGAGCTCTCTGGTATCTTTTCTTATAAGGGTGTTAATTCCATCACAAGGGTGTTAATTCCTTGCCCTCATGATGTCGTCTAACCCTCATTACCTTCCAAAGGCCCATCTCCAAGTACCATCACATTGGGTGTTAGGGATTCAACATGAATTTTGGGGGGTCACCATTCAGTCCATAGAAGTGGGACACAGATGATGCTCAATAAATGTTATTTTCATTCTTTTCGTCTCTCCTTCTCCCTCTGGCAAATAAAGCCTGGACCCGGAGTTTGATTGTGGTTGTGCTATGGAATAACTGAGTGACCTTGGCCAGAGCAGTAAACCCCTTGGAGCCTCAGTTTTCTTTTCTGTAAAATGGGGCTTCGTGGGGGTGATTGTGAGGATTAAATGAGATAGCATATGAAATGAGCCTGGCACACAGTAGGTGCTCATTAAACCTGCTATGATGTCACCTTGGGGCTATTGTCATTCCTCTAGGATCTTTTATCAGGAGTCCTACATTCTTGACTCCTGCCAGATGGGGGCACTCACTGCCTTCTTATTCCTCGTGTGCTCAGTGGACGTCCCTGAGAAGCGGGCTGACTCGCCACCAGAGGGCTTTGTCACCGCCCTTCAAACGATCCTCAGGCACACAGACAGACAGACAGACAGAGGGAGTCCTGGATGAATGGCAAACCCTTCAGATTCTAATTTGTTTCTCAATCAGTTGCTTCCTCGTGTGAAATGAGGGGACAGACAGCTGATCTTTCTGAGCTGCCCATGGCTGGGACCACTGCCTCCATTCCCAACACCCTGCTGGGGACCCCGCCTTCCAAAGAACATGCCCCAGGCACACAGGTGAGCTCCCGCCATGCACTCCCCGTGAAAGGGAAGCCGTCTGGAGGCAGTGTGGCACCTGAAGACGCTGGAGCTGCTGCTGTCAGGGACACACGCCCTGCCCATTCATCTGCCTTCTGCGCCGGGAGCCCCCGCAGATGCGGAAGATGCAGGGAATGATTCAGCCCCAGCCTTAGTAAGTCAATTTCCACTCATTCACAACTTACGATGGTTTCACACAGGGTGCTGGATTGATGCTTCGTGTTACTCAGCAAGGCTTGCTTCTGCGAGAGGGAGGAGCAGTGGTGGTGGGGGGAACCCTTCCTCGGTGAGGCCTACTTGTCCAGCACAGTGCTCAGGGCCCTGCAAGAGTCCCAGCGGGAGAGTGACTTGCTCAAGGTCACACAGCTCAAGGGGCAAACTGGATTTGAACCCAGACTGTGGGGCTCCAGGGAACCATGGTGGGGTGCACCCCTCCCACCACCACCAGTCTTAGATTGGCAGCCTTTTGTGGAGCGTCCATGCTGTGCCCAGGCCTGTGCGGGAAGCCTCTGGAAGACGCAGGGAGAGTGGCCGGCCTTGTGGCAAGATAGGACACATGTATTGCTATTACTGTTTATTACCACCCTCTCTAACTCTGATCCTTAGAGAAAAAGAGGCACTGAAGAAAATGAGTAAAGAGGAGCAGAGTTTCTTTTTTCCTCCCAAGTGAATCATTGAAAGAAGTAAGTTTCCCTTCAATTTACATTTCAGTTTGGGCCTTTAAAAGCAGTTCTTTTTTTAGTTGTTTGACTAAATATATCTCTCAGTGAACATGTGCACCGATTTTTGGTTGTCTTGTAATTTTTTTCCTGATGACTGGTGTTATGGTTAGAGTCTGGGTTCTAGAGTCCTGTTGACCTGGGTATGAATTCGGGCTCCGTTGCCACATGAGCTGTGTGACTTTGGACAAATAACTTAACCTCTCTGAGACTCATATTCTCATCTGAAAAACAGGGAAATTAGAGTATCTTTCTTACATGTTCTTTGAAGAACTTTTTAAATATGCTTTTTTTTTTTTTTTTTAAAGATGAGATCTGGCTATGTTGCCCAGGCTGGAGTACAGCGGCTAATCACAGGCATGATCCTCATACACTGTAGCCTCGCACTCCTGGCTTCAAGTGATTCTCCTGCCTCAGCCTCCCAAGTAGCTGGGACTACAGGTGTGTACCACTGCACCTGGCTAATATACTCTTTATTTTTTTGGTGAGACAGAGTCTCACTCTGTCACTCAGGCTGGAGGGCTGTGGTGTGATCAAGCTCACTGCAGTCTCTGCCTCCCAGGCTCAAGCAATCCTCCGGTCCCAGCCTCCCAAGTAGCTGGGACTGCAGATGCGCACCACCATGCCTGGCTAATTTTATTTTTATTTTTATTTTTTTAGTAGAGACGAGGTCTTGCTATATTGCTCAGGCTGGTCTCAAACTCCTGAACTCAAGCAGTCCTCCCACCTCAGCCTCCCAAAGTGCTGAGATTACAGGCATAAGCCTCCACACCTGGCCTAATATACTTTTTATGATGAAAAATTTCAAAAACAAATAAAAACATAGAGAATAATATAATTTGAAGTCCAATGTACTGATCTTGCAGCTATGTCTTCAACTTCTGGCCACTCTTGTTTCATCAATTTTACTTGTAACTATTATAATATGTATCTCTAAAACAGGGGGCCCCAACCCTGGGGCCATGGACTGGTGTGGGTCTGTGGCCTGTTAGAAACCAGGCCGCATAGCAGGAGGTGAGCAGTGGGTAAGTGAGTGAGGGAAACTTCATCTGTATTTACAGTTGCTCCCCGTCGCTCACATTACCCTTGAACTCTGCCTCCTGTCAGAGCAGTGGCAACATTAGATTTGAATAGGAGCACAAAACCTATTGTGAGCTGCGCATGTGAGGGATCTGGGTTGCGGCTCCTTATAAGAATCTAATGCCTGATGATCTGTCACTGTCTCCCATCACCCCTAGATAGGACCGTCTAGTTGCAGGAAAACAAGCTCAGGGCTCCCACTACTCTACACGATGGTGAGTTGTGTAATTATTTCATTATACATTACAATGTAATAATAATAGAAATAAAGTGCACAATACATGTAATGTGCTTGAATCATCCCAAAACCATCCCCTGCTCTCCCCGCCCTGTCCATGGTTTTGGACCGTGTATTTTGTCTTCCACAAAACCAGTCCCTTGTGCCAAAAAGGTTGGGGATGGCTGCTCCACATGGTAAGGTTTTTCTTTTACAACATAACTGTTGTAATCAGGATTATAATTGTAATCCTGATGATCATTTGTGGAGGACTTACTGTGTGCTGAGCCACGCTTTTATAGCCCTTTGAGGTAACAGTGACTATCTTCATCTGTAGGTGAGAACAAAGAGGCACAGAGAGGTTGAGGATTTTTCCAGGTCACACAGCAGCAAGCAGTGGAGCTGGAGTTTGAAATGAAAGCCTGTCTGACTCCGGAGCCTGTGCCCTTTGTCTGTGTGTGCTATTATCATCAGCATTCTGTGTGGCTTGTCTGTTTCGATTATAAACTGTTCAAGGTTAGGGCCCCACCTTAGCTTTCTGTATTTTCACAATCTCCAGCTGTTCCATGATTGTCAGACTGATCATCATCATCATCATCATCATCATCATTGGTTTGCACGACCAGCAAGTGCTTGTTAAATACCTAGCTGGAGGACTGCACTCAGACCCTGTGCATGTAAAAGTCACAGTCTCTGCCCTCTAAGTTTCTTATATAATCTGCCAGAGATCAGTTTAGACATAACAGCAAGATGGGAAAACTGATGGGTATCTTCCTGCTGATGAGGCTGATTTCTTCTCTGTCTGAGTGGCCTCAGATTCCACATGAAGATGAAGATGTGGGCATGAGCTGAACAGACATTCCTCTGTGTCCACTGTTGTGCCATGAGTAGTACTAGAATCTGGGGATAGTGGAGGAAATACGATGTGGGGCCTTTGAGGCCAGGGAGGGAATTTGGATTTTACTCTTAGTGTGATGGGAAACCAGTGGATGGTTTTAAAGCGTGATGCAATCCCACTTTGCCACACTCTAGCAAGTGAAATCCCTCCTTTCAGCCTCTTGGGTGGTGGGGCAGGTGCGTCCAGCCGGGTCCTGGGTGCTGCCTGGTGTTCACCTCTTGGCAGCCAGCCACGCTGCTGGCCTGGGACAGGTCCACGCATGCAGCACACCCAGGCCCTGCTTTCCTTCTGCCTCCGGCTTCCCCGGCATCTCCATGCTGCCTCCAGAGAGGTCCTTCCAGAGGGCTTCACCACATTCCTCTTTGTGGCTTCCATCACCTTCTAGGTAAAGTCAGGCCACTGTAGCCTGCCTGCTTGCCTGATGGGTCCCTCATGACCCGGATCCTACTCACCCTCCCGCATCGCCTCTTCCCGCTGCTGCTCAAGCTCATATGTCTTACGCTCCGGAACCGGCAGCCCCTGTTCTTCCAGACCTCTGGGTCTTTGTCATGCTCTTGCCACTGTCTGCAGTGCTTTCCACCCTGGTTGACCTGGTGAACTCCTAATTATTCATCAAGGCCCAACCTAAAGATGACTCTTCTCAAAGCCTTCCCTGACTTCCCCATGCTTGGGGAGGTGCCTGTTTCTATTGGTGTGCTTTTGGCAGTATGTAACAGACCCCTCAACTAAAAGAAGCTTAAGCAATGAGAAATCGATCATTTCATTTAACAAGCAACCTGGAGGTAGGACAGTTCCAAGATTGTTTGATTCAGGGACAACCAGGTCTTTCTTTTTTTTTTTTTTTTGAGATGGAGTCTTGCTTAGTCCCCCAGGTTGGAGTGCAATGGTGTGATCTCGGCTCACTGCAACCTCTGCCTCCCAGGATCAAGTGATTCTCCTACCTCAGCCTCCTGAGTAGCTGGGATTACAGGCACCCGCCATCATGCCTGGCTACTTTTTCTATTTTTGTAGAGATGGTGTTTTCACCATGTTGGCCAGGCTGGTCTTGAACTCCTGACCTCAGGTGATCAGTCCGCATCAGCATCCCAAAGTGCTGGGATTACAGGCGTGAGCCACCACACCCAGCCACAACCAGGTCTTTCTTCTTTGCCATCTAGGTTGTTGGTGATGACTCCCCTCATGATGACAAAATGGCTGCCACAGCTCCAGACAAATCTGCATATGACATCCAGAGAGGGGTGGTACTTTGTTTTCCATAGCGGGGAGGAGAAGCTTTCTCAGGAGCCCGTCTGCAGACTTCCCCTCAGGTTTCCATGGCCAGGATTGGGTCATTGGCACATTCTAAACTAATTCCAGATAAGGAATATGGGATCACATGATTCACTCAAACCAATCAGATTCTCTCTTTGGAGCTAAAGAGGAATCATCTGATCAAAATTGGGGTTTTATTAGCAAGAGAGAAGGGGGAAAGGTTATTAGTTAGTGTGGTCGTTGGCCGCCAGGATGGCCCCCAACGATTCCACCTGCTGCGATGCCCAGCCTTGTATTGCTACCTCTCACCTTGCACTGGGTTGGTTTGTGTGACCAATAGCATGGGGCAGAGGTGATGGTATTTTGCTTTTGAGATGAGGTTGTAAGCACTGTGGTTTCCATCTTGGCTTCTCTCTTGCTAACTCGTGTGCTCTCTCTTCCCCTTGGGTTGCTTATTCTGGGGGAGGCCGTGTCTTGAGCAGAGAGGCCCATGTGGCCAGGAGCTGAAGCCCACAGCCATACTAGCATGCCTGGGAGCAGATCCCCAGCCCCTTCAGAGGCTGTGGCCCTGGCTGAGAGCTTGACTGCCACCCCCTCCGAGAGACCATGAGCAAGAGGCACGCAGCTGAGTGCTTCTGGATTCCTGACCCTTAGAACCACATGAAATGTCGGACGTCTATTGTTTTGGGCTGCCAAGTTTGGGGGTAACTTGTTATGTGGCAGTAGATAACTAATACAGCTGGCAAACAACAGTGGCTGCCGAGGTGCACTCCACTGCCCCCTGAAATTGCCATCAGAGCATTGTTTCATAATCTATGTTCGTCTGTTCCCTCTACAAGCTTGTGAGTGGCTTGATTTTCCACTTCCTTGTGCACGGGGGTCTGGAGTGTGCATGTGTGCATGCTTGTGTGTGTGTGCATGCTCGTGTGTGTATGTGTGCATGCTCGTGCGAGTGTGCATGCGTGTGTGAGTGCATGCTTGTATGTGCATGTGTGTGCTGTGTGCATGTGTGTGCTGTGTGCATGCTCATGCATGTGTGCATGTGTGTGCTGTGTGCATGCTCGTGCATGTGTGCATGCTTGTGTGTGTGAGTGCATGCTTGTATGTGCATGTGTGTGCTGTGTGCATGCTCATGCGTGTGTGCATGTGTGTGCTGTGTTATGCATGCTCGTGTGTATGTGCATGTGTGTGCTGTGTGCATGCTCGTGTGTGTGCCTGTGTGTGCTGTGTGCATGCTTGTGTGTGTGTGTGCCTGTGTGTGCTGTGTGCATGCTCGTGTGTGTGTGCATGTGTGTGCTGTGTGCATGCTCGTGCGTGTGTGCATGTGTGTGCTGTGTGCATGCTCGTGCATGTGTGCATGCTTGTGTGTGTGAGCGCATGCTTGTATGTGCATGTGTGTGCTGTGTGCATGCTTGTATGTGCATGTGTGTGCTGTGTGCATGCTAGTGCGTGTGTGCATGTATGTGCTGTGTGCATGCTTGTGTGTGTGCATGTGTGTGCTGTGTGCATGCTCATGCGTGTGTGCATGTGTGTGCCGTGTGCATGCTCGTGCGTGTGTGCATGTGTGTGCCGTGTGAATGCTCGTGTGTGTGTGCATGTGTGTGCTGTGTGCATGCTCGTGTGTGTGTGCATGTGTGTGGGGGATCAAGTCCACCAATCTTCTTTGAGACTCCTTCCTACTGGGTTGTCTCTGGATTCAAGACAGTGTCTAATTTCCTCTGTAACTCTGAGACCTGGCATGGGGCTTGTCACAGAATGGCCTCAGGGAATTTGGTGGAATCAAGAAAATGAATAGGATCCTGGGGTGGGTGAGAACCCGGTTGGCTGCTATGACAACTGTAGCATGGAGGACTCAGAGCAGCCTGGGTCCTGTTGATGATCTGGGAGGTTTTGCAGTAATTTTTCTGTGAAATGGCTTGGGGAGTGGAAGGCAGTTTCCATTCTCACCATCTTGGAAAGACGGTGCCCAGAAGCATGGAGCAGGGTGTGAGGAGGTGACAAGAGTGCTCTCCCAGGAACAGAGTTCTCCCACTTCCATGTCCTCAACTGTGCATTGCCATAACTACTCCAAGTCTGCATTTGTTTACTGAAGACCTACTATGTGCCAGTCTCTTGGCTGAGCACTTTCCAATCAGCTGTGGTCCATAAGCCTCTCCAGGGCGGGAGCTGTGTCTATCTTGTCAATAACACAATGCCAGGCACATAGAAGGTGCATAATACATACTTTGTGAGTGAGTGAATGAATGAACAAATGAATGAATGAAATGAGTGAGTGAGTGACTCTGGCTGCTGCCTCACATAAAAGATAAAAGGAAGTTAGCCTTGGAAAAGTTAGGCAAAGGGAGGATAGGCAGAAGGGTGAGTAGGATGGGAAGGATGTTCCAGGCACAGGAAGCCGCATATGCAAAGGCCCTGTGGTGAGAAGAAGCTTGCAATTGGAACCCAGTCTCCATAAATGGCTCTTTCATCATACCCCATGGTCCTCTGAGGTAAGTCCTTTTATTACCACCACTCTCAATTTGAAAAGTCCTTTCCATCCCTCCAAAAGGTTATGGAGAACATATAGAATAGTGAATTGGAGTACAGACTGCCTGGGCCTGGGCCCGGCTCTGCCCCTGAATAGCTGTGTTTACCTGGGGTACTTGTTTCAGTGTTTTTATCTGCCAAGTAGAGGCAACAGCAGAACCTACCTCATGGGGTTTTTGTGTCACTAAATGGGCTCATAGAATATATTATTATCTCGTGGGAAGCAGAGCTGTGCTGAGTCAAACCTAAACTCAGTGCCTTGGTTAGACAACCCTCTTGGAGGGCAGAAGGACAAGAGCGTTGGCCATCCCCTACTGCAGGTGGGAGCGTGCAGTCAGGCCTGTTCCAGCCTCTCTCTTCTGCCTGAGTCCCCCGCCCCTTGGCGTTGATCAGAAAGGACATTGGGGCAGAAGATTTGTCCTTTGTATGAGGCCTCCATGTTCTGAGAGTTGGTGACGGTGATGGGCCCGTTGTCTCTGTTTCCAGACAGTTCCAGACAGGACCAAGCGTGGCTGCGTCAGAAAAGCATGGAGTGAGACAAAGCTGCTATTTTAAGGCAGCTGCGGGAGCTCGGAGGGCGCGCCTGTGTTCTCCTGTCACAGGCTTGTCAGAGTTGCTGGAGTGAGCTTGGAAGTCAGGGCAGAGGGGGCAGGACAAGGAGAGGAGGGGTCCTCGGCTGACTCACAGACAGACTTGGGAAAGCCAGGGTCCCAGAGGAAACCAGACACAGCAGGGGGAACTTCAACAGGGGCATCTGTATGGGGCAGGGAAAATGTTTATAATCACAGGCTGTGCAAATGGCCATAGAGATCATTTAGGCAAATGCCCCCATTTCACAGGTGAGAAAACTGAGGTGAGAGACGCAAGTGTGGTGGAGGGGCAGAGGCTTCTTTTCTTTGTAAATCAGTGAAGCATTTTGTTTTAAATAATCACCGTATTAAATAGTATTAATCGTATTAAATATTATTATTTATACTTATATTTATAATAATAATAATTATTATTAATACCGTATTAAATAGTATTAAATAAGGTATGGCACATTAATACTATAGTCCTTTGTCATATTTAAAAAAACAAAAAAGATCTGTGTGAACCAACTTAGATTTCTAAGACTTGTTAAGAGAAAAAGAAGTTGTAAGAGAACGTGTACAGCATGTACTTATTAAAAAACAGAGGCAAAGCAAGATTTCCTATTTCAGTAGGTCCAGGTATGGCTATCAAGGCTTTGAGAAAGTTCTGGAAGGATGTTAGCCAAATGGAGTAGGATGGTCAACCTTCAGAGGGGACGGGATGGGGAGTGTGGGGCAGGGGACCTTCACTTCATCAGGATTGTTCCAATTGTTAAGAGAACCTTTTCATGTGTTACTTTTGTCGTTAAAACACAGGATACATAATATTTTTTAAAAATTGTTTTCCAAAGGCTTGTTTGGCCTTGAGGCTGGATTTGTCCAGAAAGCATTTCTCTCCTGGGTATCAAACCCTGTGAAACCCTGGCCTCTCCTCTCTGAAGCCTCACCCTGCTCCCGCTCCCCCACCACACACTGGATTTTATAAAATACAGAAAAATGATAAAAATGCTAATTAAAAGACATTCACTCAACTCCTTCTGCCCGAAGGAAGGCCATGAGAAGATGCTTTTTCTCATGATGCCTCAGGCTTCCAGGAAATTCCCGAGCCCTGGGGGCAAGGCCTGTGGGGGTGCATCACCTCCCAGAGAAGCGATCAGAGGTAGGGATGGAGCCCCTGCGTCCCTCTTCAGAGCGTGGGGTGCTTCCGCTTCGTCACTTCCCACTCTTTGTCTTGAGATAAGCAGTCAGCACCCTGGACACGCTCTTCCCAGAAAAACGCACAGTTTTCATTATTTAACAATGTTTGCATATTTGCTAGTTTTTCAAAATTAATTTTTAGGAGCATGAATAAAATAAGAATACATTCTCCACGATGGGAAAGGGAGTTCAGGAAGAAAAGCAAGCACCGTAGATGGGCTAAAGTCGCTTTGAACAGCCCCCCCCTCCAGGGGTAACCACTGTTAACAGTTTGGTGCAGATCCTTCCAAACCTTTTCCTAGGTGTTTATATGGAGTTACTTGGACTCATAGAACTCTGTGATGGTGGTGTGTGTGGAGGAGGGTTAAACATGACCGCAGCCAGTTGTATGCATGGGGTGATGACAGTTTGCGGTTGCTGGGCTGTAAACTCCGCGTGGTGATTCCATCTTTGTCCTGTTCCTCATGGTTTCCCCCTGCCTGGTGCATGGCAGGTGTCTGCGAGGTCCCCAGTCTGCCTGGCTTCCATCTCCAGGCATGGCCTCGTGACTGGCACTCTGTTGCGGTGTCAGACGCCTGAACGAGCCTCTGTTCCTAACAGTGCCTCAGACGGGAGGCTTGGGGGTACGGCCGAGAGGGGAGTGGCCAATCAGAGGCACTCCTGGGAGGGACAGCCCTGGAGATCGGAGCCTTGTTGGGTGGCCGTGTGGCCCCAGAGAGAAGAGAAGCGGGAGGAGAAGGTTTTGTGGAAATCCAGAGGGGAGAGGGCAGGGCTGGGACTCCTCAGAACTTCCCTTGGGAAGAAATGGCGAGCTGTGATGTGGGAGTGGGCCTTCGAGGGTCCTCAGTGGGGAGGCCCATGTTGGGGGCTTGGATCACAGCCACTGGGAAGCTGCTGATGCCCTCCCCAACAGAAGTCTATCAGACATCCCAACCATGTGGAAAAAGTAGAACTGGTGACCAGTCTGGAAGGGAAAAAGAGACCATCTTTAGATATGAATAGGCCTCTTGACCAAACGAGATAGGAAAACCCACTTCCCGTGCTTCTGTGGAATTATGCTCAGGTCAGCGTGGGCCCCAGTCTGGGCTCAACACTTCCTGACTCTGAGCACTTCATGTTTCCTACCTGGCAGTAGCAGGCTGTGTCCTGAGCACACTGCAGGATCTTAGCCAGCCTCAGCTCACCTGCTCTTCAAGGGCCCTACCACATGTAAGATGGAGGTATTGAGTTCTGGAATAAACTTCATTGATTCATATGTGTTGATCATCTGCATGTGTCTTAGTCCATTTTCGCACTGCTATAAAGAAATACATGAAACTGGGTAATTTATAAAGAGAAGAGGTTTAATTGGCTCACGGTTCTGCAGGCTGTACAGAAAGCATGGCTAGGGGGAGGCCTCAGGAAACTTATAATCATGGCAGAAGGTGAAGAGGAAGGAGGTGCATCATCCTAGGGCCGGAGCAGGAGGAAGATAGGGAAGGGGAGGTACCGCACACTTGTAAACAACCAGATCTCATGAGAACTCACTCACTATCATGAGAACAGCAAGGGGGAATCCACCCGCATGATCCAATCACCTCACACCAGGCCCCTCCTCCAACATTGGGGATTACAGTTTAACATGAGATTTGGGCGGGGACACAAATCCCAACCATATCAGTCAGTATCAGGGTTCTTTGGTTGCAAATGACAGAGTAAAAGCTCATGTGCTCTGCTGTCCAAGGCAGCATCCTCCAGGACTTCTCAGTTTCTCTCCATTTCAGGGGTTGGCTTCTTCAGCGGGGCCCCTGTGGTTGGGTTGACCTTCCCTCTGGTCCCAAGACAGCTGCCAGCAGCACCCAGAGCTACATCTTCCTTCATTCGCATCGAGTGGGAAGAACAGGCACCTCTCTGCAGCATTCCCAGCAAAGCCTGGAGTTTCCTTCTGATGGGTCATCTAGGGTCACAGGCTCTCCCTGGAGCGGGCCAGCTCAGCTGGGGCATAGGCACTTGAGGTGGCCAGGCCAGTCACAAGTCCACCGTGGAGTGGGGTCAGTCAATTTCCCTGACTGCCTCAAGGACAGTGGGCGGCAAAAGCCCTGCGCCCCTGAGGCAACAGGAACATGGAGCCTTCTCCGTGTGCCCGCGAGGTTGGAAGATGAAGCGGGTGTCGGATCATAGGTGAGGATGGAGGCTCCTGCGTCCACACGCACCCCACAGTCGGGCTACCTGACCTGGGGGGAGAGGTGCAACTACCCCAGTGCTTTAAATATCACCCTGTGGTGGCCGGGTGTGGTGGCTCATGGCTGTATTCCAAGCACTTTAGGAGGCCGAGGCAGGCGGATCACTTGAGATCAGGAGTTCGAGACCAGCCTGGCCAACATGGTGAAACCCCGTCTCTACTAAAATTAAAAAAATTAGCTGGGCATGAGGGCGGCGCCTGTAATCCCAGCTACTTGGGAGGCTGAGGCAGGAGAATCACTTGAACCCGGGAGGCGGAGGTTGCAGTGAGCCGAGATTGTGCCACTGCACTCCAGCCTAGGCAAAGAGAGCAAGACTCCATCTCAACAACAAACAACAACAAAAAAGATAAAAATAAAAATCACCCCACGGGGATTGTTGCTTTTAGAACCTAGATTTCCCAAGAGAGAATATCAAAATCTATCATTTTATGAGCGAGGAAACAGGAAAGTTATGACTTGTCCAGGTCACACAGCAGCTCGGGGCCAGAGCTGATGGCAGAATTCAGGGGTTTTGACTCCCAGGGGAGTGCTCAGCTTAGGGGAGTGATCAGCCAGGCGTGTGATTCATTGCAAGAGGCAGGGGTAAATAAATGCTCCTAAGTGGAGGTGGGTGAAGTATGGGCCATGGCGGGGGTCATTCCTGCAATGTCTCTTCTGTGTCCTGGGGTGGGTGGTGGGGGCTGTCAAGGAACTAGCTGGGCCCTCGCTAGTCAAGCATGACTCTAGGCCCTGGCCTGATAGAGTGGGCAGTCCCAGAAGCTCTCCCGAAATGTGTGGCATGTCTCCCTGCTGATATGGAGCCAGAGAGATCTGCCACTTGCCAGCTGTGTGACTTTAGGCAAGTTACTTCACCTCTCTGTTGCCTCCTCAGGTGTGTAATGAGACCAACCACCCTGCTTCTCTAGGGGGCTTGGGGGAAGGAATGAGACAAGATGTGAAGCGTCCAACACGGTGGCTGTCCCTGGTCAGTACCCAGGAACTGTGCATGGCTCCCCACAGGGGCACAGACGGTCCATCCTTAGGCACATGTGTTTCCTCAGGTAGCTCCTGGCTTAGTCTCAGGACTGGGCCTGAGGGTGCCTGGGAAGGAATGGGCATTCTGCCTGGCATCTGCAGGTGAGCAGGAATTGCTTCTAGAATGCCAGGCCAGCTTGGGCATGCTGCTCCTGAGGCCCGGCTGCCTACTGGCCACCCACACTCTGGGGAGGCTCTTTTCCCGGCCCTGCTTCTGGGGTTCCAAGGGGAGGCCTCGGGTCATCTGCTGGGAGCAGCTGCAGGATGAAGACAGGGTGACTCACCTGCAGACAGGGAGGCCAAGTCAAGGGATCAAAACAAGACAGAGACTTCTTTTCTTCCCTAGGGACTATGAGAAGATCAGAAAGGGACCCACGCATCATCAGTTATTCATGAGGTCTGCAGGAACCCGTGCAAAAAGCCCAGCTGGGGAGCAGGGTGGGGTGATGGTGAGAAGCCCTTCTATACAGGTTCCCTCCCCGAGCTAAGCAAAAGCGTTGAGGTGACACGTGTCACCTGTTCCTAGAGGATCTGCACTGAAGGCGGGGCAAGCAGGACCTGCTGTACACAGCACAGGGCCTTTCTTCCCACAGCTGCGTCCTGCAGTGGTGACACTCTTGCACGTAAGGGGTGGTTAGCCACACTGTATGAATAAGAACACTGAGAGGCAGGGAGAAGTGACTTTTCCAAGGTCTCACTGCTATGAAATGGCCAAACTAGGGATGAATGAAAGGCATGTGCTCATCTGAAGGGGAGTCAGTATTTGTTGGGCATCCACTGCTGCTCTGTGTGCTGTGGGTACCGCAGTGAACAAAGCACAGCTTTTGCCCTTGTGGGGCTTATATTTTATTTCTGAGGTAACAGACAATTAACAAGCATGTAAATAGATGCATGAAATAATTTTAGGGAAGGATAAGTGCTAACGGATGGGCTGAGGGAAAAGAGAAGATAAGAGACGAGATGGCATGCAGGGCCATGGGCACTGTAAGTGGCTAGGCCTGTCACAGGTCATCCCCGCAATGGGGTCTGTCAACTTACCTGACTGCTGTGCAGCCTGGGGTTGGGGACAGTGGGCAGAAAAACCCCCGTAGCAGGGACGGGCTGCTAGTTTAGATGGGGTGGCCAGGAAGGGCCTCTCTGAAGAGGTGACATTTGAGCTGAGGCCTAAACGAAGCAAGGGACTGAACTTTAAAGGTCCAGGAAGAACATTCTAGGCAGGATCACAGCAAGTGCAAAGGCCCGGAGACTGGAGGCTGCTTGGTGTGTTCGAAGTGCGGCAAGGAGGCTGGTCTGGTGTAGGGCATGAAGAGTGGTAGGAGATGGGGTTAGATTGGGGCTTGGGACCAGAGGTGGGGGCCCTTGGAGGCCACAGTAAGGAAAGAGACTTTGGGAGGAATATGAGATGCTGAGGCCGCAGAGTGCCCGAGATGGCCTCCTTCCCTTCCAGGTCAGATCATTCCAGATTTCCTGGTCTCCTTCCCTCCTGAAGAACCACTGGAGGAACGAGGACTCCCAGCCTGTGGAAGGAAAGGGTGAGGGGCCCACAAGTCTGTCTTCACACACCTGAAGAGCTGCTGCCACCGCTCTCTGCCTCATCCCTGTCATTTCTTTCTCTTTTATTTTTTTGAGACTGAGTTTCGCTCTATCGCCCAGACTGGAGTGCAGTGGTGCAATCTCAGCTCACTGCAACAACCTCCACCTCCTGGGTTCAAGCGATTCTCCTGCCTCAGCCTCCCGAGTAGCAGTAGCAGGGATTACAGGTGCACGCCACCATGCCCAGCTAATTTTTGTATTTTTAGTAGAGATGGGGGTTCACCCTGTTGGCCAGGATGGTCTCAAACACCCGACCTCAGGTGATCCACCTGCCTTGGCCTCCTAAAGTGCTGGGATTACAGGCATGAGCCATCGCGCCTGGCCTCCTGTCATTCCTTCAGTGTGATGCCCTGTGCCTGGCCTGAGAGATATGCACATGATCTTGTTTACCGTATGCCCCTCCACAGCCCTGGGAGGAGGCACACATACTGTCATCCTACATGACAGATGAGAAAACTGAGGCTCAGCCAGGCCAGGCTTACTCAAGTCCACACAGCTGGAAGCGGAGCAGACCGGAGCCAGATGTTGAGACAATGCTCTTAGCCCAGGGCAGGTCTTTGAGGACTCTCACATGTCTGCAGCTGGGACCCCCTCCAGACCACGAGCCTCTCAACCCCTCCCTGAAGAGGCAGTGGTGTGCTTTATCCACAGATGCTTGCGTCTCCAGCTTTATCCACGGATGCTTGCGTCTCCAGCTTTATCCACGGATGCTTGCGTCTCCAGCTTTATCCACGGATGCTTGCGTCTCCAGCTTTATCCACGGATGCTTGCGTCTCCAGCTTTATCCACGGATGCTTGCGTCTCCAGCTTTATCCATGGATGCTTGCGTCTCCAGCTTCCCTTCTTCTGCAGTCCGATGCTCTACCCCTGAGCTATACCCCCGCCCCTTCCCTTCTTCTGGCTTCTGGGTCTTCCAGGAACCTTGGACAACCTGTGAAGCCATTAGCACTATCAGCCTGTAATAGGGAACTACGAGCCCTGCTGACCAGGGAGTCTCTGGTGAGAAATTGCATTCTAGCACCTTCTTGACTCCTTACTAGATGAGCACCCGTGAGAATGGAAAAGGGGATTCTTTAAAGTGAGAATGAAGTTGGAGCCATTTAGAACTAGATGTTAGGCTGCTATTGTGGCTGAAGTCTGTAATCCCAGCTACTCTGAGGCTGAGGTGGGAGGATCACTTGAGCCCAGGAGCTCAAAGCTGAACTCAGGGCTGAGTTTCAAAATAGGGGTTCTAGTTTGCTTCAAGGTCTGGACACTTCTTAGATTTGGGAGCTCAGGCAAGTCATGTTTGCTCCTTGGACCTCAGTTTCTGTGTCTAAAATCCAATGGAAATCTGCTTTGCTGCCTCACAGGGAGGCTGTGAGGATCCAAAGAAAAAAGGTTTGTAAATGGGACAAGATGGGATAGGGGTGTGTACTGGCAGAGAAAAAGGAGAAGGGCTGGGTGCAGTGGCTCACGCCTGAAATCCCAGCACTTTAGGAGGCCAAGGCGGGTGGATCACCTGAGATCAGGAGTTTGACACCAGCCTGGCCAACATGGCGAAACTAAAAATGGTATCTACTAAAAATACAAAAGTTATCCGGGCCTGGCGGCGGGTGCCTGTAATCCCAGTTACTTGGGAGGCTGAGGCAGGAGAATTGGTTGAACCTGGGAGGCGGAGGTTGCAGTGAGCCGAAATCGCACCACTGCACTCCATCCTGGGCGACATGAGTGAGACTCTGTCTCAAAAAAAAAAAAAAAACCAAAGGAAAAAAAAAAACAAAGAAGGAGAAGGACATGCACCATCCAGACAACAGGAGTAAGATAGAGAGGTGGACACACCACCTGTTTCCCCCAGGCTGATGAGTACCAACATTCTAATGACAGGATCCATTTTTGGGCTCTGATCCTGTGCCAGGCTCTGGAAGAGGTGCTGGGGCCAGAGGAGCAACAGAAGTGACATAGCTCTGGGCTACATGGAGCTTAGGAGCAGGGACTGCAGTTTAGATAATCAAAGTGGTGTTCTGAAGGGGACACTTGTTTTTGGAGCAGTAACAGGGACATGAGCCAGTCTGAAGTCAGGAAGGACTTCCTGGAGGAGGTGACCCTAAGCTGAGAGCCAAGCATGAGGGAGGTCACAGGCAGTAGAGGACAAGCACTGTGAGCAGAGAGGGCCCAGCTGGGGAAGCCAGTGCAGACTGGAAAACCACGTGCTAACATTGCCAGAGGGATCACAGCCCCATGGAAAGCAAGGCACTGCTGCCTAGGGACGTTCTCTTCTTAGGGCCTCTGGAGGAGCCAATGAAATAGGGGATCTTGCCCTCCTGGAGCTCTGGGACTCAGAGAGTTTGAGTGCTTCGCCTAAGGGCATTCAGCCTACAAGATAGTCAAGGGAAGGTTCAGATTTAGGGGAAGGAGTCTTGAGAATATACCCCGAGGACAATGAGGATACAGTTGGAGGGCTGAGGTGGATTTGTTCCTCCAGGCAGTGGGGAGCCAAAGATGTTTTAGAGCACAGCAGGTTCCCAGCACCCATGAGAGCCATTTAGCTCCAGTGTCAGAAAGCTCAGGACAGTTGCTGGGGACAACGTGCCATGGTCTGCCACGCCACATGCCACGTTTAGTTATGGTCAGCAGTAAACCTCAGCCCTCTTTCAAGGCGGTAAGTGATGGTAGGGATGGCATCTGAGTGTAATTGGAGGTTGTTGCTTGTTGCTGTGGTTGCTCTGCCCTTTGGAGGAGGAAGGCCAGCTTCTTCCCGTGAGTAGCCTGTTCTGGGAGGGACTGGGGTGGAAGAGGGGAGCTAACATTTCCATTTCTGAGCACCAACCAGGAGTCAGGAAGGGGTGGGAAGGGGACCCAGGGCAGGTCAGGTCAGCAGGTCAGTGAAATCAGGTCTTTAAACACCCGTTTAACACTCTTTTGCAGCTGGAAAGCCCGACTTTTGGCTTCACTGTATTTATTTTCATGGTTACCTGTTATTTACAGTGAATGTGCCTGGTCTTCTTTTTATGGTAGTGATAGGGAATTTCATTTCAATACATATATTTGAATAATAAATCTTAGTCTATTTAAAGAAGAAAAAGTCATCAGTGAATAACACAGGGGAGCTGAAAACTGGCCTGCAATGCAGGAATGGTGGAGATCCAGGAAGCCTTACCTCCTGAGGTCTTCACGGCAGCTCTGAAGCAAGGACTGTCATCCCCATTTTACAGCTGGAAAAGCTGAGTCCCCAAGAAAGTAACTTGCCCTCTGCCCCAAGCCAAGTCTGGAAGCTAAGAACCTTCCCCCCTCACCCTCCCACCTTCACCAGTGAATGAGCTTCCAGACACTCCTCGGCAGTTCAGAAATCTCCTGATATCAGGGGTTCTAATCCAGGCCCTGGTGCCACCATTGACAAACTGTGGCTTTGTACAGTTGTCTAACTCTTTGTCCTTGGTTAGTGATATGGTTTGGCTGTGTCTCCATCCAAATCTCATTTTGAACTGTAGCTCCCATAATTCCTATGTGTCATGGGAGAGACCTGATGAGGGGTAATTGAATCACGAGGGTGGGTCTTTCCTGTGTTGTTCTAGTGATACTGAATAAGTCTCATAAGATCAGATGGTTTTATAAAGGGGAGTTCCCCTGCACATGCTCTCTTGCCTGCCACCATGTAAGATGTGACTGCTCCTCATTCGCCCTCCACCATGATTGTGAGGCCTCCCCAGCCATGTGGAGCGTGAGTCAATTAAACCTTTTTCCTTTATAAATTACCCATTCTCGGGTATGTCTTTATTAGCAGCGTGAGAACAGACTAATACAGTTACTCATCTTAAGATGGGAATAATATGTGTACCTCAGAGGACTGTTAAAAGGATTTAATGATATGATATCTGTTATTTTCTCCAATTTAAAATGAGACAATAGAATCCCAGAACCCTGAAGCCACTTGGCCAAGGTCACAGAGGTGGAAAAAGGAGGAGCTGGACGCCAGTGTAGGTAGGTCCAAAAGGCTTCCACGCGGCTGATTTAATGATCCCATGGTACTGCCTCCCTTCTACAGAAAGCTGCCTCATGCCCAGGTTGGGAGCTTGAGAATGTCTCCAAAGCCCAGTGGATAGAAAAGAGACCTGAACAGTGTGCCCATGGGGAAGGGGCTCGGTTTTCTTCAGGCCAGAGCCTGTGGACTCTGCCAAGGTCCCCAGGAGCAGCAAGTCGGGAGTGTGGGAGGGCACTTTCCTGTGGGAAAATGTAGGGCGCTTCCACTTATAGCCTGATAATTGGGCCCAGCGAGGTCTGAGCTCAGATGATGTCATTCATTCTCTGTGGTCTTTGGGGCTGAGGAAGCCTCTAGGGAAAGAAGGGGTGGGGGAGGAAGGGTTGGAGAACAGAGAACCTGGAAAGAATGACAGATAAAAACAGGAATCAGAGTTTTGGGCATGCATGGACTGTGGCCAAGGGAGCTTTAGAGCCGTTGTAGCAGGACAGCCCATGGCAGGAAGTGCTCATAGAATCAAGGGCAGATGGCCGGAGCCCAGTGCTGGCAGGCAGTGCTGGGGGTGAAGGAATGAAAGAGCCGGGATGCGTGAGTGAATGGTTGGCTTTAGTGCAATGCTGAGCAGATCAGTTCCTGGAAGGCAGCTGAGTCCGGGGAAGGGGTGCACAGACAACATTGGACAGAGTTTAAACCCCGGTAGAAATGTATCAGCTGTGTCACTTGGGCTAATATCTGACCTCTCTGAGCCTCCATGGAGCAGATGCTGTCAATTTCCAACCCGATACCCATTTCCCAAGTCATCCTTGCCTACAGAACCCTGATTCTACTCAGGGTGGTGATGCAGACAGCCTGGGGCCCTCTGTATTCCCAGCCTCCTTTATAGCCAGGGGTGGCTTGGGTGAGAGCCTCAGTCTCTTCATCTTGGAATGAAAATGATTATACCCCTTCTGCAGGGATTTGGGGAGGATTTAGGCTGGTACGTGCTGGGTGAGCATTGCTGAGAGCATGGCCAACTTCTGCTGCTGATGGTGGGTCTGAATTTGTGTCTCCAGCATTCGCGTCTCCAAGTGCTACTGACCCCTCTACCTCGGTTGTTCCCATTGCCTGAAATTCAACAAAGCAATCTAAACCCTGCCCAGCCATCCCAGCATCCCCATGTTCACCCCCAGCCCCCTGTCACCCCCCTCATCTCTGGAGCCAGTGGTGTGGACTTGAATCTCAGCCCACCACTTCTAGCTTTGCGTGGCTTTGCAATGACCCGACAGGGATGCTAATAGCACCTACCTCCTATGAGAGCAGGGGTGAAAATCAGCAATTCCTGTGAGGCCTATTCAGTGTCGTGCCTAGCACATAGTGAGTGCTTGTGCAAGCTGTGTTACTGTGGAGAGGAAGGCCGACTCCTCGGCCTGGCCCACCACGCCGGAGTGACCGGGTCCCTCAGCCCTCTCTAGCCGCAGCACTTGGCCCCCCATCACGCCAGTTCCCTGCCTCTCTCACACCTCCAAGGCTTAGTGCTTGCTGGTCTGCCTGGAATGTTCCTCTATTCTTTTGCCCTTTCTTCTTTCTTCACTTGGCTAATTCTGCTTTATTTATTTATTTATTGAGACAGAGGCTCGCTCCATCACCCAGGCTGGAGTGCAGTGGTGCAGTCTTGGCTCACTGCAACCTCTGCCTCCCAGGTTCAAGCGATTCTCCTGCCTCAGCCTCCCGGGTAGCTGGGATTACAGGCATGCGCCACCATGCCTGGCTAATTTTTTGTATTTTTTTTAGTAGAGACGGGTTTCACTGTATTAGCCAGGATGGTCTCGATCTGATCTCGTGATCCGCCCGCCTTGGCTTCCCAAAGTGCTGGGATTACAGGCATGAGCCACTGTGCCCCTGCCTGCTTTATTTATTTTTAAAATAATTTAAAACAAGTCATTTTTGTACCCTTCTCTGAGAAGCCGTCCCTCGCTCACTTCTTACTGGCTGGGGTTCCACAGGCTTCTGCGTGCTGTCCAGTCAGAGGCATTCTCTCAGTGTTGCCACAGACTGTGGTCTGAGTTTCTGCGTTTCTGTCCCTCTCAGCCCCTCCTCTGAGCTCTTCAGGGGCTCATACCCTGACCTCATCACCTCTGTCCCTCCAGGGCCTGGCTCAGGGCACCCTGTGTAACTGCTCTCATGCCTCCTCAAACACAGAAACACCCCACGGTAGCGCAGTGAACAATATGGCAGCTAGCACTCAATTGCATTGACTGCATCTGTTTCCATGCTGTGCCCAACCCTCTTCTCACCACTTTCCTGTGGGGTATGACTGCTGTGATGGTTTTGTCACCTTGGTTAGTCTACTGCGCCCAGTGGTTTGGTCCACTGCTAGTCTAGATATTGCTGTGAAGCCAGGAGTTTGAGACTATAGTGAGCTATCATCATGCCACTGGACTCCAGGCTGGGTGACAGAGTGAGACCTGATTAGCATCTATAATCAGTTGACTTTAAGTAAAAAATATTACCCTTGATAATGTGAGTAGGCCTCACCTAGTCAGGTGAAGGCCTTAAGAGCAAACACCAAGGTTTCCCGAAGAAGGAACAATTTTCCCTCAACTGTAGTAAGGAAATCCTCTCTGAGTTTCCAGCCTGCTGGGCCACCCTACGGATTTTGGACTTACCAGCCCCCACAACCACATGAGCCAATTCCTTAAAATAAGTCTACATTTCTATCCATTACCTCCTATCAGCTCTATTTCTCTGGAAAACCCTGACGAATACAACAGTCATTCCCATTTTACAGATGGTGAAGCTGAGGCTCAGAGAAATTTGGTCTCATGGCCAGTGTCATATGCCACTCAGTGGCAGGGCCTGGACTGGAACCCAGGCAGCCTCTCTAGGACCAGCATTACAGATCACCTAGCTGATGCTGGGATCCAGGTCTTTTCAGCTTCTTCAGGTATTTCCAGGTGCCCAGAGCCAGCTTTCTTAGCCAGGGAAGCTGATGAGTGAAGCAGCCCCTTTTCAAAATGTACTCTTGTGTGCACTGTGTTTTCCAGAGAGACTTGGGGAAGCTTCTCTAGGTGTGAAAAGAAAAGAGGAGGGGAGGGCTGGGCGCCGTGGCTCATGCTTATAATTCCAGCACTTCAGGAGGCCAACGTAGGAGGATCTCTTGAGCCCAGAAGTTCAAGACCAGCCTGGGAGACAGCAAAACTTTGTCTCCACAAAAAAAGATTTTAAAAAAGTAGCTGGGTGTGGTGGCATATGCCTATTATAGTCCTGGCTACTGGGGAAACTGAGGCGGGAGGATCACTTGAAGCCAGGAGTTCAAGGTTATAGTGAGCTATGATCATGCCACTGCACTCCAGCCTGGGTGACAGAATGAGACCCTGTTTCTACAGAGACACAGAGAGAGAGAGAGACAGAGAGAGAGAGAGAGAGAGAGAGAAGGGCAGGACCTGGGGACCTGGGAGTAAGTCCTTCTTTTTACTTCCTGTCTGTGTGACCTTGAGCAAGTAGCTTTGCCTCTCTGAGCTTTGGTTCCTACAGCCTAAAATTACCTCCAGACAGTGGGGCAAAGTCAAGAGATTCTCTATGTATTGATATAGAAAGACCTTTAAGATAAAATGTAGAGGGAAAGTGCAAAGTGTAGGACAGTGTTTCCCTTTTGTATAAGTAAAGGGGGAACTTTTTTTTTTTGAGGCAGGGTCTTGCTCTGTTGCCCAGGCTGGAGTGCAGTGGCATGATCATAGGTCACTGTAGCCTCGACCTCTTGGGCTCAAGCAATCCTCTCACCTCAGACCCCTAAACAGTTGGGATTACAGGTGTGCACCACCATGCCTGGCTGATTTTTAAATTTTTTGTAGCAACAAGGTCTCACTGTGTCACCCAGGCTGGCCTCAAACTCCTGGGCTCAAGCGATCCTCCTGCCTCTGCCTCCCAAAGTGCTGGGATTATAGATGTCAGCAACCACGCCCAGCCAGAAAAGGGGGATTTAAGAATATGTTCTGGTATTTACATAAACAGACTCTCGGGGAATACACTAGAAACTAATAAAAATGATTCTTTAAACGAGGAGAATAGGAGCAGGATGAGACTTCTCACTGTGTTCCTTTAATTTTTGAAACGTTATTAAATTATGTAGTAGAAAATAAATATTAATAGTTTTAAAAATGATGATAATGAGAGTACCTCCTTCAAATTGTTGTATAGTTAAGCTTAAATGTAAAAATAAATGTAAAATGCAAAGCACATAGTAGGTGCTTAAAAATGGGAGCTGGTCATCTTGCCACAGTGACCCTCCAGGGTGTTTCTCGAGGAAAGGGCAAGATGATCATAATGATGCTTTGATTTCCCGCTTGAACCCAATACATGCTTTCTGCTGAGCTGGGTCCTCTGGGTGACTGAGGAAATAGTCCCCACAGGCCCTTGCTTTCAAGGCTTTAATGATCCACCTGGGGATCCCGGACTAACAGTCATGGGCTGTGCAGTGCTCACCATTCATTCATCAAAGATTTGAAAGGTAAGAAGGGTCGCTAATGGGCAAGGGGAGGGGCTTTTTCGGATGGGAACAAATATTCGTTGAGCTGTACTGGGTGTTCCTACATACACTCCTCCTGTAATCCTCATATCAACTCTGGGAGGAGCAGTGATTGTGTCCATTTCACAGAGAAGGAAACTGAGGCCCAGAAACTTGAGCTAGGGTGTGTAAGAACACACAGCTAGGAATTGGCAGAGTCAGGCTCTGAGGCCATGGCTGTCCAGTTGCAGGTCTCCTTGTCTTCCCACTACACTACAATGCCTGGCCAGGCTCTAGAAGGATCTGGCGGGTTAAGTGAAGCGTGGGTAGGTGGTGGGATGGGAGCGTGGTGCAGCAGCTGAGAGTGATCCCAGGATCCCCTCTGAGGACCATTTAAACTTGCCAACAACCCTACTAGACAAGCAGAAGACATAGTGCTATCTTCCCCATTCCCTCACGGATTAATTAATTAATTCATTCATTCATTCATTTCTCCATATAGCCAGTCATTAACATTTTAGTGAGAACTAGTCCTTCCCAGGCCTTATGCTGAGAACTACGGACATCAAAATGAGTGGGTCACAGTGTCTGCACCCAAAGAGCTTACAGTCTAGCAAGAGAGAAAGACCCACAAACTGAGGTAGACAACTGAATGCTGGGATTGAAGATGAACATAGAGCCTAGAGCCCAGAGGAGGTGACATTGCAGGGCAGGGGAGTCTCGGAACATGTATGGGCATTTTCCACGTGTGGAGTGGGGCTGAAAGGGACAGCACGTGGTAAGGACCAAGGGGAAGAAAGCACAGTGGGTTTGGATAACAGCTAGGGCTTGGAGTGATTGATGGGGTGCACATGCAGAGGGAAGAGGTTATGGATGGAGAGATGGTTTGGGAAGAGTCAGACCATGAGGCATTGTGACAGAGACTGGACACCATCTTGTAAGCCACAGAATTAAGCAGGGCAGCGGAGTAGTCAGGCCGATCTGGACTTTGAAGCGACCACCCTGGGGGACCTGGGAGGAAGGGTGGGGACTGGAGAAAGAGGCCCTTTGTTCATCCTAGGGCACTCTCCAGTGCCTTGGGGTCTTCCAGGGTCTTGTTTGTGCCACTCCCCCCAACTTATTTTGTGTGTGTGTGTGTGTGTGTGAGACAGAGTCTTGCACTGTCGGCCAGGCTGGAGTGCAGTGGCGTGATCTTGGCTCACTGCAACCTCTGCTTCCCGGGTTCAAGCGATTCTCCTGCCTCAGCCTCTTGAATAACTGGAATTACAGGTGCCCACCATCACACCCAGCTAATTTTTTTGTATTTTTAGTAGAGACGGGGTATCTCCATGTTGGCCAGGATGGTCTTGAACTCCTGACCTCATGATTCGCCCGCCTCGACCTCCTAAAGTGCTGGGATTACAGGCATGAGCCATCGTGCCCGGCCACTCCCCTACTTTTGTGTTGAAAAATTTTGAGATAATTGCAGATTCACAGTCATAAGAAATGACTCAGAGAGACTGCTTGTGCTTTGTGCCTATTTCGCCCCAATGGTCACATTTTGTAAAATGATTCCTTTGCCGCTTTTGAGGAGGAGGTGGTGGGGGGGGGTGGGCACCAGTATGTTGAAGGAGAAATGCCCAGAGAGCTCTGGTGAGAGTTGCCTCCTTCCCCATCACCCTCCCTCTCTCTGTGAGCCAAGACTGTTTCATAGGTGTATCATGGAACAAGTTTGGGAAGCCTGGTATACGCAACTCACAAGTTCATCCTATCAACCCCCTACCAATCCCTTTGCCATCTTCTCACAGGAGCCCAGGCCACTTCCCTAGGGCACCACCCTTGACATGGCCCCATCCAACACACAGTGGATGTAGCTGAGAAGATCAACTGACCAACAGAGGTCAAGTTCCCCTTACACCATCTGTCTGGTTGTGGCGCTGGCTGGTAGGTGCCTGTTCAGCCGAGAACTACATTTCCCAGTACTCCTTGCTTCCCACATGACTAGTTTTCAGCAATGCAGTGTGAGCAGAGGGATCCAGGTGCTGTCAGGATGAGGGGTTAAGTAGTGGCTATGCCATCTTCTCTTTCTTCTCCCAGTTGGCTGTTTGGATGACACCAGGACAACCTTGGGGCCACAGGATGGTAGAGGATCCTCAAGATAGAAGCGGCCTGTGTCTCAGGGCAACCGTTGGAGGAAAACCACCCATGAGAGCCACAAGCCAGGAACACAGCATTAGACTTTGTATGAGGGAGAAATAAACATACGTAAAGGCTTCAAATATACAAAAGAAGCAGAGAGCACACTATAATAACTCATCCTAGCCATCTATCATTCCGTTTCCAGAAATTATCAACATTTTTCCAAGTCTTCTTTAATACACCACTCAACTACCCCCACCACCCCCCGCACTCTTTTTTCTGTTTTGTTTTGTTTTTTGACAGAGTCTCTTTCTGTCACCAGGCTGGAGTGCAGTGGTGCCATCTCGGCTCACTGCAACCTCCGCCTCCCGGGTTCAAGCGATTCTCCTGTCTCAGCCTCCCGAGTAGCTGGGATTACAGGCACGCACCACCACGCCCAGCTAATTTTTGTAGTTTTAGTAGAGACAGGGTTTCACCATGTTGGCCAGGATGGTCTCGATCTCTTGACCTTATGATCCTCCCACCTTGGCCTCCCAAAGTGCTGGGATTACAGGCGTGAGCCACCGCGCCTGGCCTCTGACCCCATTTTAAATTGTTTGCTGGAGTATTGTAAAGTAATTACCAGACATCATGCACAAGGGCAAACAAAATCAAAAGGTAAACACCCTTTATCATGCTAAGCCACCGAGATGAGGGGCCGTTCACCACAGCAGTTAGACAGCCCTGACTGATGTGGTGGACTCTCTGTACCCAGCTGTGGAATTGGACATAACGGGCCTGTTCTCCTGGGCTGTGCAGTGTGCAAAGGAATGCGTCTGGGCCCAAAGCAGCAAGGCTGCCGAGCCTTCCAGCCCTCTGAGAAGGAGTTCTCTTTGTTCTTCTGGCCCAGCTGCACCCAGCCCCTACCGCCCACTTCTTCCTCCTTCCAGGCTGGGGCTGCCCAGAGGAGAAGCAGACGCAAGGTGGGATGAGAAACAGAGTGTTTTGCAGACCAAGTCTGGCTTGGGCTGGGCTGGGTGTGGCGGGGTGAGGCCGTGCTAGAACACAGAGAGCAGGCAGAAGGCATGGATATTGGAAAGTCAGGGCCTAGAGCAGGGGCTGGAGCCAGGGGAGCAAAACCTTTTTTTGCCTTTTGGCTTGGCTTGTGTTCATGACCCTGAAGCTCAGAAGCTGGATGGAGCTTTGTGGTCAGAACCTCCAGAAAGCTTGAGTCCATTGAAGAAGTCATTACTGAGCACGAGTAGGGCAGCTCTGTGCTGTGGGCTGAATGCTGGCTTAGCTACTCTTCCCAGCCTTGTGACCTCAGATAGGCCCCCTCAACCCTCTGAGCCACAGGCTCCCTGTATTGAAAGTGAGGATGAGAATATCAATTTTACCTGGTCCTGGGGAAATTAGACTTGATGTACAGAGAAAGCCTGACACGCAGTAGGTTCTCAATGACTCATAGCCATTGCTATTGATCTCTGTTAACAACATGACACAAGTATAGGAGTGCAAATTTGCATCCATCCACAGAATGGACCAGGGCCCCAGGATGCTGGGCCTCACCCTCTTGGGAGCTGTTTTCAGAGGAGGAGAAACAGAAAATGCAGGGAGCCAAAGGGCTTGCCCTGGGAGCGGCCAGGTCTAGTTTTGTATGTCAGAGGAGCAAGGGTGGGTGGAATCCTGCAGTTCAGGGACTCTTTCCTGGAAGGGGCTGGATTGGCAACAAAAGACTCCCTCCCTTGGAAAGTAGCCTCACAGCTGTCAGGAAAAAACAGCTGTGTGGCTTCCTTTCAAAGAAGTGAGACCTCAGTCCTATGGGGAAACAGAGCAAGACATGATGGAAAACAGGAACTCCCAGGCCGGTTCTCTAGCAGGGGATGGATGTGGTTCAAAGCCCAGCTCTGCTGCTTGCTGGCTGTGTGACCTTGGGCAAGTTACTTCACCTCTCTGAGCCTTAGTAACATCATGTTTTAAATGGGATAATGATGCTCATCTCACAAGGCTATTGGGAGAAGAGGAAAAGATATTAAATCGAAAATGCCTTGCTCAGTGCCTGGTACCCTGGAAGCACTTAATAAATCATCATTGTAAATCACTCACCCCTAGGGCTTAAAATGAACCCGTTTCTTCTCTTAAGAGACTTTAAATATGGGCGACTCCATCGTCTCTTGTTTACCCTGCATCGACTCCCTAGATGGGCTTGTCCTCTTCCACAGCATTAAACACTGTTCCATGACATCGGCTCTGGAGTCGGCATTTGAAACCAGACACCCTTGCCATTGCTGGTCACAGATTCTTGATATTACCCTAAATGGCACCCCCACCCCCAGCCCTTCCCATTTTGGGAAAGGACCTCCATTCAGCTGTAAGATCTTTTTTGTGTGTGTGTGAGTACATAGTAGATATATATATGTTGATGGGGTACAGGAGATGTTTTGATACAGGCATGCGATGTGAAATAACCACGTCATGGGGAATGGGGTATCCATCCCCTCAAGCATTTATCCTTTGAGTTACAATTCAATTACACTCTAACTTATTCTAAAATGTACAATTAAGTTACTACGGCTATAGTCACTCTATTGTGCTATCAAATAGTAGGTCTTATTCACCCTTTCTATTTTTGTTGCACCCGGTTAAAAGATCTTGATTATTGTCTTTCCCCCAAGCCCCCAAGTCCAACCCACCAGGAGGTCCTGATGGCTCCATCATCAGCATGTATCTCCCATCTCACCCATCCCCACCTCCACTGCCGCCGCAACGGTCCACCCCCACCCCCAATGCTCCTGGCTCTCTGCTGCTCAGACCCCTCCCCACGCTCCCTGCTCTCACTCTCGCCCCTTCTACAGTCAGCTCTCCACACAGAAGCCTCACCTTTTTCTTTTAATTTTTAACAGAAATCCTAGACTTACAGAAAAATGGCAATAGTACAAAGCCTTCCCACACAGCCTTCCCTCTACTCCCTGCATTTGCTTGTCTCTTTCTATCTACAGATGTATTTTTTCTAGAACATTAGAGTCAGTTGCAAACATGATGCCCCTTTACCCCTAAATACTCTAGTGGGACATTTCGACACACAAAGACACTCACATGACTGCAGCACGGTGATCAAAAGCAGCGCTTGTGACACGGTCTAGGTAGCAGACCTGCAGCCCTGTTCACTGCTGCCTGTCTCCCAGAAGGAGCGTCTGGCTCACACATCACCTTCTGTCCTCCTGCCTCTTCAGTCTCCTTTACCTGGGAGCAGTACCTTCATCTGTCTTCACCTGTCACAACCTTGGCATTTTGAATACAGTCCAATGATTTTACAGCACTTCCCTCCATCTCGGCTTGTCTAATATTTCCTCACACGGTGAGCTTTTAAAAGGTATGGGGGTCAGGCACGGCAGCTCACGCCTGTAATCCCAGGACTTTGGGAAGCCGAGGCAGGTGGATCACTTGAGGTCAGCAGTTCGACACCAGCTTGGCTAACATGGTGAAACCCTGTCTCTACTAAAAATAGAAAAAATTACCAGGCATGGTGGCACGTGCGTGTAATCCCAGCGACTCAGGAGGCTGAGGCAGGAGAATCGCTTGAGCTCAGGAGGTGGAGGTTGCAGTGAATCGAGATCGTGCCACTGCACTCTAGCCTGGGTGACAGAGCGAGACTTCATCCAAAAAAAAAAAAAGTAAAATAAATAAATAAATAAGGTATAGGAGATCTCCTCACTTGTCAGCTCTCAACCCTGCAATGGCTGGCTACCAAATCCTGAGAAAATGCCAACTCCCCACCAGGCCCTTCACCAGGAGGGCTTTGCCCAACTCTCTCCCTCTGCTCTCTCGACACCAACAATCTGACCTCTGCCTCAGTGCCCTGGCCCTGCCACTCCTCTCTGGGGACTGATGGGAGGTTTGAGGGGCTCCCTGTCTTCTCACTTTTCACTGACCATTGGCTCATATGAGTGCCCCCTCTCTCTAAGAAAGTATCTTAACCTGTCCCATGTGATATTGTAGAATTTGTCTTGAGCCCTGGTGTGTGACAAGGAAGATCCAGAAGGGACTCCTTTGTATGACACAGGTAGACCTGGCGTGTCATGCCCTGGTGTTACTTTTTAGCTGTGTGGCCTTGGACAAGTTACTTAACATCTCTGATCCTCTATTTCCTCATCTGGAAAGAGGGAATAGGAAGAAGATTTGAGATAGTGAACGTAAAAGTACCTGACACATAACAGGTTTGTCTTCTCTCCAGATGGTGAAATTAGACCCATTACATCTTCTGGAGAAACTGGAAGGGGCTTGCAGTAGGTTGAATGGTGGCCGCCCCAGAAGATATGTCCTTGGAACCTGCTAATGAAACCTTACTTGAAAAAGGCATCTTTGGGCCGGGCACAGTGGCTCACACCTGTAATCCCAGCACTTTGCGAGGCCAAGGCCAGTGGATCACCTGAAGTCAGGAGTTCAAGACCAGCCTGGCCAACATGGCGAAATCCCATCTCTACTAAAAATACAAAAAGTATCTGGGTGTGGTGGTGGGTGCCTGTAACCCCATCTACTCGGGAGCCTGAGGAAGGAGAATAACTTGAACCTGGGAGGCAGAGGTTGCAGTGAGCCGAGGTCGCGCCACTGCACCCCAGCCTGGGCGACAGAGCGAGACTCCGTCTCAAAAAAAAAAAAAAAAAAAAAAAAAAAAAAAAAAAAAAAAAAAAGAGAGAGAGAGAAAGGCATCTTTGTCAATGTATTTAAGTTAAGGATCTTGAGATGAGATTATCCTGGATTGTCCAGTTAACCCTGAATCCAGTGACAAGTGTCTTTAAAAGAGATACACAGAGGAGAAGACAGACACAAAGAGAGAAGGTGATGTGAAGATGGGGGCAGAGATTGGAGGGACGCAGCTACAAGCCAAGAAAACCAAGGATTGCTGGCAGCCACCAGAGGCTGGGAGAGAGGCCTGGGTTGAGACGGCCTCAGAGCCTCCAGAGGGAGCCTGGTCCTGCTGACACCTCAGTTTTGGAGTTCTGACCTCCAGAACTATGAGAAAATAAATTTCTGTTGTTTCAAGCCACCGAGTTTGTGGTAACTTTTCATGGCAGACCTAGGAAACTAATACAGGAATGAACTTGGGGAAAACAACAGTGGGAAGGTCCTTGCCCAGTGGAGCCCTTCCTGGATGGCACTGTCCACACCCAGGGCTTCATTCCTTCTCCAAAGAGGCAGGATTGGAGGGGGCCCTGAGGACTGAGAGTGGGAAATGGCCCAGTCTGAAGTCTTCTGAGCCAGAGGTCTCCCAACGCCCCTTCCTTCTCTCCCTGGAGTCTCCCTTTGAAAGGGCAAACATGAGAGAGAGTGGCTCAGTCCCTGGAGCATCACAGCTGCTTGGATCCAGGCGGAGTGGAGTTGGGGAGATGGCTGTTTGCAGAGGTTGTTTGGGGATGCTGACTGCCAGCATCCAGGGGCCTTGGGGATCTTGGGGGCCAGTGGGATGTTATAGTTCCCCTGCCATGGTGGTGGGAAGAGGGGGCCATTAATCTGTGGAAACAGGGTGGTCCTCCTGTAGCTCATTGCTTAGACAACATGGGATGAGATTCTGGGGTCCTTTTGAGACAGTTCTGCTCATGATACCCATCTGTCTCCAAATCTTCACCGTTTCCACCACATTACACACTCTCCCAGAGAACTCTTTCGCAGAGAACTCGGCATCATTAGCTCGAATCTAACACTTAGCTGCATGGCTTGGGCCTGGGATCAATCATTTCCTTGGCAGCTCCAAGAAGCAGATGCAGGCAGCATGGAGCCCATGGCCACAGGTCCTTGGTGTAATCTGTTGCCCAGGCTTAGGTTTACTGTCATACTGAGATGACCCCAGAGTCTCTGCAGTCCTCTAAAGAAAGGCTCCAAAGCTCTGTGTGAGTAGATCATAGGCGAGGTAGGGCTTGAGACCCCACTTCCTTTGCAAGGTTCACTACCTGAGCTTTTTTCCCCCTGAGAAAAGCCACTCCCCTCTTGGTACAAGTCAGCTGCGTCAGAAAGCGGGCTATGGCACCCACGCCAGCCTCAGATTCTCCCCACCGCACCCCCACCTCTATCAGGGCCAGCTCAGGGGCTGCTGCTGAATTCCCCTGCAAGGCTCACTCAGCGGTCAGGGAGAGGAAAGCTGCTCTGGGAATAGCAAACTCCAGGGAGCCAGGATCACAGGCACGTGGGGGAGGCAGCGGAGGTGGCTGTTTCACACTCTGTCACAATGGAGGTAGCAGTTTCCTTTTGAGGGACTGGAAATGTGACCTACTTCCTTGTAACAAGGATGCTGCGTCAGCACTTGGATGGAAAATGCAGGTGAAGGATGTGCTCCTCCCCAGACAGAACAAGAAAGAAAAAGGTCCGTGCCCTCGTTTTCGGCGTGCATTGTTCTCCCTGCCTGAAACACTCCTGCTCAACTTTTCCATCTGCAAAACCCGTCTTTGTGCTTTGTAAGCCAGATGGAGGAATTTCCCTAGGGAAGTCTCCCATGACCTGTCCATGCTCTGCTGCCCATGCTGGGGCAAAGTCATAGCCTTTAGAGTTGGATACTGGGCTGTTTCGGCCGTCTGAGAAAGGGGCCATGTTTGCTCTGAATATGGCCCAGCCCCTAGCACTGTGGCCCGCACACAGCAGGTACTGAGTAATGTTTGTTTATCAGCTGTGGAAGGCGGGCAGGTAGATTAAACTCTCTGAGCCTTGGTGTTTTCATCTGACCACAGGACTAGTATATAATAGCTGCCTTTATCAAACTCTTTATATTGATGCATTTAGGAGGTAGGGGCTACTGTTAGTCGCATTGTGCAAAAATGCAAAATAACTTATCCAAGGTCTCACAGCTGGAAAGTGATCAGTATACCTCCTCATACCTTGAGGACCAAATGTGTGTGTGTATGTTTGTGTGTGTGGGTGTGTGTATCTAATTCAGAGTAGTCAGTGCTTGGTACATGGTAACTGCCCAATAAATGGTAGTTGTTTTGTTTATTACTGCTGCTGTCCTACTACTGCTCCCAGCACCTCCCCAGGCACTGATCACACCATATCATACAGTCTTGTCCAATCCTCCCTGAGACGGGAGATCTCTGTGCACAGGTCTGCCCAGAGTAGATGCTAACTACATGCTAAAGGCATGAATACAATGAATGAGGAGGTGACTTTAATCCCAATTTCAACTCCTAAGCTAAAAATGTAGTTCCCAGTGAGTATCAAAGCCACTTCTATAAAAGGTCATTGTCATTGCTAAGTAAAATTTCATTGTAATCACCTCTGCAGTGTGCAGAGAATTTTTCACGTTGGAAAATTCTTTCAAAACTGTAATGTCAGTTGATCCACCCGGATATCTGGTAGAGAAGGGCATTGTGCCTGTTTTGCAGATATAGTTGGCACCTGTTTTATGAAAGAGGTGGTTAATGGAACTTTTGCTAATTGATGTCCAATTCATGCTCTACCACATCCTCTGTGCAATCTGGGGCAAGTCATTTCTCCATTCTGAGCCTTAGTTTCTACATCAACAAAATGTAAGTAATACTATGTACCCATGGAAGAAATTTAGGCAAAATTAATATAAGTAGAGAGTTTATTTGGGTTAAATTTGAGGACTGCAACCTGGAAAACACTTCCAAGTTACCTTGGGAAGTGCTCTGGAGAATAAAGGAGAGGCCCCAGCTTTGAAAGAAGACAGGGTGAATCAGGAGAGGGGGTGATTACAAAAGATGTTTCTCTGGAATTCTCATAGGTTAGCAGAAATAACATTGATTAGTAATTGGCTATATATTAGTATAGGCTATGAGTTATTATGTCCACGTGCAACATTGTTAGTTTAATTTATAGTTTCTTGGGGTGTTAGTGAGTCTAGAGTCCAAATAACAAGTGGCTTCAGGAGATGATTACTTAGCTCAAGGGAATGGGGTGGGATGTAACTGCTGTCTCATTCCAACGCCTCCCTGGGCCTGATAATTTAAAGGGGGCTCACATTCCTCATATAAAAAAGTTTCTTTGCTTTCTCACCCAATAGAACTGCCATGAAGCTTGCATGAGACACTGTATGGGGGACCGTTAATTAGGACCAAACCATCCAAAGAGGACAATGGGAAAAGCTATATGGAAAATAACATCTTAAATGTATCAAAGAGCTAATAAGAGAGTAAAGAATTAGCTGACTAAAATCCAGTAAAAAATGAGAACCCAGAGAAGTAAACCTGGTATGCAAAGCTGTATTTTCCCTAAGGACATTTACTAATCCAGAAGAAACAGCTATGGTCTTGGTGGCCTCAGGAAAAAATATAAGGCCCAGAGTCTACCAAAAGTAGGGCCTGTGATAACTGTTCTCTTTCCTCCCTTTCGGCTGGGATCCCAAATGGCTATCTCTGAAAGTTATGATAAAGCATAAGTAAATGAATTCCCACAGACTTATAGGTTCTAGTCATCTAGGTCATCCAGAAAACAACAAACCTTGAACTTGAATTAAGGTGGTTCCATGCTGGTAGAGTTTCCAGACTCTTGGTAAAAGCAAACCAAATTCCTTTGTGCAGAAAAATAGCACCATTTTAGGTAACAAATCATTCTTACAAATACTTTTTCAAATCAAATGTCTGGCACACAGTGAAAAATAGTCAGGTACTTAAGGAAATAAGAAACCTGAGTGAGAACAGAAGCACACACACAAAAACTTTAGTTATTAGAATTGTTAGACACAGAATATAAGGAAAATGTGTACTATGCTTAAAGAAATATTGGGGGACAAAAAACTATGAGAAACTATATTGTAAATTGAAAAAACAAAATAAACTTTGAAAACTAAAAAATAAAAAAATTAAGAACTCACAGTCTGTTTAATGGTACATTAGATACAGCTGAAGAGAAAATTAATTAACTGGAAGACAGATCAGAAGAAAGTATCCAGAATGTATCCTGAGAGACAAAAAGACTAAATATATTTAAGAAAGAATGATAAAACACAGTGAGAACTTCTAACTATTGTAATTGGAGTGGAGTTCTAGAAGGAAAGAGAAATACAAAGAGATGATGGCTGAGAATTTTCAGATCTGTTGAAAAATACCAATTTCAATATTCATGAATTCAAGAAGCCCAAGTAGGATACAAAAAAAAAAATCTATATCTTGGTATATCATAGTGAATCTGAAGAAAACAATCTTAAAAGAAGCTGGAGAAAAGGGATAGTATTTTCAAAGGAGTGATAGAACAGCTGACTTCTCAATAGCAATAATGGAAGTCAGAAAACAGCAAAATAACATCATTGATGTACTGGGGGAAAGTACCCCAAACCCCTAACTTAGTACACATGGAAATATCCTGTAGAAATGGAAGTAAAATAAATGCAATTTTTGACCAAACACTCCCCAGATAAATGGTCACCAGTAGACACTCACTAAAGGTATTCTTCAGAAGAAAATAATTCCAGATGGAAGATCAGAAATGAAAGATGAGCAATAACAGAAAAAATAGGTAAATTGGATTTCATAAAAATGAAAATATTTTGTGCTTCCAAGAACACTATAAAAAAAAGACAACCCACAGGATAGGAGAAAATATTTGCAAATCATATATCTTATAAAAATGTATATCTAGAATATATTAAAAACTCTTACAACTCAATAATAATAAAAAATAACCCAATTAAAAAATGAACAAAGGATCTGAATAGACATTTCTCCAAGGAAGATACATAAGTGGCCAATAAGCACATGGAAATATGTACAATTTTATCAGTCATCAGGGAAATACAAGTCAAAACCATTCAGATACTTTTTCATACCCACTAGAATGGCTAAAATAAAGTAAAAGGATAACATGTTGGTGAAGATGTAGAGAAACTGGAATTTTCATACACTGCTAGTAGGAAAGTAAAATGGCACAGCTACTTTGGAAAAAGTTTGGCAATTCTTCAATAATTAAACATAGAATTACCATATGACTCAGCACTTCCACTCCTAGGTATATGCCCAAGAAATCAAAATATATGTTCTCCCAAAAACATGTACACATATTTATAGCAGCATTATTTGTAATAGCCAAAAGGTAGAAACAACCCATATGTCCAGCAATAGATGAATGGCTAAAAATGTGGTATATCCATACAACGGAATATTGTTTGGCCATAAAAAGAAGGAAGGGGACTTCTAGTTTCCAGCCCATCATATAAGGAGCTTAGAAGTTGCCACTCTGTCTTAACAAGTAAAAAGCTGAACAAACTGCAAGATAACTTTTCTTGTATCTGTAAGAGAAGTGAGGTCACCGGGCAAATGGCTGCCCCCAAACTGGAGAGACAGATGGGTGAATATAGAGAATCACAACATACCAGAGCAGAAACCATGAGTAGAAACCTCCGTGAGAGTCAGTGCCAGGACAGGAAAACCTGAACTGTAACTGTGAATTGCTAGAGGCTTAGTGTGGAGGCTTAGTTTGACAGTTAAAACTCCAGGGGGACCCAGTCATAGAAGGACCACCACACTTTTGTGAGTTTTATCTCCAGAAGCTCTACTAGGTCCTCACAGTGAAAAATCAGAGAGAAAATCCCCTTATGCTTCCAGCAGCAGAGGGGAAAATGAATCATTTTGAAATACCCCAGAGCAGGGGTCCCCAACCCCTGGGCTGTGGACCAGTACTGGTCCAAGGACTGTTAGGAACTGGGCCATACAGCAGGAGGTGAGCGGCAGGTGACCAAGCATTATGGCCTGAGCTCTGTCACCTGTCAGATGGGTGGCGGCATTAGATTCTCATAAGAGTGTGAACTCTATGGTGAACTGCTCATGCAAGGGATCTAGGTTGCATGCTCCTTATGAGAACGAAGGCCTGATGATCTGAGGTGGAACGGTTTCATCCCAAACTATCCCCTGCCCAACTCTGGCTGTGGAAAAATTGTCTCCACGAAGTCTGTCCCAGGTGCCAAAAAGGTTGGGGACCACTGCCCCAGAGCATTATGTTCTTCTTAACAAAGGTTGCCTGCAGAAGAAACTATTTTACCAGACTCTAATCTGCTGGGATATATCAGAGCCTGATTGGCCTATAGAAAGAGAAATACCCAGTTCCAGCCAGCCTTAGTCATCCTGTCACACATAGGGGGAAAAACAAAACTGAGAGGCACTGATGAAGTTCACAGTCCAGAGGTACAGGTTCATCAAAAGACTGAGACTTAGGCCAGGTGTGGTGGCTTACGCCTGTAATCACAGCACTTTGGGAGGCTGAGGTGGGTGGATCACCTGAGGTCAGGAGTTTGAAACCAGCCTGGCCAACATGGAGAAACCCTGTCTCTGCTAAAAACACAAAATTAGCTGGGCATGGTGGCACATGCCTGTAATCCCAGCTACTTGGGAGGCTGAGGCAGAAGAATTGCTTGAACCTGGGAGGTGGAAGTTGCAGTGAGCTGAGATCGTGCCACTGTACTCCAGCCTGGGTAACAAGAGTGAAAACAAAACAAAACAAAACAAAACAAAACAAAAAGGTTGAGACTTAATTATAGAACTATAGAATGGTTCCCCTCCCCCACACCTTACCACTACATTATTAAAGGCCGATTTACTGGAGTTACTTTTACCCAGTACATCACATCCACCTTTCAACAGGAAATTACAAGACATACTAAAAAGCAAAAACACATTTTGAAGAGACTGGACAAACATCAGGACAGGAGTCAGGTAAGGCTGGAATGTTAGAATTATAAGACAAATAATGTTTTTAAAAATATGATTATTATGCTAAGGGCTCTAATGAAAAAGGTAGAAGGCATATAATAACAAATGGATAATGTAAGCAGAAGAATGGAAATTCTAAGAAAGAATAAAAAAGAAATTCTAGGCATCAAAAACAGTGTAACAGAAATGAAGAATGGTTTTGATCAGCTTATTAGTAGACTCGATATGGCTGAGGAAAGAATCTCTGATCTGAAGGTATGACAGTAGAGACTTCCAAAACTGAAAAGCAAAGAGAAAAAAAAGACCAATCCCCACCCCCCCACCCACCCAGAACACACTAACCAAGAACAGACTATGAAGAACTTACAAAAGGGTGTAACATACATGTAATGGGAATATCAGGAGAAGAAAGAGTCAGGAGCAGAAGCAATATTTGAAGCAACAATGACTAAGAATTTCCCTCAAATTAATGCCAGACACTAAACAACAGATTACATAAAGCTCACAGAACACCAAGCAAGATAAACGTCAGAAAAACGGCACCTAGGATATAATATTCAATCTTCAGAAAATCAACAATAAAGAGAAAACCTTAAAAAAAAAACCAGAGGGGGAAAATGCCTTACCCATAGAGAAGCAAAGATAAGAATTACATCTGGCTTCTCCTCAGAAACCATGCAAGCAAGAAGAGAGTGGAATGGAATATTTAAAGTGTTGAGAGAAAAAACCCACCAACCTAGAACTTTTTACCCTATGAAATTATTCTTCAAAAGTGAAAAAAATAAAAACTTTCTCAAATAAAAATTGAGGGAATTTGTTGCCAGTAGACCTGCCTTGCAGGAAATGTTAAAAAAAGTTCTCCAGAGAGAAAGAAAACATGTAGGTTGGAAACTGGATCTACATAAAGAAAGGAAGAGCATCAGAGAATGAATAAGTGAAGGTAAAATGAAAAAAACTGGTTTTTCTTAGTCATAACTGATCTAAGAGATAACAGTTTGTCCAAAATAATAATAGCAACAATGTACTTAGATATATGTATATATATATATATGCTTATGTATGATTATATATAAATGACATGAATTACAGCAATGGTATCAGTGACAGGAAGACAGAATCTGGAATATTTTATTACTATATAGTACTTGCACTATCCGTGAGGCAGTATATTTTTATTTGAAAGTGGACATGGATTAGCTGTAAATGTATATTGCAAACTCTAGGGCAATCACTAAAAGAGGTAAACAAAAAAGTATAACTGATATGCTAAGAAAAGAGAGAAAATGGAATTATATAAAATGCTCAATTAAAATCACAAAAGGCAGAAAAATGGTGGAAGACTAAAGTAGGAACAAAGAACAAGGGCAACAAATAGGAAACAGTAACAAACATGGTAGATATAATTCAACTAGATCAATAATCACTTTAAACATAAAAATTGGTCTAAGTACACCAATTAAAAGACAGATTGTCAGAGTGGACCAAAAACAAGACCTAAATATATATTTTCTATAAGAAAACCACTTTAAATATAAACACACACAGGTTAAAAGTAAAGGGATGGCAAAATATATATCATGCTCACACTCATCAAAAGAAAGTGGGAGTAGGTATTTTAATTTCAGACAGAGCAGACTTCAGCGCAAGGAAAATTATTAAGGATAAAGAGGGGTATTACATAATGATAAGAGGGCCAATAATCCAAGAAGACAGGAATCTTTAATGTGTATGCAACTAACAACAAAGTGTTAAAATACATGAGACAAAAACTGATAGAGCTGCAAAGAGAAATAGATGAAACATTATTACAGTTGGAGATTTAAACACCAGAAATGGATAGATCCATCAGGTAGAAAATCAGTAAGGACATACTTGAATTCAATAGCACTATCAATCAACTGGATATAACAGACATCTACAGACTACTTCATCCAAGAACTGCAGATTAAACCTTCTCCTCAAGATCACATGAAACATTCACCAAGATAGATTCTGAGCCACAAAACACACTTGAACAAATTTGGAAGAATGGAAATCACACAATATCTTCTCTCAAACCACAGTGGAATTAAACTAGAAATGAATAACAAAAAGATAACTAGAAAATTTCCCCCAAAACTTGGAGATTAAACAAGAAACTTCTAAATAACACATGGGTCAAAGAAAACTTCATGAGAAACTGATTATTTGATTGATTGACTGATTGATAAGGTCTTACTCTATCAGGTTGGAGTGCAGTGGCACCATCATGGTTCACTACAGCCTCGGCTTCCTGGGCTCCATTGATCCTTCTGCCTTAGCCTCCTGAGTAGCTGGGACTACAGGGGCACACCACCACACCTGGCTAATTTTTGTATTTTTTTTGTAGAGGTGGGGTCTTTTCATGTTGCCCAGGCTGGTCTCAAGCTCCTGGGCTCAAGTGATATGCCCACTGTGGCCTCCCAAAATGCTGGGATTATAGGCATGAGCCACCATGCCTGGCTTTCATGAGAAATTTAAAAAATATTTTGGATGAAATGAAAATGAACATAGAACTTATCAAACCTTGTGGAATACAGTAAAAGCAACGCTTAGAAGAAAATTTATCACATTGAATACATACACTAGAAAAGAAGACCTAAAATCAATGATGAAAGCTTCCACCTTAAAAAACTTGAAAAAGAGCATATTAAATCCAAAGTAAGCAGAAGAAATAATAAAAATTATAGTAGAAATCAATGAAGTTAAAAACAGAAAATCAATAGAGAAAATCAAAATCAAAAGCTGGTTCTTTGAAAAGATCAATGAGGTTTATAGACCTCTGGCCAGGCTAACTAAGAAAAAAAGACAGAAGATACTTGTTAATATCAGAAATATAGGAGGGGACATTACTCCAGATATCATAGACATTTAAAAGATAATAAAAGATATTATGAAAAACCATACCAACCAATTTGATAACTTAGATGAAATGACCAATTCTTTGAAAGATACAATCTACCACAACTTACATGAGCAAAAAAGGACAATCTGAATAAGACTATATCTGTTAATGAAATTCAATCAATTATTAATAACATTGCAAAACAGAAAGCACCAAGTCCAGATGGGTTCACTGGTGAATTCTACCAAACATTTAAGGAATAAATTATACAAATTATCTACTACCTTCTTCAGAAGATAAAACTAGACAGAATACTTGGTAACTCTCTCACTCACTCTATATGCTCAGCATGAACTTAATACCAAAACCAGAAAAAGACATTACAAGAAAACTACAGACTAGTATATCTCATGAACGTAAATGCAAAAATCATCAACAAAACATCAGCAAATTGAATAAAAAATATATAAAAATTAAATTTATAGCCCACCACCAGTGGAATTTACCCTAGGTATTCAAGGCTGGTTCAACATTCAAAAAAACAATTAATGTAATCCACTAATCAACAGGCTAAAGAGGAATATCACATGATCATATCAATAGGTGCAGAAAAAGCATTTGACAAAATTCAACACCCATTCGTGATAAAAACTCTCAAAAAACTAGGAATAAAGATAAATTTACTGAACATTTACAAAAAAAACCCTACAGCTAATATCATATGTAATGGTGAGAAACTAGACACTTTTCTTCTAAGATGAGGAACAAGGCAAGAGTATCCCCTCTCCTTTTCAATATCATACTGGAGGTCCTATCTAATTCAATAAGATAAAAAAGGAAATAAAAGGTATATGCACTGGGAAGGAAGAAATAAAATTATCTTAGTTCATAGATGATGTGATCATTTATATAGAAAATCCTCCCTCCCAAAATTGGCAACAAAACTCCTGAAACTAATAAGCAATTATACCAAGGTGGCAAGATACAAAGTTAATATACAAAAGTCCATTGCTTTTTTATATTGAGCAAAAAACAAGTGGAATTTGAAATTTAAAAAATTACTATATGCATTAGCACCAAGAAAAATGAAATGCTTAGATATAAATCTAACAAAATATGTACAAGATCTATATGAGAAAAATTAGAAAACTCTGATGAAAGATATCAAAGAAGTAAATAAAGGTAAAGATATTCCATGTTCATGGATGAAAAGACATAATATTGTCAAGATGTCAGTTCTCCCCAATTCGATCTATAGATTCAATGCAATCCCAGCCAAAATCCCAGCAAATTATTTTGTGGATATTAACAAATTGATTCTCAAGTTTATATGGAGAGGCAAAAGACCCAGAATAGCCAACTTGTTATTGAAAGAGAAGAACCCCATCAGAGAACTGAAACTATTTGACTTTAAGACTTGTGATAAAGCTACAGCAATCAATACAGTGTGATATTGGTGAAAGATTAGGCAAATAGGTCAATGAAACAGGTTAGAGAGCCCAGAAATAGACCCACATAAAAAGTGTCAACTGATATTTGACAAAGGAGCAAAGGCAATACACTGGAGCAAAGATAGTCTTTTCCGTAAATTGTACTGGAACAACTGAACATCCACATGCTACAAAACGAATTTAGACATAAGTCTTACATCTTCCACAAAAACTAATTCAAAAGGATCATAGATGTAAATATAAAACACAAAACTACAAAAATCCTAGAGGATAATATAGGAGAAAAATCTAGGTGACTTTGGGTATGGCAATGACTTTTAGGTACAACACCAAAAACATAATTCATGAGAGAAATAATAAGTTGAACTGTATTAAAATTAAAAACTTCTACTCTCCAAAAGATAATGCCAAGAGAATGAGAAGACAAGCCACAGACTAGAAGAAAATATTTGCAAAACACATCTGATAAATGACTTATTCAAAATATACAAAGAACTCTTGAAACTCAACAATAAAACATAAACAACCCAATTTAAAAATGGGCAAAAGACCTGAACAGACATCTCAACAAAGAAGATATATAGATAGCAAGTAAACATATGAAAAGGTGTTCCATATCATGTCATTACAAAAATGCAAATTAAGACAATACTACCACTACATACCTAATAGAATGGCCAAAGTGCAAAACACTGACAATACCAAATGCTGATGAGGATGTAGAACAATAGGAACTCTTATTCATTACTGGTGGGAAAACGAAATGGTACGGCCATTTTTGGAAGACAATGTGGCAGTTTCTCACAGAACTAAATACACTTTTACCATACAATTCAGAAATCACACTTCTTGGTACATCCTCAAATGAATTGAAAAGTTATATCCACCCAAAACCTGCACATAGAAGTTTATGGTAGCTCCTATACATGGAAGTTTATGGTAGTTTTATTCATAATTGCTAAAACTAGGAAGCAACCAAGATGTCTTTTGGGAGGTGAATGGATATATAAACTGCTCTATATCTAGACAGTGGGATACTTATTAAACACTAAAAGAATTGAGCTATCAAGTCATTAAAAGACATGAAAGAAACTTAAATGCATATTACCAAGTAAAAGAAACCAATCTGAAAATGCTATATATTTTATGGATCCAACTACATGACATTCTGGAAAAGACAAGGTTATGGAGTCCATAAAAAGATTAGTGACTGCCAAGGGCCTGTATGGAGGGATGGATGAATAGCAGAGCACAAAGGACCTTTTAAGGGCAGTTGAAACTACTATGTATACTGCAATGGTGGATATATGTCATTTTACATTTGTCAAAACCTATAGAATGTACAACTTCAAGAGTGAATCCTAATATAAACTATGAACTTTGGGTGATAATTATGTGCTAACGTAGGTTCATAAATTGTAACAAATACACCATGGTGGTGTGGGATGTTACTAGGCGGGGAAATTTTGCATGACTGAGAACAGGCAGTGTACAGAAATCTGGGAAGAATTTCTATACTTTCTGCTCCACTTTTCTGTGAACTCAAAACTGCTCTAAAAATAAAGTTTATTATTTTTTAAAAAAGAAATAAAGTATTGATACTTGCTACAACATGAATGTACCTTGAAATGGTTTTGCTAAGTGAAAGAAGTCCATTATCGGAGTTCACATATTATATGATTCCATTCATATGATAGTCCAGAGTAGGGAAATCTATGGAAACAGAAGAGAGTGGTGGAGAATAGTGGGTAAGAGCTAATGGGTACAAAGGTTTTTTTTTTTTTGAGGTGATTAAATGTACTAAAATTGGCTGTAGTGATGGTTGCACACTAAAATCTACTGAATTGTACACTTTAAGTGGGTGAATTTTATGGTATGTAAATGACAACTCAATAAGTTGTTTTAAAAAGGTAAACATAACCTTAACACTAGCAAAACAAAAAGGAAATGAAAGAAAGAATGAACAGCAAAGAAAGTGGTAAATTTAAATGAACACCAATGGAGCCTTAAAAATATATGTAGAACTAAAATACACAGCAACTATAATACAAAAGTCAGGAGGGGGATGAATGGTGTTAACATGTTCTAAAGTCTTTCTATTTGTGAGGAAGATAAATATACAAATCAATTAGACACTGATGAGTCAAGGATGCATGGGTAAGCACTAAAAAGTAAATGACTTACAAATTAGAAGAGAAAAAAAATCCCAAAGAAGTCAATACATAAGAGAAAATGAAACAGTTATAGGCAGAAAAAAGAACTATTAGCAATTATATTAAATGTAAATGGACTAAATTATTCTCTTAAAAGATTAACACTGTCAGACTCGGGGGGGAAAATACGAAACCTAACTATATGCTATTTATAAGGGTCACATCTAAAACATAAGAATACAGAATGGTTAAAAATAAAAAGATAGAAAACGAAATACTATAGAAGTGCTGAGCAAGGGAAAACTGATGTAGCTGTGTTAAATTCCTATAAAATAGGCTTTAAGAACACACAAGTGTTCACAGCATAATTTGTAATACCCAAATATGAAACCATCCAAATATTCATTGAGAGTACAATGGATAAATTGTAGTATATTCATACAATGCAAATGAATGAACTACTCACAACCTTGGTTCTTAAAAATATAATGTTGAGCAAATTGGAGTAAGGCACAAAAGAATACATACAGTATGAATCTATTTTTAAAAGCATTTAAAAAACAGGCAAAACTAACAATTTTATTTAGGGAGGAATAACTAGGTGTCTATGAAGGCTCAATTCAGCCTGTCCACATTAAGGGTTCTTCCTGCAGAAATACAGGGAGATTTTTGGCAGGCTCTATATCTGGATGGGCTCTGCCCATGGTAATGAAGGGCCAGGGCAAGGTGGGGGAAATTTAGAGGCCAGGATGAGCCTAACAACCACATAAAAATTGAGGCTTCTTTGACCACTTCATGCTAAGGGCAGAGAAGGTTCCAAGGGAAGGGATGATAAGGGTGGAGCCATAGAGGAGAGAACAGAGCCCTTCTTATCTTCCTGGCCTGTACTGTCTGGCCCCAAGGTGCCAGTACTGGCTGCCTTCTTGGGCCACCTTTTGGGCTGGTGTGGCCATATTTAGTATCACATGACTCTTATTCCCAGCTGACTCATCCACTGCAAGCTTGGGATCCTGGACTCCACAGCATGTAGAACTAAAGGTGCTTAGGCCAATTTCCCCTCTAGTGCATTGAACAAGGGAGGTCTCAATACCTGAATTGCAGGAGCAATTAGGATAATATAATCTCAGGCTATTTCTATAGTTAGGTTGGCTCAGAGTGGGGTTTCAGTAGGAATAGGGTTTTCCAACAGTGGCTTCAGCTCGGTACCCCAAAGCTGATCTTTTCCCTTATCTCCTGTGTCTGATTTGGCCACATCTGCAGCTGGTTGCGGAGTCTGCATAAGTGAGTGCTTCCACTCAGACCATCTGATGCTTCAAGTGGCAAAAGTAGAAAGTGCTGGTGACATTTTACTTGACGTAGTGATTCTTTTTTTTTTTTTTTTTTTCGAGACGGAGTCTTGCTCTGTCGCCCAGGCTGGAGGGCAGTGGCGCCATCTCGGCTCACTGCAAGCTCCGCCTCCCGGGTTCACGCCATTCTCCTGCCTCAGCGTCTCCGAGAGGCTGGGACTACAGGCACCCGCCACCATGCCCGGCTAATTTTTTGTATTTTTAGTAGATACGGGGTTTCACCGTGGTCTCGATCTCCTGACCTCGTGATCCGCCCGCCTCGGCCTCCCAAAGTGCTGGGATTACAAGCGTGAGCCGCCGTGCCTGGCCGACGTAGTGATTCTTACAGGGTGAAAGTGATGCATGGCTTCCCTCCCTCCTGCTCTCCTGCATTATCTCCTTTCTTCCTGCCCTCTCTTCTTTTTTTACTCTTGATTAGCATTAGGATCTTAGTTGCATATTTGCAACTGTTATTACAGAAATCAATCTGGACTTGTGCAAAAAAAGGGTTTATTGCAAGGATCCTGGCTTGGCAGCTTGTAGAAGGACTGAGGGAGAGGCTGGTGAGCCAAGGACACACAGAGACGTCATCCTCAGATCTGATTAGAACACTGCTACTGCTGTCCTGGCTGCCACTGGCCACTGGTCCACTGGACTTGCAACTCCATTCTGCTGCAGCCCAGTACTCAAGGTCCCAGATGCCACCAACTCTGTGATGAAATAGGAAGGATTTCTGCTTCTTTCTGTCTTGCATACATGTTTGTGTCCCAGATGGAGTCACTGGACAGGCTGGCTGAATTTCAGGGGCCAGGAAAACATATGTCTGGCCTGTTCGGCTTCCGTAGAGAGAGGTGGTGCTCAATAGGACTTACACAGTGGCTGTTTCTTCAAACCCAGGAAGGGGCTCTGATGTTGGGCGCACAAAAAAGTGATGAGCACAGACTGCAGTGTCGTACTTCCAGTGCTGGGCACCGAGGGTGAGAGGAGAGTCAGGCACAGCCCTTGCCACCAGATGGGATACAGATGCATGATAAATTGCAACATGGGGATCAAAGGGCCACCAAGTTAGCACAAAGGACAGGGAATCCAGCCTCAGTTTCCCCATCTGTAAAATGAGAGTAGTAGTCATAGTGCTTGTCTCCTATGGCTGTTGTGAGGAATAAAAATAGTATATGTAAATTACCTTCTATTGCACGGGCATGTGTGGGGCACTGGACTAATGGCAGGTGTTGGCATTAAAGAGGCAGTTCAGCACAGTGGTCGGGAATGTTGTCATTCTCGCTTTGGGGCCCCATGGCCCTTCTTCAGGTACAGAATAGTGAAGTGGTAAAGACCATAGGCTCTGGAGCCAGATTGAAACCCAGTTCTCACTCATACTAGTTAGGGGGCTTTGGCTGACTTACTTTAAGTGGCCACACCTCAGTTTCCCTATCTGTAACCTGGGAGTGGTCATGATATCTCATACAGCTGCTGTGAGGATTACACAAGTAATAGCTTTAAAAGGTCTCTGGGGCTGGGCACGGTGGCTCACGCCTGTAATCCCAGCACTTTGGGAGGCAGAGGCGGGTGGATCACGAAGTCAGGAATTCAAGACTAGCCTGACCAATATGGTGAAACCCCATCTCTACTAAAAATACAAAAATTAGCCAGGTGTGGTGCTGCACGCCTGTAGTCCCAGCTACTTGGGAGGCTGAGGCAGGAGAATCGCTTGAACCTGGGAAGTGGAGGTTGCAGTGAGCCGAGATCGTGCCGCTGCACTCCAGCCCGGGCAACAGAACGAGACTCCTTCCCAAAAAAAAAAAAAAAAAAAGTCTCTGAATAGTGCCTGGCATGTGGTTACAATCTTAAATAAATGCTAGTAATTTTTATTTTTCAGAGACCTATTGTGGGCACAAAGCCCTGACAAACTCCAGACAGCCCTGTTTTGGATGGAGACAACAATCGCACATGACAACTAAAGAGGAGTAAGGCATGGAGCTAGTGAAGGCTTAGCGTGCTGTTCTGACTCTGTGTCAGCAGCCTCAAGCCTCCGGGGCACAGCCCATGTGTGTCTGCAGCCTCCCAGATGCCGCCAGCTCCCACCAAGTTCCTACTGATCCCCTACCAGCCTGTTCCGCACCCAAGCCTTCCATCTTGGTTTGGCCTTATCACAATTTTCACAGCACACCTGTCTTGCTCAAGATTCTCAGGATTTTGAACTCCACCAAAGACTTGAGGGGTAATAGAGTCAAGTGCCATCTGGCCCTCTGCCATCTTGCTCAATCCCATTCCCCAGACTGCCCCGGGCTCTTTCCTTGTTAGTTGTAGGGCAATGTGGTCTAATCTTTCTTTCCAAGTCTTTTCTTGGGAGCAGCCTTGTCATCTAGTCTGCCTTCTCCTTACTCTGGGACAGTGGTTCTCAATCAGGGATGATTTTGTATTCCAGGGACATTTGGCAGTGTCCAGAAACGTTTTTTATTGTCACAATGGGGGCTGGAGTTAGGGAAGTGCCACTGGTATTTGCAGGTAGAAATTGGGGATCTGCTAAACATCCTATAATATGCACAGGGCAGTCTCCTACGAGGAAGAATTTTCCAATCCCAAGGCTAAGAAGCCGCTTTCTAGGAACCGTGCTGAATGAAATGGTCTATATCTTGTTACAGTACAAAAGTATAAAGAGGAAGGCAAAAATGCCCCCCAGTCGTACTATCCAGAGACAACTAGTCTTCATTTTGGTATCATCCCTCCAATCTGCATATTTACATGTAGATTTAGAGATGTGCATAATTTGACAGAAACATGCTCATGCTATATGTGCTATTTTGCAACCCATTTTTTTTTTCACTCAACAACATATGATGGGTATCTTCCACTGTCAACAAAAGTAAATTTGCAACATCTTTTTTAGAAGGCCGCATGGCATTCCATAGTAGGGATGTAACACTTCATTTAGACAATCCCTTATTGATGGATATTTAGATCATTTCCAGTATTTTGCTGTTATAAACAACACTGTGATGAATATCCTTGTATATACATCTTAGTGCACTTGTCTGAGTAAATCCTTAAGATAAATTCTAAGAGTGGAATTGCTGGCCAAAGAATAACATGCCCTTTTTGGACTTTGGATACTCAATGCGGAACTGCCACTTTAAGGCATATTAACTTACACAACTCCAGCAGGGCACTGGGGTACCTATCTCTCTGCTCCTTCTTCCACCCTGGATATTATAAATAGTCTTAATCTGCAAAAGCAATTGTTTAAAGCATTAGCAGGGAAGAGCCAGGAATGCTCAAAGCTAAGTGTCTGTGTTTCTCTTTGGCTGTTGAAATCCTGGGATTTGAGGTATCCCTTCTGGAGCCTGATTTTATTTTCTCTCCCTGAGCCCCGCTCCCTTTGTGGACTCCTCAGCCAGGCCAGGGCAGATAAGAGGAATTTGGTGAACAGACTGGGGGCTCCACTTTGGGGCTGCTGCTTCCCGGTCCTGTGGTCCTCTCTGCGTGGCTGAGAACTCTCCTGTCTTCCTCGGTGGCTGCTCTGCTCCCTGGTAGTGAAGGAATCAGGGGTGTGTTCCCGCTGGGGCCACCTCTGTCTATGGCTTTAACCATCTCTATCTATGGGGCCATCTCAATCTATGTATGGCCTTAACCATGACCATCTCTATCTATGGGGCCATTTCTATCGATGGCCTTAACCATCTCTATCTGTGGGGCCATCTCTATCTATGGGGCCATCTCTATCCATGGCCTTAACCATCTCTATCTATGGGGCCATCTCTATCCATGGCCTTAACCATCTCTATCTGTGGGGCCATCTCGATCTATGGCCTTAACCATCTCTATCTGTGGGGCCATCTCTATCCATGGCCTTAAACATCTCTATCTATGGGGCCATCTCTATCTATGGCCTTAACCATCTCTACCTATGGGGCCCCATCTCGATCTATGGCCTTAACCTGAAGCCTCCCCTGTTCCTTGTGCTCAGCAGGGCTGCTCCCTTTTCCTGGTGAAGTCTTACATAATACTAGCTCATACGGACACAGTGGTTTCAAGCTTACAGTGTGTGGGGTTTCTTTTGTTCCTGGTTTCCATGATTCCTCCCAAGAGCCACACGAAGTGGTTATGATTCTTGCCCTTATTTTTCTCAATACAGTAACTGAGGCTCAGAGAGAGGAAATGCTTGGCCTAGTCCCACTGCAGGTGAGCAGTAGGGCAGGTGGGATTTGAACTTACACCTTCTGTTTTAAAACGTACCCAGGATTTGTCTAAATTAGGTATGGTAAGACCCACGACTGTCACGAAGGACGAAGTGTTTATACTTACACAACTTCCAGCAGGGCACCGGAGTACCTATCTCTCCGCCCCTTCCTCCACACGGGATATTATAAATTGTCTTAATTTGCAAAAGCAATTGTTTAAAGCATTCTAGGTCCCTAGAAACAGGAGGCATCGCACGCCGTGCAAGGCCACATGGGGAAGCGCCAAGGTTCAGCAGGAGGTAGAAGGAGTGAGGGAAGGGGTTGTCCAAAAGTATTGATTGTGGTTTCCATGGGAAAAAATGGGTGAGACAGGTTAAGCAGGTTTAGGACTGGCCGGTTTGAATAATTTCAGTGGGCTCCCAGGTGTAGGGACTGCCTCTCATAGTCTGATACTCGGCCCTGGATTGATTAGGGCAGGAGGATATGGGAAGAAGGGGCTTGATATGGGAAGAGTTTGATGGGTAGTTGGAAAAAAGATAAAGTCCAGTTGGGCTAAATTGATTGACATGCATATGGAAGGGACGCTTGTAAGGAAGGCACACTTGTTTGCTATTTCTAAAAACTGGCTAGCCCTGGGAAGGGCAGTCTCTCCTCCCTCAGTGGGGCCACAGATGCCAGAGCATCAAGCATACAGAAAATAAGAAAATACACACCTCCCAACTCTGTGGTGCTGGGCTGAACCTGTCTCAGGTCAGCCTGTGCACTTTTCTGCTCCCCACACCCATTCTGTGTGTCTGGGATAGCTTTCCTAGAGAGAAACCTTCTCTCCAAATGACCTCCACATATTGAGAGTCTCCTGGGGTGTAACGCATCAGTGTGCTATTTTGCTTCATCCTGGTAATGACTCTGGAAGGAAGCAGTCATTATTCCTGTTTTTCCGGTGAGTTCTGAAGAGGGGAAGTGGTTGGATCCAGGGCACGCAACTGAGCTGGACCAGGTGTCCTCACTCCAGGGCTTCTGCTCAAAGAGAAGGAGCTTGCAACGAATGCTTGTTTCATATGGAATAGGAAAGAGGGGAAGGTATTTAAGAAAGTTACCCTGCACATTTATCACACCTGCTGGTAGAGGAGCTGGTTTTAGCTGATGGAACTTCTTGCTGTTTGGCTTTGAGGTTCTCACAAAAGTTTGTAGAGAGGCTGCTTGGTTTGTCCCTGGTCTTGTCCACTCCTCCAGCCCTGTCCCCCCTCAAGCCCATGCCTGATATCTTCCCTTTCTCCTAAATTTATCTGTCCAGTGTTCTGCCATTTCAGGAGCTTGTGTCAGTAGGAGCCAACTGATGTGAGGTTGTTTGCAAGGAACAGAAACCAAACTCAAATGGGATTACGCCAAAAGATATTATTGGCTCCTCATAGCCAGTCTGAGGAAAGGCTGGGAATGGAGCTGGTCTTAGGGCCTCATGTGCCACTCGCTACTCCCAGCTTTGCCCTTTTCTCTGGCTTTGGCTCTAGCTCTGGGCTCTGTGGCTTCATACCCTTCCAGGTCCATGGCCCAAGGGACAAGAAGAGTTTCTCCTGCAAATCTTGTCAGAAAAAAAATCCCAGAGAAGATCTCTGATTGGCCCGCTTTGGGTCACATGTCCTTCTCTGGACCAGTCAGTGGCCAGGGGAATGGAATGCTAAGATTGGTCCAGACTGAATCACGTGCTGCCTTTATGGGAAACGGGGCTAAGATTTGTTACCAGGAGAAGAAGTTCCTGGGGGAATATTTTGGACAATTGAAGAAAATATGCTTTTGACTGTCTTGTCAAGTAACATGTTCACACTTTCACAAGGGACTTCTGAGGATAGAATGCCCTAATGCAAGGAGATGGAATGGTGGGAATTTCAGGCACTATGACAGGAATTTAATGGAAATATTTTTGGCTTAGGAGAAACTTGGCTTCTAAGCTTGAAAATGACTCCATCTTTTTTTTTTTTTTTTTTTTTTTTTTTGCCAGCAGTGCCCCACCAGCAAATTCCCAGAGTGAAAACTAGTATGTATATACTGTATTTTAGAATGGTGTGGGAGTTTATGTTTCTGAAATTAGAATGCATCTTATAATTGAAGTGCATATTTAATGTGTTACCAGGCAATAGACTGTATTAGTTAAAAATGAGAGATCTTTCATTGGATGAATTTAGTTCAAATCTTGGTTCTACCAGTTCCAAGCTGTAGAAAAGTTAAATCAAATGACTTAACTTTGCAGCAACCTCCATTTTGTGTATGCAACATGGTGCTGGTAATAATATCTACCTCACCTAGTTATTGTGAGGAATAAATTAAAAAACAGATATGATTGAGCATAGTGCCAGACACACAGAAAAGCCTCAGCAAATATTAGCTATTATTTTATTTATCTAATATTTGTAAACCTACAAGCTAAAATCAAATTAATGGTTTAGAGTAAGGGTTCTTGATTGGAAGCTGCAGAAATTGACTTTTAAAGAGAAAGGGGACTTTTAGAAGGCATATCAGGGCTCATAGAATTGATGGGAGGCTGTAGACTCAGGCTTGATAAGTGGGCAGAACAAAATAGATCTAGGGGGGATCAAGAATCAGGAAACACAATAACAGTCAAAATCAGAAACCACTCTAGATATTTCAAACAGTAGGTATTTAATACAGGGAATTCATTACAAAGATGTTGGAAGGGCTGACAAGCAAAAGAGAGAAGACTCACAAGGAAGAATAAGGCTGTTTTCTACAGGACAGGAAGCTGCCACCAGTCCCTGGGCTGGAGCCTGAGAGCCCACATGCCCCACTGAGCTGCTGGAGGTGCCACTGCTCCTGCTGTTAAAACCTCCTTACTGTAGCTGGGTAGGAATCCCAGGGCCATACTCCTGCAGATGCAGCTACATCGATGCTACTGGAAGTCCCCTGCAGTTATGCTCAGTTGTTTGCTGCTGCTGCTGAAAGCCATTGCCAGAAACCTGAAACAAATGGCTTCTCCCTTCTTCTACCTTCTAACTTCCTGTGAATGCGTCCCATTGGCAGACCCTAATAAAAGGTCATTGCAAGGGAAACTGGGAGAGAAAGTTTGCAGACTCCCAACCCTGATGGTACAGAGGAGGTAGCATGGGGGAGTGAGGAGGTGAGAGGCATGGACACCACTTAGTTTTTGTCCTTATCAGGAATAGGGTGGCCTAGGCACTTTTGTCCTGACCATGGGTATCCCTCTGGCACTTGGCACTTTGAATGCCAAGCTCTACGTGGGAGCACTTCACACACCCTGGTCAACAGGGAGTGGTGAGAGGGAGAGTAGATCCCCATTTCGATTTGGGGGAGGCCTGGGGGCCCTGAATCTTCCAGGAGCATACACAGTGTCAGGGGGTTCACAAACTGAAGTGATGGGCATGGTGCTGAGAAGCCTCCAAAAGGACAAATATTCAACTTGATGAAGTACCTCACAATCAACAGAGACTGAATGAAAACACTAGGGATGGTGCTGCCATTTTTACTAGAAGGACAAGGTAGTGACAAGACATTGGGTGAATGTCAAGAGGCAGGAGATGGCTAGTGACCCCCTAGGAAAGTGGCGAGGGTTAGAACTGACAGTACACAAGTCCTTCAAACCTGCATCTGGCTTCACTGTATGTGCAGAGTGCTGAAGGAGGGGCCAGAGGAGCTGGGTCTGCTGATGCCCACTCCAGAGGCAGGCTCAGGGCAGGCCCATCAGCACCACAGCAGGAGACAACAGTGAGCCCTCGGCGGGCACCAGGCCAATGCTTCCCACGTACTCCTCAGGTAATCCTCGCAGAACACGTCAAGCACACACTATTAGCATCTCATTTTACAGAAGTGGAAACTGAGGCACAGAGTCGTAAGATAAGTTATCTACAATCACACAACCGTTAAGAGGAGAAGCCAGAAGTCACCTATAGAATCCGGAATCTGTTTGAGTCCAGAGCCTGTTTACTGATTTTAAGGGCTGAGAAGTAACTCCTTTAGGATTTTCTAACCTACAGATGGAGAAACGTGGACATCTTGGTGGGGGTGGGGAAATTCAGCCTACCGATCCCCAAAATGTGTTCGAGTTCTTTATTCATTCAAGTAGTAAGAAGTGAAACTGAAAATTTCAGAGGAAGCTCCATGACACAATAAATATCAGAAACTAAATTACATGTTGAGATGAGTTCCCCTGGGCACTTGTGAAATGATTTATCCAGCCTCTGGTGACCTGACTCTTCAGCCCCTCACTCACGTGGAGGCTGTAAAAAGGAAGCGAATGAAGCTTGGGAGAGGAGCTGGGGCCAGGAGCCCCACCCTATCCCAAGAGTGCTTTTTCTTTTACTTCAGGTCAAGAGAGAGGAATTTCAATAGAACACTTGGAGGGCTTCATCCCTGTCCCTTGCAGTCAGGGGATACAGTAGTGGGCAGTGTCTGGCTCTCGCTTGGAAAATCGACAAGATAAGACCATCTTAGTGATTTCACTGACTGCCCCAACAGCAGACGTGAAAGAGAGGTTGTGGCCGCAGTGGGATTGGCCACCTTCTCGAGTTTCTTGGGGAAGGCATACATGGACATTTCCCATGGATTAGATGAGGGCCACAGGGCAAAAGGGCTGGAATGAGACCATCCAAGGTCTGTCCAAAAGGCCCCCTCCCCAGGAGAAGGTGAGCTCTTAGCAGCTGGAAGCTGGAGGGGGCAGCTGATTCCGAAAGGCTATCGACAGAGGAAGCAATGAGACTCAAGAGATGACATCACCCACATTGAGGGCCTAGCACTGGGGGGGGAGGTCTCTGAAGAACTCACAAAAGCACCCACGAGAATCAGCTTTATGCTTGCAAGCAGAGGACAGTATAAGGCAGTCCCCATCAAGTGGACCCTCTCCTGTCCCCTTTTACCTCCCCTCCATTCTCCCTGCCATCCCCATCCAAGTGCAGAACAGTGACAGCAGCTGGCAAGTGAGAAAGGGGGTGAGTGGGAAGGAAGAAACTGGCCTACCTTACCTTCTTCGCAGAAGGCAGGCAGTCTTCCTGCAGCAAGAGGTGGCTCTCATCCAAGCATCCTCTAAGCATTTCCAGGGCACCTGCTTGACACCAGGTCCTGCTTGGGCATGAAGGCAGTAGGGTCATGGGTGAAAGTGAAACGAAGCTGTGACTCCAGCAGAGCCCCTGCCATCTAGAAGCTCCCATTCTAGCCTAAGAGGCTGGCATAGAAAAGGTACTTACAAAATGGTGGGATGCATAACAAAGGCTCATCTTCATTGAGTATCTACTCTGTGTGCTAGGCACTTTGCCTGGATGCTTGCTCAATCCTCCTAACAACCTCGAGATGAGTACTGTTGTGCCCATTTTACAAACGGAAAACTTGGAGCTCCAAGAGGTTATGTGGATTTGAACTCAGTGCTATCTGACTCCAAATGTGAAGTTTTGTTGGTTTGTTTTGTTTTGTTTTTTTTGAGGCAGAGTCTCGCTCTTCACCCAGGCTGGAGTACAGTGGTGCAATCTCAGCTCACTGCAACCTCCGCCTCCCCGGGTTCAACCAATTCTCCTTCCTCAGCCTCCCAAGTAGCTACGATTACAGGTGCCCGCCACCACGCCTAGCTAATTTTCTGTATTTTTAGTAGAGACAGGGTGTTGCCATGTTGGCCAGGCTGGTCTTGAACTCCTGACCTCAGGTGATCCACCCACCTTGGCCTCCCAAAGCGCTGGGATTACAGGCGTGAGCCACCGTGCCCGGTCCAAATGGCATGTTTTTAACCACTCTGCTGTAACAGTACACAGAGGAGGCACCCAGGGTGGGTGGTGTGTGGAAGAATGGGGTTTGGGGGGATGTGCTGATGAGAGAAGTGCATTCCAGAAAAGTGAATCAGCATTTTCGAAGGCTGTGTATTTGTGTGGGTGCAAGACACTGTTTGTGTAGCTGCTAATTAGCATTGATTGAGCACTTACTGCATTTCAGGCACTTTCCTTGTATTTAATCCTCACAGCTTGCTGTGTATTCTCACCGGCATTTTTAATAAAGGAGGGATCTTAGGCTCGGGGAGTTGTAGCCCAGAGACCCACAGACAGTAGAGGAGAGAAACCAGAACTAGCACTCAGGTCTGTTTCAGACTAGCCGCGTTCTCTCCACTACACCAGCCATGTGGCTGGATATTAGCATCAATAGGAAAAGACAGGGATAGTCGACTTCTGAGGGGTGTTCTGGCTGCCCCATCCAACCCCTTTTTTGGAAGTGGCCCCGTAATTTCTTTTTTAGGAAACCATAGCTCCCCAATCGTCCATCTTCTTGCTTTGAGTGGGACCCACCCTACTCTCTGCCGGTCAATATACTGACTACCCTGGCCACAGGATTGATCGGTTCAGAGATGGGCACGTGATCCCAGCTGGTCCAATCACAGGGAGCTCGGGGGCTTGAAAAGGTGCTTCCGGGCGGAGGCTTTCTTCGTGCCTTCCCTGAACTGGGAGGGCTGGGCATGAGGTTCTTCTTCTTCTTTTTAGTTTGCAAGCATTTATTTTATTCTATTCACACTGTACTGGTATTATACAACCTGCAAAAAGTACAAAAGACTAATCCATGTTTACATGCTGGGTCAGAGCCAAGTTGCAAAAAAGGAAGACAGCACAGACAGATACAAAAAGAGCTCAGGTGTCCCGTACAAGCCACAAGCCTCACTGTCACGTGAAGTATTTAAAGCTGTATATATCGCCACAGGAGAATCTCTGGTCTTTGCAGCAACCACACAGAGGTAGGGGTGGGAGGAGGACTAGGCTACAGCCCAACTGGTGTGAAGAGTCGGGGAGGGGGAGCCCAGGAGTGGGGGCAGAATCCTGGGCCCTAACGTGGGCATCTGGTGGGCAGCAGGGCCCCTGATTGAACCCGGCAGGCCGAGCCACTGTGGGGAGACCACATGTTCTCGTTAAGCCGACAGACCATGCTATAAATGAAACTAGAGAGAGTCAGGGACTACTTGTACTTTCTCTAATAACCGCCCACCAGACTCACAGACACAGTGTGTCCCAGGTGGGTCATCAGGCAACTGCACTTCATGTCACAGTAATAAATAGGAGGCTGAGATTACAGTGAAAAATTCAGTGTGGACGTTTCTGTGGGATGGCACAGTGCTTATCACTCTGAATAATGAGGCATTCCTTTCAGTATCTCGAAATGCCAAGTTCCCTCCAGCCTGGGGCTTTGGCACACCCAGTTTCTGCCTGGACTGTTTGTTCTTGCACCATGTCTTCACCCAGATCCCATTCTCCAGATCCTGCATGAATTCTGCTTTTCCCTGGAGCCTCCCTGGACCCCTGAGGCTTGGCTGGCAGCCCCTGCCCCTGGGATCCCATTGTTTCTGGCTACCAAGCAGAGGTCAGCCTGCCTTGTAGCCAGGCTGTGAGCTTTTTAAGAGTGGGGACACTTTTCCTAGTGGTCTCTCCTCTGTCTTCAGTGCCTAGCCTAAGTGCCTGACACATGCTTGTTGCCTGATGACATAAACAGAGGGCAGGAATTGTGTCTGACTCATCTCTGGTTGGGCATCACCCAGGGCTGGCTTCATGGGCTTGCGACCAGTGCCATCACATAAGGCCCTAGAAAGATGGGGCCTTGGTCACCACGTGTGATGTCACCATCATTGTCTTGAAATTTTTAATAATTTTTTTTTGAATTTGTGTTTCGTAAGTGAAGTCTGATGGGACCCCTAAGCATGCTTTAGGGACTTGGAGCCTCAGCTCTCGCACAGTCCTGCCTTCCATCACCTCCCCAGGGTGGGTCAGATACCCATCCCTCCACCTCCACCCCCTGCCCCTGCCCTATGACTGCTGCTGTCCTCCACCCAGCAGGCACACAGAGGATTAGGGGTAGGCATGCACACTTGGTGGCATCTTTTGGTAGGGCATGCTCCAGGGTTAAGCACCACAGTGCATCTGGTGGGTGGCCAGCTGGAGGCTGTGTCTCAGCCAGGTCCAGCCTTTCGCCCACCCCTGATCCAGGTACCCAGAGCATGTTGGCTTAGAGCGTTAAACATTCCCAAGGATCCCTGTCTGCGGTGGGTTGGAGAACAGGCTGTGGGAAGAGGCAGGCTTGGCTCAGCTTCCCCAGACCCCGCCCTAGCCAGGGCAGGTCTTGTCAGTCCAGTCACTGGCTGAGGGTGAACCCAGCTGCCCTCAGACTCAAGCAAGCATGCGTGTCCCATGTTGCAGGGTAAGGCCCCAGGCACTTGTGAACTTCTGTCCTCTCCCTGCTAGTATCCCCCATACCAGAGAGAGTATCCCTGTACCCAGGAATGCTCCAGCAGCTGGCTCTGTGTCAGGTGTGTGTGTATGTGTGTATGTACGTAGGTATGGGTGTGTGTGTGTGTTGGGTGTGTGTGTGTGTGTGTGTTCCTCTCCTCCTCTTTTCAGCCTTGTTTCTGGCTTGTTTGTCTCTTATGGCCACTTAAGGCACTCCCATAGGGTTGAGCCACATAATACAAACTGTAATTTCAGTGATTTTGATAATGCATTAAATGCTCGCTCTTTTGCATTTGAAACTGGAATTTCACAATATAAAGATGAACAGTAAATTCATGCCAGTAATAAAAAATTTTATTTTTTCTTTACTTAGAACATCAAATAGCAAATGAATAGCATCATAAGAAGTCAAGAGAAAGACCATGGAAGAAAGAAGAAACTTTAACAGCGCTTTTTTCATGATCTTTGAACAAGGAGCTCTAAATTATCATTTTGCACTGGCTCTGTCCCAGCTCATGTTTGTTGAGTGAATAAATAAATAAATAAATGCATACATACATATTTATTAGTACATGGAACACACTGATTATCTTCCATTTCCTAACAACACTGTATGTAATCAGGATTGCAGGCATGTTATGAAATACTAGAATAGCTGAATATTAAAATTATTCTGGAATCATGTATGCTTATTGTTGGGGTTATTTGTGACGTCTCCAAAGTCATCACAGTTTTCTCAGCATCAATGTCCTCATCTCACCCCAGTCCTAGTTCTAGTCTTAGTGGAATAGATTGTATCAGACTAATCCTCTGACAGACAACAACGATCAACTGTGGATGAAATTTTAAAACAACTATTTAAAAATGCCAGAGAGCAAACAAAAGCAGACAAGTTAGAGGGACTTCAACCCACGAAATCAATAAACGTACTGACTGAGACTCATGCACACACACATGACAGAGGGACAGAAGCTCTATGAGAGGAGGACCCTTATCCATTTTGTTGATGGCACATAGTATATGTTCAATAAATTTTTGTTGTCAAATGAATGTTTTGTTTGGCCAACCTCACTTATTGTTTTTTCAGTTTTACTGAGGGATGATTTATGTAAAATAAAATTCACACTTTTTAATTGTACCATTTTATGAGTTTCACAAATGTATACAGTTGTATATCTGCCACTATGATCAAGATGTAGAGTATTTCCATCGCCATAGAAAGTTCCTTTATGCCCCTTTGCTGTTTATCCCTTCCCCAGCCCCAGCACCTGGCAATCGCTGACCTGATTTCTATAGCTTTGCCTTTTCCAGAAAGTTGAATAAATGGAATCACACTAAATGTAGCCTTTTGTGTCTTGCTTCTTTCTTTTCTTTTTTAAAAATTATTATTTTTTGAGATAGAGTCTCGCCGTGTCACCCAGGCTGGAGTGCAGTGGTGTGATCTCGGCTCACTGCAACCTCTGCCTCATGAGTTCAAACAATTCTCGTGCCTCAACCACCTCAGTAGCTGGAATTACAGATGTGCGCCACCACACCTGGCTAATCTTCGTATTTTTAGTAGAGATGGGTTTTCTCCATGTTGCCCAGGCTGGTCTCAAACTCCTGGCCTCAAGTGATCCACCCGCCTTGGCCTCCTAAAGTGCTGGGATTTCAGGCATGAGCCACTGTGCCTGGCCTGTGCCTGGCTTCTTTCTTTCACTTGTATAATACCTTTGAGATCCATCCATGTTGTTTCTGTGTATTAATAAATTATTTCTATTATGGCTGAGCAGTATTCCATTGTGTGGATATAACTCAAATTGTGGATTTTGGGGTTGTTTCTAGTTTTAGCAATGATGGATTAAGCTACTATATTTGCATGTTCGTCTTTGTGTGAACAGATTTTCTTTTCTAGGAGTGGCATAGCTGGGTCATATTGGTAAGTGGATACTTAACTTGGTAAGACACTGCCAAACTGCTTTCAAAATGGCTGTACCAGCCACGTAATGAGAGTTCCAGTTGCTCCACATCCTCACCAACACTTAGCATTGTCAGCATTTAAAGAATTTTTTAGCCATTCTAATAGTATGTAGTGTAATCTCATTGTGGTTTTAATGTGCATTTACCTAATGATTAATGATGTCAAGCATTTTTCATGTTCTTATCTACATCTCTTTTTTGATGAAGTTATGTGTTCAACTCCTTTGCCAATTTTAAAAATTGGATTGTTTATTTTCTTATTACTGAACTGTGAGAGCACTTTATATATTTGGGATACAAGTCTTTTATCAAATCTGTATTTTGCAAATATTTTCTCCAGCCTGTGACTTGTCTTTTTGTTCCCTTAATAATGTGTTTTTTGTTTTTTGGGGGTTTTCTGGTTTTTTTTTTCTTTTTTTTTTTTGAGACCAGGTCTCACTCCGTCACCCAGGCTCACTACAGCCTTGACTTCCAGGGCTCCCGCAATTCTCCCACCTCAGCCTCCTGAGTAGTTGGAACTAAGGCACTCACCACCACACCTGGATAATTTTTTGTAGAAATGGGGTTTCACCAGGTTGCTCAGGCAGGTCTCGAACTCCTGGGCTCAAGTGGTCCATCAGCCTTGGCCTCCCAGAGTGCTGGGATTACAGGCACCTTAATAACATCTTTTGAAGAGCAAAATTTTAAAATTTGATAAAGTCCTATTTATCAATTTTTTTCTTTTCTACTTTGTGCTTTTTGTGCCCTAAGAAATCTTTGCCTAACCCAAAGTCACAAAGATTGTTCTCCTGTGTTTTCTTCAAGAAGTTTTAGAGTTTTAGGTTTTATATATTTAGGTCTATGATTAATTTCAAGTGTTTTTTAATATATAGTATGAGATAGGGGTTCAGGTACTTTTTTTTTTTTGCATTTGTATGTGTAGCTGTTTCAACATCATTTGCTGAAAAGACTATTCTTTCTCCATTGAATTGCCTTTGGACCTTTGTCAAAAATCAGTTGGCCAGCTGAGCATGGTGGCTCACATCTATAATCTCAGCACTTTGGGAGGCCGAGGCAGGTGGATCATCTGAGGTCAGGAGTTTGAGACATGCCTGACCAACATGGTGAAACCCCATCTCTACTAAAAATACAAAAATTAGCCAGGCATGGTGGCACATGCCTGTAGTCCCAGATATTCGGGAGGCTGAGGCAGGAGAATTGCCTGAACCTGGGAGGCAGAGGTTGCAGTGAGCCAAGATCGTACCACTGCACTCCAGCCTGGGTGACAGAGCAGACTCCATCTCGCAAAACAAAACAAAACAACAGAAAAAACAATTGGCCATATATCTGTGGATCTGCTTCTGGATTCCAATCTGTTCCATTGATCTATGGGTTCATCCTTTTGCTAGTCCCACGTTGTCTTGATTACTGCAGCTTTATAAGAAGTCCTAAAATCAAGTAACACAGTCCTCCAATTTTGTTCTTCTTTTTCAAAATTGTTTTGGCTGTTCTAGTTCCTTGGCCTTTTTATATGAATCTTAATTTATCAATTTCTATCAGAAAAGGCCGATTTGGATTTTAAATGCTATTGTATTGAATTTTTGGATCAATTCAAGGAGAACTGACATCTCAAGTATATTGAGTCTTCCAATCCATGAACACAGTATATTTCTCTGTTTAGGTCTTCTTTGATACCTCTCAGTGGTTTATAGTTAGATAGTTTTCAGTATGTAGATCTTGCACATATTTTATTAGATTTATCTCTAAGTATTTCATGTGTTTTTGATACTTTGCAAATTGAACTTTAAAAAATTTTTCAAATTCCAATCATTCATTTTTGGAGTATTGAAGTTAAATCGATTTTTATGTATTGACTTTGTATGCTATGACCTGGCTAAATTCACCAGTTAGTTCAAGTTGCTTTTTCATGGATACTTTGGAATTTTCCACAGAGCCACTGTGGCACTGCAAATCAGGATGTTGAACCCTTATATTTCTGTATATCCTTGTATTTGCAGGACTGTCATCATAAAGTGTAGCTGTGGAGAGCACGGTTTTGCAGTCAGACATGGGTTGGATTTTGGTCCTCCATTTCCCAGCTGTGTGACTATGGCCTAGTTATTTGGCCTCTCTGAGCCTCCATCCCATCACTTGTAAAATGGGAAAAAAATCACCCCCTCTAAGATTACATTAGAGAATCGTTAGTTTTCAGAAGTGGAATTGCAGGTTAGCAGGCAGTCACAATTTAAGGTTCTTGGTATCTATCGCCAAAATGTTTGAATTGGAGTGCAACTCTTCACCAACCCCAGTAATATTGCCACTGCTATAGTCTGAAGGTTTGTGTCCCCCAAAACTCATATGCTGAACTCATAACCCCCTAAGATGATGGTATTTGGAGGGGGGAGCTTTGGGAGGTGATTGGATGATGAGGGTGGAGCCCTCATGAATAGGATTAGTGTCCCTATAAAAGAAGCCCTAGAGAGCTCCCTTGCCCGTTCTGCCATGTGATGACGCAGGGAATAGACAGCCATCTACGAAATAGGAACCCTCATAAAACACTGAATCTCATAAAACACAAACCTTCAGACTATAGCAGTGGCAATGTTGCTGGGGTTGGTGAAGAGCTGCACTCCAATTCAAGCATTTTGGCAATAGATACCAAGAGCCTTAAATTGTGACTGCCTGCTAACCTGCAATCCCACTTCTGAAAACTAACGATTCTCTAATTATAATCTTAGAGGGGGTGATTTTTTTCCCATTTTACAAGTGATGGGATGGAGGCTCAGAGGGGCTGAATAACTAGGCCACAGTCACACAGCTGGGAAATGGAAGGACCAGAATCCAATTCACCTTGATTTTGGACTTCCCAGCCTCCACAACTGAGAGAAATAAATTTCTGTTGTTTATAAACCACCCAGTCTATGATATTTTGTTACAGCAGCCCAAATGGACTAAGACACACATTTATAATTATGTGTGCTTTAAAAGATTTGGAGAATAATGTATACATATATCAAAACATCATGTTGTACACTATAAGTATATACATTTTTTATCTGTCAACTTAAAAATTAATTAACCAATTAATTTTAAAAAGAGAGAGAGACTCGGAGAGACATTCTTATCCTGTGTGCTCATAATTGTCAGCCAATCAATCTTCTTATATTTCCCGTCTGTTGTTTCTGGCCCATAGATGGCCATCACTATTGGTTTATACATGTTATTCTTTGATGTTTGAAGTGTTTTCCTTTTCAAACTGGAAACTTGATAACCACAAGAGCAAAAAGGGTTGACCTTCAGGGAGCACTTCCTCTGCGCCAGGCTGCGCTTCTCAGATATTAACTAATCCCCATGACAACCCTATGTAGTCTCTTTTTACCTCTATTTTGCAGGTGAGAAACTTGAGGTGAGAAGTCACTTGCTCAAGGGCACAGCCAGAGGGTAGCAGAGCTGGGATTTTTGCCCCCTCCCACCCCCCACCTCATTCAGTAAACCTAGAGTCTGAGCAAACTGGCCAGGGCTGAGACTAATTCCTGTCCTCATGAACTGGGTACCCATGAGCTAAGCTCTCAGCCCCTCTGACCCAGCTGGCCCTCTGCTCACAAAATTTTGATGAGTCTTCTGTGTCAGGCTCTCTGTTAAGTTCTAAGCCTCAGTTTCCTCATCTATAAAATGGGCCAAATGGTTATGTCTATGGCACTTGCCTGTTGTGAAGACTGGATAAGATGCTGGGGCCACAAAGGTTTGTTGATGAGCTTATGAAGGTTGGATTCTCGGAAGTTCCTGGCCATGAGTGGGGACCTTTGAGACATGATCAGGCTCCTTGACCTTGGTCTGTGCCTGGCTTGTCTCTCCACCTTCTGTTAGTATAAAAATGCCAGCTCTGTTCTTTTCAGTTCTCACCTTGTGAGAAAAGAAAAGTAGTCTAAGTTTCTCTTCTTTGTCCTGAACTGGGAGGGCGGGAGGGCTACCTCAAGCAGGAGGCCGTAGTCAGGAGACCCAGGTTCTCATCCTTGCCCCACCCTTCAAAATCAGCCTGGCTTTAATCCAGTGACTGCCTGTCTCTGAACTTCCGTTTCCTCTGCCGCAAACTGAGGAAGATTCTTCTGTCCCCCGCACCAGGGCCGAGTGAGTTAAATGAGATAATGAGTGGGAACACTCATTGTAAACTACAGGCTAAATGTGTTTTTATCATGGGTCTGCTTTGTGTCTCAGGGGCTACATGTGGTCGGAAGACGACGGGCTCTCGTCTGGTTTGGCTCGGGGCTCTGTTACTTATCAGCTGGGAGCCTGGCTTTCCCCTTCTATAGTGCTGGGATAATATTGGGGTAGTCTGCTCGTGGGGCCCTCTGCCTCCTGTGTACATGATAGGATTACACGTGCTGGCCTCCCTGTGATTGAGTGGGGCCACATGACTAGCTGTGAGTAAAAGTGACATGTGTCACTTCCAGGGGGAACATTTAACTGCTTGAATTGAATCTTCCCTTTGTGTGTTCTGGTAAATCTGCACATAAATGGGGCCTCAATCTGGGCCTCTGAGTGAAGCCCCTTAGGTAAAATATGTATTGTCAGCAAAAAAGTAAATAAGCAAATAAATGCAAGCTTTAAAATTTGAAGCTGTTAAAATTAAAATTATTGGTTATCACAGCATAACTGTGCCTATCCTGGCTGAGACAATCTCTCCTTCGCGAGGTGGCTGTGAAACTTCAATGTGAGGATACAGGTAACACTCTTGGTTAAAAGCCTGACAGGTAGTAAGCGCCCATTGAATGGGAACGGTAATTATTACTGTGGTAAGAACACAGCAAGAAATGGTTGGATTCAAATCCCAGCTTTGCTCTTAGCCCTCTGGGTGACCTTGGACCGAGAACTTAACTCTATACAATTTGGGGCTCAGTTGGGGGATCACAGGAGCTGAGCTGAGAGCCAGGGTTGCCTTGTAGTTTTAGGGCCCTGGGGCCAGACTGCCTGGCTTCAAATCCTGCTGTGACCATTCATTAGCTGCTGTATGACCTTGGGCAAGTCACTTAATCTCTTTGTACCCCAGTTGCCTCATCTATAAAATGGTGATAATAGAAGTACCTACTTTAAAGGGCTATGGGGAGAATTAAATAGGTTAACGAATGCAAAATGCTCAAAAGATTTCCTGACACATGGAAGCACTCCAGAAATTTGAGAGCTTATTTATTATTGTCCATTGGACAATATGGAACAGTGTTTGGGAGCCCTAGCTGGATCCAGCCCTGGCTGGATCCCAAACCTGTGTTTCATCAGCTGTGTGATCTTGGGGCCGTCAGATTACTTCTCTGAGTTTCACTTTCCTCATTCATGGAACAAGGGTAGTAATACCTACTCATAGCCATTTTGTGAGGGTTAAGTGAGATAATGTATGGCACTGGTAATGTATGCAGTGCCTGGCCCCGCAAGAGCTCAGTCGGGACCAGCTGTGATGATTAACACAGGAATGAACACCCAGCACCTAGTAGGTGCCTGGTCAATATTTGTCCCTCCACCATCCCTCATCTCGGACAATCTCTCCAAGGGAAAAACAAGGCTCACCCAGGCAAAGCAACAGCTTCCTGACTCAGGCGTGCTGGTGACCATGCTGGGGCAGAACTCCATTCTCTGCACCCCCACATCCCCCACCCCAGCTGGAGAGGCCACCATCCTGCTGGCGCCCCGGCAGGCCCGCTGCTGCCCACCTGTGCTTTGCAGTGGGATGGTGAGTGGCAGCTGGACTCCGAGGGCCAGGTGGCAGAGGGGCGGGTCTCTCCCCTGGGCATTGCAGCCACTCTAGTTACCCTCTTGGATTTCCTCACTCTCCAGGCTGCACGCTGGGTGGGCCTTTAGGGGCTAGTGAAGTGTTCAGCATCTTCCCCGTACCTTGCTGTTTCTGAGGACCAGGGGTGCTGCCGGAGCTGGGCCCTTTACCAGGGCCACCATGCAGCGAGCAGGTCCCCAGAGAACCTCTCCCCACATGCCGTGTGGGGGTTGCGAGACCCTGTCCCTGCGGAGTGAGCTGAAGGCCGGGAGCTGCCAGCAGCTGCAAGGTAGGGAAAGCCTCCCAGGCCCAGCAGAGAGCTGTCCCCAACATACATGCCTGGGTGCTCCCACCTTGGGCGGAGACTAGGGGGGAATGAGAGGGACCACTTGTTTCTCTCAACCTACCCAAAAATGCACATGGATCGAACCCTGACTTGGACCTGGCCTGACACTGAAGCTTGAGTCCAGCTCAGAGCACAGCTACAAACCCAGGGCCCCCACAAACCCAGGGTCCCCACAAACCCAGAGCCCCTGCAAACTCAGGGCAGAAGAATGAGGGATGCTGAGGAGGAAGGGCTGTTGGAACCTTCAAAATCCTCTTAAAAATTTCTTTATTGGTGTATAATAGTTGTGCATATTTTGGGGGTTCATGTGATATTTTGATACACTCATACCATATGTAATGATCACATCAGGGTATTAAGGATAGCCATCATCTCCAACATTGATCTTTTCTTTGTGTTGGAACATTATAACTCTTCTTTTCTAGCTAAAAAAATTCTCTTTTTAAAAATAGTGTGCACCAAACTAGATCTGTGCAGCACAACAAAAATGTATTGAGCACTGTATTAGTCAGCTCCGGCTGTCACCACCAATTACCACGGACTGGGTGGCTCAAACAACAGAAATGTATTTTTGCACAGTTCTGAAGGCTGGAAGTCTCAGGTCAAGGTCTGGGCTGGGTTCTGGTGAGGGCTCCCTTCCTGGCTTGCAGACGGCCACCTTCTGGCAATGTCCTCACTTGGACTCTTCTCTGTGCATGCATGGAGGGAGGGCAGTGAGTTCTCTGGTGTCTCTGCTGTTGAAGACACTAATCCTATTGGATCAGGACCCCACCCTCGTGACCTCATTCAACCTTACCTACTTACTAAAGGCCCTGTCTCCAAATACACTCACCACAGGTGTTAAGGCTTCAGCATGAGTTTGGGGGAGGGGCATAGGCATTCAGTCAGTAAGAAGCACGTATTTGAGTCACGTGCCGGCAACAAGACATGCGAAGTGCTCATTAGCATGGAGCTTATGCTCCTGAGGGGTGTGTGTGTAGGTGTGTGCACACGTGTACACAGCATGCATGTGTGAACAATTACCAGCCAGATAAATAAGCACACGAGTTCATGGGCAAGCTGTGGCCAGGCCTCTGGTTTGCAGTGCCTGAGCAGAGTGGTGAATAGTGCAACGTCTTGAGCTGGAAGGACCAGGTTCATTCATCTCCTGGGTCTGTTACTTCAAAGCTGCGTGTCCTTGGGCTTTCCCTCTCTTTATGTCGGCTTCCTTATCTGTGAAGTAAGATTAGCAATACCCACAACAGAAGGCTGTTGACATGACTTAGAATACTGGCTAGTAAATGCTCGGTACAGGGTTTGGAAGGTCGGTTATGAATAATAGATGGTTATTATCATCATGAACAAGGAGATTACCTCTAATTGAGGTGGAGGCTTTGAGCTAGAGGCAAACTAACCTTTGAGGTCATATGTTAGAAGGTCTTAGCTACAGAGTGGAGTATATCAGGGAGAATAGGCACTATTTGGGTCTGATATGTGATGCTCTTCTTGGGTACATATCATTCATTCATTCACTCATTCATCATATTTTCATCAAATTTACCCACTATCCCCACAAAGCCATTTACCCACTACCCTCCCAAAGCCACCAAAATCAGCTGAGATCTTGTCACACTGATCTGGCTCAGATTCTTACAGGTCAGGCAGGGGCTGAGAAGTTTTATTAGTGCAGCTGGCTGCCCACCAGATGCAGACAGATGGAACCTACTTGACACCCATAGCATTGTTCTTGGCAACGCCAGGAGGCTCTGAAGAGGATGCCAACTGCCTGATGGGGCGACTGAGCCCACTGTGAATTCAGGGTTAGCACGCAGATGTCTGGGCAGGAGAAGAATTGTCATGCCTTCCAACCCAAACTCTTTAAATATCCATTCAACATATTGAGCAGACTGTGTTCCCTGTGTCGTGGAAGGCAGGGCCCTTCTGGTGGCTGCCATAGCCTCTCCTGTACTGTGGTTGGCATTTGGGCTCCAGCTCCCACTTGGACACCCAGCCACAAAACAAAGCCCCATTGTTCACCTGCTGTCCCTGGTCCCTTCAGAAAGCCTCTCTGTGGTTACAGAGGCTCTCATCTTGAGGACCTAGGCTAGATGGGGTCTAACCTCCAACCAGAGGAGTTTGTAGAAGGATTCTTCCCAATCCTTCCAGTCCCTGCCTGAGAGGAGGTCTGTGCTCCCCTGTCCCCATCTCATCACATCCCCAGGGCTGCCTGAGCACCCCTTGGAGACCAGCGCCTCAGGGCCCAGCCTCTCAACCTTTCCTACCTGACCTGGGGCCCCTGAGCATTTACAGGGCAGCCTGGTGCCTGGGAGGGGTGGTTGGGCTCGATGGACCTGCAAGTTCCTTTCCTCTCGGCTGTTCTGAGGTTCTAAACACCCACCCTCTGCCCTTGTCTGGGCTTCTTGGTGGGAATTCAGGGAGGGACCAGGCTTGAGCCTGCCCGTGGGAAAAGCACAGCATCGTGTGCCCTTAGCCCACAGCGGAACTGTCCCCGCTTCAATTTTCATCATCTGTAACATGAGGATGACCACAATAGCGCCTGCCTTCCAGAGCTGTGCTGAGGATTAAATGAGTTAATTCATGGGCAGGGCATAGACTAGTCCTGCCACATGGGGCCAGGACGTAGAGCTAACACAGCTGTTAGCTCTCCACCTGGTCTGGGATTGAGCCCATCCAGGAACCAGCGGTGGAGCAAGATGGGGGCGGTAACATTCCAAATCCTATTGGCGATTGCATTTTCACCTTCGGATTGAGATCTTCCAGCCAACGTGCTGGGGGAGTTTTGGGATCAACACAGTATACAATGGCTAGAGTTCAATCCTTTCAGAGCTTGAGACTCTGGGTCACACAGATGCATCCATCTACAAGTATTTATTGGCATACCTACTCCATGTCAGGCACTGATTTCAGCACTGGGAATACAGCAATGAAAAAAATTACTGCTCTTGAAAAACTTACAACCTAGTAGGGAGGCAAATAGCCAATAAACCTATCTCAGAGGGTGACAATGATTAAAAACAAAAGTAAAGCAGAATGGGGGGACAGAGAGGGATAGGGGCTACAGGAGGCTTTATTTTTTAGAGAGGCCTAGGAAGTTCTCACTGCGATGATGTCACTTGAGTAGAGGCTGGAGTGATAGAGGCACTGAGCCATGAGGGCATTGGGGGGAAGTGCATTCTGGGCAGAGGGGACTGCCACTCCTGTGGCAGGAGTGTATCTGGCATAGATGAGGCACAGCAAAGAGGCTGGCATGACCTGAGCAGAGTGAGCGAGGGCAGGGGGGCAGGATTTGAAGTCAGAGAGGCGTGGGATTCAGAGGGCTTTGAGGGCTGTTGTAAGGTTCTAGCTTTTACTCTGAGATGGAGGGCTTCCGGGGTGGGGGATGAGCAGAGGAGAGACAGAACCCAACGTACATTTTAAGTAGGCTGAAAAATGCACCCCTAAGACATCTACAGCCAATCTCCAGACCGTGAATATGGCTAAAAGAACTTTGCAGACGTGATGAAGGTCAAAGTCCCTGAGATGGGAAGATTACCCACGGATGTAACCACAGGTGTCCTTATTAGAGGGAAGCAAAGGAGATGCTGGTCCAGAGGAGGAGGGGAGGTGATGGCAGAAGCAAGACGTGGAGAGACGTGAGCTGAGGCAGGTGGTCTCCAGAAGCTAGACAGAGCAAGGACCAGATTAACTCTAGAGCCACTGGAAGAAACCAACTCTGCTGATGTCTTGACCTTATTCAGTGAATCTGCTTTTGGGCTTTGAGCCTCCAGAGCTGTAAGAGAATAAATGTGTGTTGTTTTAGACTATCAAGTTTGTGTTAATTTGTTACAGCAGCCACAGGAAACTAATACAGATCCCTGTAGCTCCTCTGCAGAGAACTAAAAGTAGTCTTGGGAAGAAGAAGAAAGACCTGTCGGGAGGCTTTTCAACCATCCCCCAGAAAGGCAAGGGGGCTTGGGCAGCATGGCAGGTGTGAAAAGGTGGTGGCAAGTAGCTGGATTCTGGCTCCATGTTGAAGGTAGAGCCGAGGAGAATTAGATACAGGGTGGCCAAGGAAAATCAAAGATGGTCTCAAGATTTTTGGCCAGAGTAACTGGCAGAGCAGGCACCGTTTCCTGAGATGGGGAGGGGCAAAAGAGGGGCAAGTTTGGAGGGGGTGGGGGCAAAATCAAGAAATCAACCTTGTGCGTATCAAGTGTGAGTCCAGGAGATCATCAGATACGTGAGTCCATTTCTGGGGCAAGGTCCAGGATAGCGACATAAATGTGGGTGTCTTCAATCCAAGTTCTCGCTGTCTGCCTGAGACAAAGGTGCGCTTTTCACTGAAGATGGGCTTTGGGCAGTGGTCCTAAAGAGCTGCGTTCATCTGATGACTGCTCTGCTCCAGGCCTTTTGCACATTATGTCGTCTGTCCCCACCAAGCCTTCGAGGCACTGTTATCACAATCCCCATGCTACAGGTGCAGACATGGAGGCTCAGCAATGCAACGTGAACTATGTGAACTGCCCACAGTCGTCAGGGAGGAAGGGGCAGAGCTGGGATTTGAACCCAGGTCTGCAGGGACACCAGGGAACCTTCAAGGGTTAAGCTGGAGACTGGCCTCTTAAATTCCTCCCCCTGCAGCCTGGGAAGGTGAATGCCATTATTTCCAAATTGTGTCGGCAGCATGATACCCCCTGCAAAGGGAGCCAGGCTTGGAGTGTTTGTCAGGAACCACCAGGAGGAAAAGAGAAGTTGCATGGCCGAAAAACCTTGAACTTGCTGAAGGCCGGATATTTCTGTAACTTTTGCCTTAGGCATCCCAAAAATTGATCACTCAGGGGAAACTGAGGCAGCACATCAGCCTTGTGCTCCTCGAAAGCTGGGCCCAGGTCAGCTCCATCTCTGCCTTCCTCCTGGCACTTAACGTGCAGTCCCTTACCTGCAAGAGGTGAAGGGCTTGGTTCTATGGAGCCGCTTGTACTATATTTGGGAAGGGGAGTTGGTCCTCCAGCCCTTCTCTTCTTTGTCCCCTGGTACCCTCACTCTCTGGGCCTTGCCAGCTGTCAGGCTGCTGCACACACCGGCCCTCTGATGCCCTCACACCTGAGCAGGGTAAGCCAACAGTGTGTGTGAGTAGCTTCAGAGAGAGTGTGGTGAGTGGGAAGTACGATGAGAACTTCGCTATCCAGATCCTGTGTCTTGTACAGATGCATGAGCCACGGCTATCCACCGAGGATGCCTGTCATCTCCTCCAAGAGCTAAGCTGCCGCCCAGCCTCTGACAGCTAGAAAGAACCTTTTGTTTCTTCTGTGCCTGGAGGAAGGCCTTGTATTGTCTGTTTGTTCAGCGAATAGGCTCTGCCTGATTGTGGGCCACTAATAAATGCATCTGTTTGGATTTCACAAGTATATTTGAATTCCCAAGTCTTCCATGGCATACCAGGAAGCAAACACAGCCAACACTTTCAGAACTAATACCCCAGCAGGACACGTGCAGGATTAAACTGGAAACTGCCAGAATGGAAGTATGCAGAGAAAGCACCTGGCACATAGCGAGGACCTGCTGTGTGTTGGGTGAGGTGGGCAGAGCTGGGCTGTGGACTCAGACAGATCGGGGTTTCAAACCTGTATCTGCCATTGACCAGCTGTGTGACCGTGCAAGGGACTGGCCTGCCCGAGCCTCAGTTTCTTTGTGTGCAGCTGAGAATTTCAATCCCTAATTGCATGGATTGTGTGGTATAACATGTGTAGAGTGATTGCACCGTTGCCTCATTTATTCCTTACTCTCTAAGGCAGGTATTAGGCATTCCCACTTTGCAGACGAGAACACTGAGTCTCAGAGAGGAAGTCAATTGCCCCAAGTCCTACAGCCAAGAATGCTCTGTTGGGTTACAAAGTCACTGCTGACTGCTAGTCTCTGCCTTGGACTAGCCAGTTAGCTCTTTAGTTTTTGTAAAACTATGCAGGGATTGGAGCTGTGGGATGATCTTGTCCAGGCCTCCTTATGGACCAGGCTGGTGGCTGCTGGTGGGCTGGGTTAGGGACTGCGTGGCCTTCCCCTGGACCCCAGGACTTCCCAAAGGGCGGCTTTGGGCCTGATGGCAGCTCGGCCAGTTGTTTCAACACAGCCTGTCTGCTCTCAGCTTCTTGGTCGCAGTTTGAATTGTTCGTTTCCTCCTGATACTGGGCGCCTGCTGGGGGCTTCTCGCCTGCCTCTGGGGCGGCCCATCCTGGTGGATGTGGATTTCCATGTATGGACTCAACACGGCTCTCCCCAGACCCTGCGTTGACTTTGCACAAGGATTTTTTTTTCCTCTCTTGTAGCTTCCTGGGAGATGGCCTGTTTGATTTTTACAGGAGCTGTCACTGTAATTAACCTTCACTGAGTTCTGCGTGGAGGCTGACTCAGGCTTTGTCCGGGAAGGAAGCGTGAAGGAGTGAAGTGTCTTATTTCTGCCTCTCACTTGCTGAATGATCAACTTACATGAGGGGATTTTGCCCCCCTGAGCCTCAGTTTCCTCCTCTGTGAAATGAGCACAAGGAAACGCAAAGGAGCCAATGAGATAATATTAACTTCATGTTTGCTAGGAGGACGAAGGAGATGGCCTGCACACAGGCCAGCACAGCAAGGGGCACACCCGTGGGTGAGCGCAAACCCCATGAGGGCAGGGCCCGGGTCAGCCTTGCTGTCGGCTGCATCCACAGTGCCCAGGACACTTCTGAGCTCCTAACAGGGCTGGGGAACGTGTGTTGAATGAGTAGTTATTGCTGTCACCTGTCTCTAGGGGCTTCCACTTAAGAGCTTCATAGTCTCAGGAGAGCGCTAGGAGAGACGGCAGCTGGAACAGCTCACAGGCAGAGATGCCTGCGAGGGGGAAAGGGTGTAATTAAATTGCTGTTTAAGGAGCAGCTCGTCCGCAGGCTGGGAGCATCCCTGCCTGGGTATGGGTGCACACGGCGGGCAGTGGGGCAGAGGCCTGGTGCCCCCTGCATGCCGGGTGCCATGCGAGGCAATTCATGCACCTTAACTCATTGAATGCTTTCAAGCATTCCTCACAGGCGGGAGGTCACCCTGTTTTGCTAATTAAGAAATTGAGGTTCAGGACAGGAAGTGACTGGTCCAAGGTCACATGGCAAAGAGGAGGGGGGCCAGGAAGCCCGATTAAGTCCCTGGAGAGTGTGTCTTTATGTTTCTGCCCATTGGCCTCTCCTCCCTTTGGGGAAACACCTTCCTCTGCTCCATGACCCAGGCTTGGCCACTCAGAGCCCCTCCGGAGGCTGGGGCTGAGGGCTGTATCTGCTGGGGTGGCTGAGCTGGCACAGTGGGGTCTTGGGTGCTGCTGCCAGCCATCTTGCCTCTGTGGGGAGGGCCTCCTGAGACGATAGCCCCACAGAGAGCAGAGCCACACGCAAAGAGGCCCTTCCCGACAACACAGTAGAGCCCCTGAGGCCGGCTCTGCCCTTGGCCTTTTCAGTCCTGGGAGCAAATAAAGGCCCATTTGGGCTAAAGCTAGCTGGAGTTGGACTTCTGCCACTTGCAACCAAAACAGTCCTGGCTTGTGTCATCTGGGGTGGGAGACCAGATAAGCTCTGTGAACAGAAAAACATGGAGGGCATGGCCTCATGTGCTGGACTGGAGAAGGGCTTCCTTGGTGGGAAAGGATTTCAACCATGCATCCAAGATCTAGGGGAATCCAACCGACACAAGTGGTGCTGGCTTTGGTTCTCTCTCTCTCATTGGGGCGGAATCTGATTGTCATGGACAGTTGGGTGAGAGTCTTTTCCTTGACTGACTGTTAAGCCCACCAAGGTAACACCCTATGAGTAGACCCTATGAGTAGACTCACTCAGAGCTTTGGGAGAAAAAAATTACATCTTCTCGGCATGAGCTGAGGATTCCATCAACTTGCTGGCTTCCTCCCGCCTCTGCCTGCCCGGCACTGCCTTGCTCTTTGAGAAGAGACTGGGCAAGCTGACTTCCCTGTGACTGGGCCCCAGAGTCCCCAGCAGGGAGATGTGATATCTGGGGAGACTCCCCACTCCCAGCCCTTCCTTCCCGGAGTCCCCAGCAGGGAGATGTGATACCTGGGGAGACCCCCGACTCCCAGCCCTTCCTTCCCAGGGTCCCCAGCCAAGAGCAGGGAGAGTGAGTAACAGCTCAGAACACCTCGGCCGATACCAGGGCTCACTCCCGCAGGGGAGCGCTTGCTCCCTGGAGCCCAGGAAATGCCAGGGCAGCATTCTTGGCCAGCAACCTTCCCCTCTACCCCTCCAGGCTTCCCTCATTCTTCAGCCCCTTCTTCCCCATCACTCAGAGGCCAGAGCAGCGGTTCTCAGAGTGTGGTCCCTGCACCAGCGGCATCAGTGTCATTCACATGCTTGTCAGAAATGCAACATTCCAGCCCCCATGCCAGACCCACTGTAATAATTTGCTAGGGCTGCCATAACAAAGTCCCGTAGTTTGGGTGGCTTAAACAACAGAGACTTCTTTTCTCTTCGTTCTGGAGGTTAAAAGTATGAGACCAAGGTGCTGCCCAGCTTGCTTGCCTGCCTTCCTTCCTTCCTTCCTTCCTTCCTTCCTTCCTTTCCTTCCTTCCTTCCTTCCTTCCTTCCTTCCTTCCTCTTTCTTTTCTTCTCTCTCTCTCTCTCTCTCTCTCTCTCTCTCTCTCTCTTTCTTTCTTTCTTTCTTCCTGAGACAGAATCTTGCTCTGTCACCAGGCTGGAGTGTAGTGGCACTATCCTGGCTCACTACAACCTCCACCTCCCGGGTTCAAGTGATTCCCCTGCCTCAGCCTCCCGAGTAGCTGGGACTACAGGCGTGCACCACCATGCCCGGCTAATTTTTTTTTGTATTTTAGTAGAGACGGGGTTTCACCATATTGGTCAGGATGGTCTCGATATCCTGACCTCATGATCCACCCATCTTGGCCTTCCAGAGTGCTGGGATTACAGGCATGAGCCACCGCACCCAGCCCGGGTTGGTTTCTTCTGAGGCCTCTCTGCTTGGCCTGCAGATGGCCACCTTCCTGCTGTGTCTCAGGTGGTCATCCTTCTGTGTCTTGTGGCTCACTGTGTCCTGATCTCCTCTTCTTATAACAACACCAGTCATATTGGATTAGGGCCCACCCCAGCGACTTCAGTTTACCTCATTTACTTCTTTAAAGGCCCTATGTCCAAATACAATCACATGCTGAGGTACTGGAGGTTAGGGCTTCAACATGCGAATTTTTTTTGGGGGGATGCAATTCAGCCCATAACACCTACTGAATCAGAAACCCTGGGGAGGGACCTGGCAGTCTGTGTTGTAAGGAACCCCTGGTGATTCTGCTGCCTGCTCAAGTGTGAAAACCACTGGACTAGAGTTTAGATCACCCATGAGGTACCAAGCCCTGTGCTAGTCGCCTAATCAGTCAACAAATGGTGTTAGCTCCTGGTTGATGGGTGCTGGGTCACACATAAAACCACCCCCAGCCTCGTCCTCCTGGAGGGCACACACAGTCTGGACAGGGGGACAGATGCAACAATTGATTTAAAAGACTCCATTAAATGATTACGAGAGAGACCAGGGCTGGAAGATACTCAGGGTGCCCTGGAGCAGAGGAGGCTTCTTGGAAGAAGCGAGGTGACCGCCTGGATCTGAAGGAAGAATGATGGTTACCAAGGTCGGAAGCAGTGGCTTCAGACAGGTGCCCCAGCCTAGGGATAGCACAGACCAGGAGCCTCGAATGTGACCATGGGCACCCCGGGGAATGTGCAAGGTAATTCCCTGGGGTACAGGAAGAAATCACTAAATTTTTAAAAATCTTGATAAACATTCAATAAAAGGATCAAAATGAGGATCCACCAATGAGGATCAGTGGTTCTCACACTGGGTTCCTTGGGACCCTGGAATTCTGTGGAGATGCCCCAGGGGGAGTGGTGGACTGAGCATTTTCATTTTCATTTGCCTTATATGTCTATTTTTCATCTTGCCTTTCATTCATTTCAACTATTGAAGTATACTTTAAATGTATGCAACATGTTAGCACAGAAGTACAGGTAGCTACTTTTGATGATAAAAAGTGTACCAGTATTGGAGGTGTGCTGAAAATAATTCTATGAATGTGGTGCTTGTCAACAAAATGTGGAGACCACTGTTGTATATATACAAAGGTGGGGAGGCTGGAAAGAACCAGGAAGGCTGCTGTGGCTGGAATCCAGAAAGGAGTGGGGCAGTACATTGACATGAGGCTGGAGAGGTATCTTAAGGGGCAGTGGGGAGCCACTGAAGGTGCTTGAGCAGGAGAGGGGCTCCATATCATATTTGTGGTTTTGTTTTTATTTTTTTATTTTTGAGATGGAGTTTTGCTCTTGTTGCCCAGGCTGGAGTACAAGGGCACGATCTTGGCTGACTACAACCTCCACCTTCCGGGTCCAAGTGATTCTCCTGCCTCAGCCTCCTGAGTAGCTGGGATTACAGGTGCACACCACCACACCTGGCTAATTTTCTGTATTTTTAGTAGAGACGGGGTTTCACCATGTTGGCCAGGCTGGTCTCGAACTCCTGACCTCAGGTGATCCACCGGCCTCGGCCTCCCAAAATGCTGGGATTACAGGCGTGAGCCACCGCGCCCAGCCAGATTTGTGTTTTAAAAACAACAGTCTGGCTTCTCTGGGGAGGATGATGTGAAGCAGGCAAGAGCAACTCCAACTTAGAACCTCTGTGCTCTTGGGGGTAGCAGTCTGGAGGGGTAAGGAAAGGATGTGTTCTGGAGCCCCTCGGTCTTGTTTCCGGTTCCCTCTCTACTCCTTTTAGTTGTGTGACCTCATTTACAGTGTTCAATCTCTCTGTGCTTTGTTTCCTCACCCTAAAAACAGGAGTCACCACAGGGCTGTAGTGAGGATGAAGCCACATCATGCAAATCAAGGACTGAAAACAGAGCCCAGCACAGAGAAAGTGCTCTGTGTGTGTTCGCTGTTTTTACTGCTGTTGTTTCCGCGATTTGCCTGGGCCCTCCTCCAAGGCAGGAGACTTATCTGTCCACCCTGAGCCCTCAGCAGCCCAGGCTGCTCCTGGTAATGCTACCAACTCACTGTGTGCCCTGGGGCAAGTCCTATCTCTCTATTTGGAGACTCAGTTTCTCCTTATGCAAAATGAGGACCAAAATGAGGATCCACCAATGAGGGTCAGTGGCTCTCACACTGGGTCCCTTGGGGCCCTGGAATTCTGTGGAGATGCCCCGGGGGAGTGGTGGACTGAGCATTTTCATTTTCATTTGTCTTATATGTTTGGATCATGTAAAAAATTTCATTTGAACAAAGAAATCTGTTGCTTCTAACAACCTTTTAAAAGCTTGAATACAAATGGATGAGATGTTCCGTAAAGGTCTTCCAGGTCCAGAGTTGATGAATCTTGTTGCAAAATCATAATGGGCTAGCAGCTTAAGTCGCCCGTTATAAATGTCTCCCCGGCACAGAGTTCAAGTTTCTCACGTATAATCCCTGCCCCCATTAGGCCCGGTAATGCCTGTGAGCAAGGATGTATAATACCTCTCCCCCATCGGCTGCCAGCTGGCCCTCAAGATTTACGTGTGGCTCCTGTTTTTCCTCATGCAAACGCTGCCCGTCGGTTCCTTCCATCTTTCCTAATAAGTCATCTTCCTCACCCTTGGTAATCTCTCTCACTTTTCCCTGGACCGCCTCCAGCCGGCCTTCGTTTATGCAGCCGGCAGATGCCAATTGGCAGCATCCAGGGGCTCCAGTGTGTGAAAGGGGCCCCAGTTCAGTGGGGATATTTGAGCTGAGCTTCAGGCTGCAGGTCTCGAACTTCGGTGAACATCAGAATCTCCTGGCAATGCAGTTTTCTAGGCTTCAGGTCTTCTGACCAGAGGCTGCCTTGGAGTCCAGGAATCTGAACACTTAACGAGCCGCATGTGGGCTTCTGAGGCAGTGTTCTTGAGAGTGTTCTAGGGATCTAGGCCTCAGTGTTCTAGAGACGATGTCTTCAGATTAACTTGAAAACCACTCCCCTTTTCACTCACATCCCTCCTCCATTCATTCATCCAGCCAGTCGGCAAACCCTCACCGAGCACCCACCTATAGCCAGCGTTGCACTGAGAATAAAAAGATAAGCCAGACCCCGACTCTCCCCTTGCCAAATGCATGGTACAATTTGGGAGCTTACAACTTTATGTCTAATACAATGAGGCATGAAAGCAGCAGGTTAAAGAGGAGATGACCCAGGCTCTGGAATGAGATGGGCTGCTCACTAACTTACTGGCTGTGATGGTTAATACTGAGTGTCAACTTGACTGGATTGAAGAATACAAAGTATTGATCCTCGGTGTGTCTGTGAGGGTGTTGCCAAAGGAGATTAACATTGGAGTCAGTGGGCTGGAAAAAGCAGACCCACTCTTTATCTGGGTGGGCACCATCTAATCAGCTGCTAGCACGGCTAGAATATAAGCAGGCAAAAAAATGCGAAAAGAGAGACTGGCCTAGCCTCCCAGCCTGTATCTTTCTCCCATGCTGGATGCTTCCTGCCCTCGAACACCGGACTCCAAGTTCTTCAGTTTTGGAACTCGGACTGGCTCTCAGCCTGCAGACGGCCTATTGTGGGACCTTATGATCACGTGAGTTAATACGTAATAAACTCCCCTTTATATGTATATCTATTCCATTAGTTCTGTCCCTCTAGAGAACCCTGACTAATACAGCGACCCTAGGAAAACAACTAGGCCTTCCTCTGCCATGCTATTATTACAATGGTGATAATAACAGAATGTGCTGCTGGGGGTTATCAGGAAGATTAAACAGGGTCATGGACGGGAAGCTCTTGGCTGATGCCTGGCACACAGCGGTTTTCAATAAACAGTGGTAATTCCATTTTAGGTGGAATTTGCTTTCTTTCTTTTTTTTGAGATGGAGTCACGCTCTGTCGCCAGGCTGGAGTGCAGTGGCGCGATCTCGGCTCACTGCAACCTCCGCCTCCCAGATTTTCCTGCCTCAGCCTCCCGAGTAGCTGGGACTACAGGCGTGTGCCACCATGCCCAGCTAATTTTTGTATTTTTAGTAGAGACGGGGTTTCAGGCTGGTCTCGTTCTCCTGACCTCATGATCCGCCCGCCTCAGCCTCCCAAAGTGCTGGATTACAGGCATGAGCCACTGCGCCTGGCTGGAATTTGCTTTCAATATTTAGGATATTTAGCTTCCTCTTTAATCATCCAAGTCATCTCACTGTTAAAAAAGAATTTTCTTTTTTGCCTTCTTGCAATGAATCAGAGCCCTGAATGAAGGCAGGGAGAAGGCAAAAAGTATTTCTTTTCAGATCAAGGTTCCCCTTTCCTAGGATGCCTTGGGCTGGGGCGTGACTAATCCTTCTCTAAACAAGTCCATGGCCATGTCCTCTCTTGGGAGAGTGGCTGAGAGCTCAGGCCCTGATGCCAGGTGAGTTTGAATCTGGTTCCAGCTGTGTGGCCATGGGCAAGCCACTTCGCCTCTCTGAGCCTAAGGACAGTATGTACAGCATGGTACTGTTGAGGTGTTATATACAGTGAGATCTACAAAGCTTATCTAGGCACATATTCAGCAGTTGTAAACTATTAGCAACAATTCGTCATTCACTGAATAGATATTTATTGAGCACCTAGAATCTGCCACATGTTGGACTTTACACCACAGACATAGCACTTCATTCAAAAACAGACCCAACAATAAGTAAACAAATACAGACATAGATATGTCAGGGTGCTGAGCACCATGAAGAAACATAAAGCAGGGGAAGGGATAGCGTACGATGGGGGCATGGGTTGGGGTATTTAACTAGGACACTGCAGGAAGTCCTATTGCAAATGGGCTGTTTGAGCAGAGCCCTGAATGAAGGCGGGAGAAGGGAGCCTGTCTGTGATGTCTCCTGACCAGGGTCTGGTGGCGGCAGAGACTGGGACTGCAGCCCCGCATTGGCAGCAGGTCTTCCACGATGGGGTGTTCCTCCCAGCTCCCCCCCTCCCTCCTCCTGCTTCTGCTCCCTTTTGGCAACCCCAAGAGGCTGAGAATGTCCTTGGCCACGCTGCTCCCTGGGGCCAGGGCTGTCTCCCCAAGAAGGAGTCCAGTCTTCCCTGTGGAGCTCATGACAGTATTCCCTGGGAACACAAGCCGCGCAGAGGAGACGCCCCGGGAGTTAACAAAGGCACTGAACTATTTAGCTTAATCTCTGACTTCTCTCTCTTGACCTCTCCTCCAACCAAGTAGATAAATGGCCTCGCTCTGTTCAGTGCTTGGCTCGGGTCACAATAAATCAGCTGGCTGTGTATGCATGCACGCTTACTCTCCCAAGCTGAGGCCAGCCTTCCTGTGATAAACCACCAGTATTTATTCCAGTCTGTCCTGTGTGTGTCCTGGAAACAGAAATAATTTGGGGTTGGGGTGTGTTTTCAGGTTCATGCTCTGCTCTTCTTATCCCACAGAGTTTGACAGAGCTAAGCCAAGCCAGAGTTACGCTGACACACAAAAATGACACAGGCTAAATCACAAACCCTGCAAAGGCTGCTGAGTTTCATCATCCCCGTCCCAAAGGCAAGCCCCTCTTCCCTTGAGTAAGGATACCTAATGTGTGTCAGGGGATTCACCAGATGCAGACAGGAACCAAGCCCCATCCTGCCCTAGAAGAGCCTGCAGGCCGGTGAGGAGGGCAGACAACTTTCACCCAGGACAAAAGTTGCTAAGAGAATAAAGAGACATCACATTTTCTTGAGTACTCACTATGCACCAGGAGTTGTTCCAAGATCCCAATTAGCAGTAACGCATTTAAACCTCAGAGCAGCTCAACATGGTAGAGGTGTGTTCCCATCCACAGCACTGCACTGACACCAGACAGCCTGGGAGGGCTGTGGGAGCCAGACTGGGTATGACTCTGTGGCCTGGGGTCAGATGTCTGCAGCTTCCCAGAGAAGAACACACTTGATTGAGCCTTGTTGGGGTGAAGAAGCACCTGACAAGTGGAAAATAATTCCAGGCAGAAGGACCAGTGTGGGCCAAGAAAGGCACATGTGGTCCTGTGGTGTACTCTCAACCACCCAGGTCCTATTATCGTGCCCATTTTCAGAGATCAGTGAGGTTGAGCAAGTTGCCCAGGGACACACAGGAGACTGTTCAGATTTTCACTCCTGGTCACCAACTACTGGGTCTACTGCCTCCAGACAATGCAGGTCACAGGGGCACATCATATGGGACCTCCTGGAGGGCTCGTTCTCATCTCAGATGTCAGGAGGCACGGCCCAGAACGTGCAGGGCCCTGAGATCTGTGCTCAGCGGCTTGGACTGGAGGCTGAGTAGACCAGTTGTGAGCAGGCTCTGGAGGCTATGGCCCCAGCAGCCCTAGTGGCTTAGCAGGAAGACCACAGCCTGCACCAGCCACTCACTTCCAGACCCCACACCAGAGGCCCCTGAAAGGGGGCAGGATGTGCCTCTGGACTTGCAGACACCCACCCCCCATGACAGTCCTCCAGGGGCCCATCAATCCCCACAGCCTTTCCTTCTTCTTCAAGGGCCTCCGCCCTAGAGAGGGACTTTTTCGTGAGAAAACAGAGGTGCCTTACCCCACCCAGTTCCCCTTCCACACTGGGAAGGCAGGGCTCGGAAGGCAGGGCTCAGACCGCAGGGAGGGATGGAGAAGGGGGAGCTCGGAGGCTGCTGGAATGAACTGGGCTGGGGGTGGGAGGCATTTCTGTAAAGGAGGACTCGAGGCCTCCAGGGGCTGGGGCGGGAGGCAGTCAGGCTGCTCGAGATTCTGGCCACTTGGCGCAGTCATATTTCAGAGCCTCGGCTTCCTCACCTGTAACCTGGGGACAGTGGTCGTTCCTTGAGGCACGCCAGGAGGGGAGAATGAAGCGGAATATGGAAAGGGCCTCCCCTTTAGTAGCTGTTCCCGGCACAAGGAGTTTGGGTGGTGGGTCCCCGGGAGGACCTATTTATTGTTAGTATGAGCCATGACGGCAATCATCTAGCAATGCCTGCTGCGGCACGAGACCAGAATGGCGGACACGGTGGAGAAAGGCAGCCCTGGTTGAACTCAGCCGCACGGGGCTGTTTTCCTTCTGCTGGTGGCTGCGGCTGGGGGGTGGAGGGGGCGGGTGGGGGCTGAGCTCAGCTCTTAGCTGGAGATGTCTCAGCATCTGATGTGACACTGCTGTTGTTTTTGGCTTCACATCCAAGACTCTTTCGCGGCTAATTACTCACTGTCTTGGGAGACTGGCCCAGGAACCTGAGAAAGGAGAGAGGAGAGAGAGTGCCGGTTTCTGTTTTGCAACCAGTTAAGGAGGCAGCAGTGCTGGGACCCATGGACCTGGCTGGAAGGAATAAAGTCTTTTGCACGCTCTCAGCTTTATTGAGATATAATCCACGTACAATAAAATTCACAGTTTGGATAAACCTACTAAAAACCTACAAAACCCACAAAACCAAAAAATCATCACCCCCCCCCATCAAGATTTAGAATCTCTCCAATAACATTTCCTCTTGCCCCATCTGTCAATACCCACTCTGCCCTAACTAATCACTAATCTGCCTTCTGTCACTATGTGTTGGTTTCACCTTTTCTAAAATTTTATATGGATGAAATCACCTAGGATGGACTCTTTGGCATCAGGCTATTTTCATGCCACGAAATGTTTCTGAGATTCACCTACATTGCTGAGTGAATCACAGGTCCATTCCTTTTTTTTTTTTTCTTTCGAGATGGAGTCTTGCTTTGTCGCCCAGTCTGGAGTGCAGTGGCGCGATCTCGACTCACTGCAACCTCCGCCTCCCAGGTTCAAGCAATTCTCCTGCCTCAGCCTCCCGAGTCGCTGGGATTATAGGGACCCACCACCACGCCTGGCTAATTTTTGTATTTTTAGTAGCTGGGATGACAGGCGTGCACCCCTACACGCGGTTAATTTTTGTATTCTTAGTAGAGATAGGGTTTCACCATATTGGCCAGGCTGGTCTCGAACTCCCAACCTCAAGTGATCCACCCCCCCCGGGCCTCCCAAAGTGCTGAGATAACAGGCGTGAGCCATCACACCCGGCCGGGTCCATTCCTTTTTAGTGCCAAGTTGTATTGCATTTATGTGGACACGACACAATTAATTTACTCATTCATTTACTAATAACCATTTTAGGTTGTTTCCAGTCTTTGGGTGAACATATGCTCTCATTTCTCTTGAGTAAATACCAGGAGAGTAAATATCAGTGGAGTTATTAGTGCATATTATAAATGTATGTTTAGTTTTATAAGGAACTTCCAGTCTTTTCCCAAAGAGGCTGTACATTTTACACTCCCATCAGCAATGTCTAAGAGTTCTAGTTACTCCATATCCTTGCCATCACTTGATATTGGAAATCTTTTAAATTTTAGCCATGTTGTTAGTAGGGGTTAGTAGGTATCTTACTGTGGTTTCAATTTGCATTTCTCCGGTGATTAATAATGTTAAGTATCTTTTCACAGGCTTGCATCTCATATGGGATTTTGAAAATGAAATGTGGGGAGTCTTGAACCAAGGCCTTGACACTCCCATGAGAAGACCTTGGAAATTTGGGAGGGGATTAGAGGATCATGTGCCATTATCCCTACCTCTCCTAACCTAACTTTTAAAACTGGAATGGTTTATTACATGAGTAATATACATAAATGTATTCATCTTGCAAGAATAGGAAAAATGTCTTATGTAAGACTTGAGACTCCCATGAATGCACTGAGGGATCCCTTTATAACCCCTTGTTTCTTCTCAGAGATCCTTCTTTATTTTTAGTTTTTTGAGACAAGGTCTTGCTTTATGGCCTAAGCTGGAGTGCAGTGGTGCGATCACAGCTCACTGCAACTTCCAGCTCCCAGGCTCAAGTGATCCTCCCACCTCAGCCTCCCAAGCAGTTGGGACCACAGATGCGTGCCCCATGTCCAACTAATTTAATTTTTTTTTTTTGTGGAGACAGGGTTTTGCCATGTTGCCCAGGCTAGTCTTGAACTCCTGAGCTCAAGCGATCTGCCTGATTCAGCCTTCCAACATGCTGGGATTACAGGCGTGAGCTACCACGCCCAGCCCCTTCTTTATATTTGCAGACATGTCCCCCCCATCACAAATATCCAGTATATGTTTTTATGGGTGTGTTCTTACATGCATGATAAAATGCTGTACAAATCATTCTTCAGCTTGCTTTTCCCAATCATCAAACTCTCTTAGAGGTCTTGCCATGTCAGTACATGTTGATCTGCCTTGTTCTTTTTGTTGGTTAGAATTCCATTGTAAGGATGAATCATAGTTTATGAATCAATTTTCCTACTGCTGGATACTTAGGTTTGCTCGTGGTGTTTTGTTGTTGCAGTGGTGCAACAAACATCCTTGTCCTTGCTTTCTTTGCTGATATGTGTGTGTTTCTCAAGGCAGATTCCAAGGAGTGGAACCATCAAGGTTTTGTATCAGTTATCTATTGCCACAACAATACTGTGTAACAAACAACTCAAGATTTAATGGCTTAAAACAACAATCGTTTATTCTCATCAGTCAACTGGTTGTTGGTTGGGTAGTTCTGCTGATCTGACCTCAGCTTAACTGATCACAGCTGAGTGTTACTTATGTGTTCAGGGCTGGCTGGCGGGTCAGCTGGGGGCTGGCTGGTCTTGGATGGTCTTAGCTGGGAAACTCATCTCTGCTTTATGTGGCCTCTCTTCCTCAATCAGACTGGCTTGGGTTCATTCCCGTGGTGGGGACAGGGGCCTGAGAGAGAGTGGAATTACTCAGGGCTTCTTGAAGTCTGGGCTTAGAACTGGCTCACCATCACTCATGCTCCATTCTATCAGCCAAAGCAGATCAGGAGACCCCACAGATTCAACAGATGGGAAAATAAAATCCACTACAGTCTGCCTCCTGGGCTCAAGTGATCCTCCCACCCCAACCTCCTGAGTAGCTGGGACTACAGGTGTTCACCACCACGCTTGGCTAATTTGTAAATTTTTTTGTAGAATGGAAGTCTCATTATTGCTCAGACTGGAAAACTCACTTCTTGATAGGAAGAGTGGCAAGTCACATTGCAAAGGGTATGAACACAGGGAGGGGAGGAATTGGGGCCATTTTTTGCAGTCTACTATGGTTTTTGAATATGTACATTTTCCATTTTATTGGATATGCCGAATTGCTCTCCTAAATGGTTGGTTCAGTCTACACCCCATGGGCAGTGGGCAGGAGAGACCGTTTCCCTATAACGTGTCATGCATAGAGTCTGTGCACTTTGCCAGCATGCGGGCCAGATCTGTGATTCTCCAACATAGTGCAAGAGCTTACAAGGCTACAGGAGAAGTGAAATGCACCCTCCAAGAGGCTTCGTTTTACTCATCTTTATGGAGGCAAAAACCCATTTCTAAAAATTGAAACAAACATGGAGATAATGCATGACCGTGCAAAATTCATGTGACGTTTAAAGATAAACCATAAGATTTCAAAGAAACGTCTTGCTAGCAAGGCCAGCTACTTCAGACTTGACACTGTACACTCAGAACTTCTGCATTTGCTCATTTGTGTGCCCAGTGAATATTTAGAGATTGCCTCCGGCATACCATGCATGGTTCCTCGTATGGGGTCATAGCAGTAGATGTGAGAGTCAAGGACTCCGTCATATTGGAGTTAAACATATAGGGGGAGGAAAGAGATTCTAAACATTAATAATTTCCGAAAGTAATAAATGCCATGAAGAAAATAAAACAGGGTGATATGATAGAGAGCCACCAGGGCTGGCGGCTGTGACCTTAGTCTGGGAGGTCAGGGAAGGTGATTTGAGTAGGTGACATTTGAGTTGAGCCCTAAGTGACAAGAAGGAGACAGCAAACTTGAAGAGCTGAGCTTGGAAGTGTGTATCAGCCTGAGGAAACACAATGCAAAGGCCCTGGGGTAGGAACAAGCTTGGTGCTGCCTAGCAACAGTGGGGAGGCCAGTGAGGCGGAAGCCCAGGGAGCCCAGGAGAGAAAGGCAGGAGAGGAAGACATAAAGGGTGGCAGAGGCCAGATGGCTATTGAGCACTCACTTGTGCCAAGCACTGTGTTAGCTACCTTCACAGTCTTCTGCCCTTGGGGCAGAGAAGAAGTCAGTGCACCCTCTGCAGGTCTGCTATGAGCTGGTTAAAATGGATTTACATCACAAGCAGCAAGAACCAGGGGAGGGTTGGCAGTGCTCACACTGACAAAATGGTGGTGATCTCCTGCCAGCATTGACAGGGCAGAGGGTGGACTTCAGGTCATGGTTTGGTCCATGGAACTGGAAAGAAAAGGGATGGGTTCAAAAGCAAGCAAGGGGGCTCCAGGAACAGCATCAAAGACCACTGGGAAGGGGCTGGCTGTGGGGACCCAATGCCAGGTGAACCTGGGAGTGAGGCCAAGCCACCCGGACTCCACCAGCCAAGCACACATGCCCGCACTTGACCATTTGGGGAACAGAAAGGAGAGCCCCCGGCCAGCATAGGCCACCCCCAGCAGCAGCACATCCCAGGCAAGCCCACACCCCCAGGTGCTGTCCAGGAGAGACCTGCCTTCCAAGACTCTGCTACCACAGCCCAGTGGCTCTGGGACCCTAGGCAAGTTGCCTCTTCTCCCAGCTTTGGTTTTCCTAGTATGCTAAGCCTCAGTAAGAAAACTGTCTCCAACCACAAAGGTATCCTACTGCAACTCTCCTAGAGGTCTCTGTTCAAATTTTGCCTGGGATCAGTCAGTAAGCCCTTCTTTCTGTCCAGCCATGTTCCCTCATGTGGGATCAGAAGCCCTGGGCTTGCATGCTGCCTTGGTTTCTCATTAGCTTTGATTGCCTTTCTTGGACCTCAGTATCCCCATCTACCAACTAAGGAAACTTCCGACTCCCAGATCCCATCAGACAGGAGACCAGCTACCCTCCCAAGGAGATTCTGGAGAAGTGGGGACAAAGATGAGCTGATGACAACCTCCTCCCCGTCCCCTCCCATCATGCACAGGGTGGAGTGGGGGGAACAGAGCCAGCAGATGAACATCCCAGAAGGTTATAAGCCAAATAAACAAGCAAAGAAAACACCACAAGCTTCGTATACCCAGCCCAGAACCATGCCAAAGGGCTCCTTTGAGGTTTGTATCGGGACTGCTGCTGCCAGGTAGGTCTTGCCCCTGCAAGACACGGCCTGGGAGGCCCCTCACCATTCCTGAGAGATAAGATCCCTTTCCTAATCGATTGCCTGAGTAAATGCACGCTAAGCAGCATGGGTGGGTGAACCAACACGAGCAGCGCTCACATTGATACACACGGTCTTAGGCAAACACTCAACTTGTTTGTTCAGGCTCAGACGCTGGCTGAGCACCTGCCATGTGCTGGGAGCTTTCACCTGCATTGTTTCATTTGATCCGCTCTGTGAAAGCTGGGGAGCAGCTTGGCAGCAGGAGATACTCCTGGTTTGTTCGTAAATTCCAACCAGTGACCAGGCAGCAACATATGCGTTTCCTCATTCAAGTCTTCCAACAGCTCTTGGAGGTGAGGATTTCCATCCCCGCTGTACAGATGAGGACATGATGTGCGGTGCTAAGCGCAATAGTGCATCCTCCTTTCATTTGCTCCCCTCAATGGCCCTGTAAAGTGGGTACTCTAATTACCCCTGTCGTACCAATAAGGTAATGAGGACTCAGAGTGACAATGACTTAGCCAGGGCCACCCAGCTAGCAGAAGCAAAAACAGGATTTGAACCCAGCTCTATGGACATCAGACTTGGTGGCTGACTACCCAACTGGGGCTGAGTTTGGGGAAGGAGCTGGCAAGAGCAGATTGGGAGAAATAAAGGGTGCAGAGCCCACTGAAGACACACCATTTCTCTTAAGACCTCTCTCTCTGCAGAGGAATAGGGGCATGTCGCTTGTGGCCCAGGGGCTTTGCAGGAAGTGAAATCCAGGGATGAGGCAGGCAGCCAGTCTCAGCCTAGTGGGCCCTGCTACGCTGATGGCAGCTGGTGGCTTTTCTCAGGCAGTACCTGGCTCCGGGAGGGCTTTAGGAGGACTCAGTACACAAGCTGTGGGCAACTTCCCAGGGAACAAGGACAGCTCTGCCTGGATTGCCACTGTCATGCCCCCTGGAAAACAGGAGAGCATGGTGGTTCTATCTTTGGCTCGGAATAAGAGGGAATTGGATCTGAATCCCAGCTCTGCCACACCCTAGACAAAGACCTCTCTTCCTGTTTTCCCATCTGTAAAATGGGAACCCCTCTAAGGTTGGCAGGAAGACTGAATGAGGACTGAATGAGGATGCTGGGGACTGCCACAGCCTCTGTCTGGCCTGGAAGACTTGCTCTCTCTGGGACCTCCTTTTCTCCTGTGGTCTGCCAGGGAACATTCAGAAATGGGGTGGGAAAACCCAGATTGCTGGCAAAGAAGGCCTGCCCCTCGCAGAGAAGGCAGCTCTCTCCTGCTGAGTGCTTGCGGAGAAGCACAAGTTTATGAGGGCTGCTGTAGCAACATGTGACACGCTGGGGGCCCTAAACTGCACAAGTGCATTGTCTCACTGCTCTGGAGGCCAGAAGTCCGGGATCGGGGTGCTGCCAGGATTGGTTCCTTCTGAGGCTGTGAGGCAGGACCTGTTCCCTGCCTCTCCCTGAGCTTCTGGCGGTTTGCAGGCACTTGGTGTTCCTTGGCTTGTGGGCATGTCACCCGATCTTGGCCTTTATCTTCACATCTCCCTGTGTCTGTCTCTCTGTGTCCGCATTTTGTGTTTTTATAAGGACACCAGTCATATTGGAGTATAGCCCACCCTAAAGACCTCATTTTAATTTGATGGCCTCTGTGAAGAACCTATCTCCAAATAAGGTCCCATTTAGGGATACTGGGGGTTAGGACTCCAACGTGTAAATTTGGGGATGACACAGTTCAGTTCCTGACAGCTGGGGAGGGAAGGAAATGGCCTCTTCCATCTGCTGTCCTTGGGAAGCTGCAGCAAGGCCGGGCTCCCGTCTGTAGCACCATCGCCCAGAGGCACCCTCTCCCCATTAAGGGGAAGGTGAGGCACTCGGAGAGGTAGGAGGGGCTGCCCCACTGCACCAGTGCAGGAAGGTGGGGCCAACAGAGCTGGGCTGGGACACTCCACCTCTCTGTAGACATCGCCACTTGGCTTAGCATCTTTGGAAGTTTGTCAAAAGGGGTAGGTAGGGTTTTCTGAAACACCTTTCCAAGAAAAAGGCCACCAAATTCTCCTCAAGGTCACCTCCCTCCACAAGGAACACCTCTAGGGAAAGGCCTAGACCTCATTCACATGTGAATTGACACCGACTGGCACAGGGCCTGGCTGGTGAGTGTGAGGAGCTCTGGCCTCAAGTGCCTGTCCTACCTCTTCCTTGCTGTGTGGCCTTGGGCAAGCTGCTTGGGCTCTCTGAGCTTCAGTTTCACAACTAATAAAGTGGAGGTAGGAACTGTACCTACTTTCCAATGTTATTATAAAGATTAGCTGAGAGAGTGTGTGAGAAAGCCTCAGCACAGGGCTGGGCACACAGTAACCACTCGAAAAACATTGGCTCTTCTTATAACTGATTATTGCACTGGATGGATGGATGGATGGATGGATGGATGGATGGAATGGTTCTTAAGTTGATTGGTTTCCTGGACATTCTCTCCGTTGAGAACTCATGAAACCTGCTTCTGGCATCAGATCCAAATACCAGCCCCATCACCTATTGGATGTGGTCTTGAGCAGTTACTACCACCTGACCCTCAGCTGCCCATCTATAAAACAGGGAGAAGAAGAGGCCACCCACAGAGAGTTGCTGTGAGAATAAAATAACATGATGATGTCTGGAATGAGCTTAACCCAGTGCCTGGCATGTGGGTGCTCTTGGAAGACGCTCACTCTATCTTGGTGGCCGAACAGGCATTCAGACGAAAGCCGCTTTCACCCACAGGCGGGCGCAGAAGGCCACGCCTCCTCCTGCAATAGTGTTTCCATGGCAGGCCCAGGCACCTTCTATTTTCAGATGACACTCAGTGACATCTTAACAATGCTGAAGCTAGATAGGACCCGCCGAAACAACTGTTTCCCACCAACATCAGAGCCCTGATGGACAGGGAGGGAGGGAGGTGTCCCCAGTCCTGGTGCAGTCCTGAGCTGGGTTCTAGCAGAACAACAGAGTTCGGGCCCTATGGTCTCTGCAGATGACCTCCTTGACCTCTACTCTCCCTGTGTGGCTCTGGACTCACTTTCCACTCAGCTCCCTGACCTGAGCCCCTGGAAGCCAACCTCCATGGCCTCTATAGTAGCTCCATTGCATGGTGACTTCTAGCTGGGTCCAGATGACAAGAGTGTGGCAGGGGCCACGGCACCGTTGCTGCAGCTGCGTCCCTATAGGGCCTCTGTGGGCTGGCTTCCGCCCAGGCAACACTGCCTGCAGCCCGGGGCATGACCAGCTTCCCCACTGCCCAGCTCTGGGCTTGTACTATGCCATGCTGATTTCCCTACACTCTGCCCACCCCTTTGAAAATAACTCTTCAGATTACCAGATTGAGTATACTTAGGTTATCTTCCAAATCCTATCGGATGCATTACCTTCATTCACCGCTTCCTTCCTCCCTTCCTCTCCTCCCCTCCTTCCCTGCCACCTCCCCTCCCTTCCCCCTCCTTTCCTCTTTCCTTCTGCCATAAATATCGATGGAGCATCTACCCTGTGCCATTATCTGTTCCAGGTGGCACCACAGTGAACGGGCAAGGTCCCTGTTGCCCCATGGAGTTGACATTCTAGTGGGGAGGCAGGTGAAACCAGCAAATAAAGAAACAATTTCACAGAGTGATGTGTGCTAAGAAGAAATCAAGCAGAGGGGTGGCCAGAGAGGGATGCGGGGCAGGAGAGGTGCTGGAGCGGGTGGCCGGGGAAGGCCTCTCTGAGGAGATGCAAGCTGGACCAGGAGCAGGCTCCAGCCACGGGAGGCTCTGGAGGGAGGGCCTTTCAGGCGGAGGAACAGCAAGTGCAAAGGGGCTGGGGCAGGCTTGAGCTCAGTGAATCTGAGAACAGAATAAAGGCCAGTGTGGCCTTCACAAAGAGCCACGCCCCTTCCTCTGCTGGGTCTTTGCCTGAACCATTCCCTGGGTTTCCCTTCCTCCAGGCCAGGTAAATGCTGACCAATCCTCCATCCCCAGCTCCAACATCCACCCCTTCAGAAGTGGGGTGGGGGGGCCCTCTCTCCTCTTGTCAACAGCCTCAGGGTCCTCTGCCACTAAGTCCTGGACTGTACTGTCTGCACTGTCACATCACAAGCCATGGATGCCTGTCTCCCACAACAGGACAGGGCGGGAGCTCCTTCCAGTCCAGCCTAGACCGAGTTGCCTTTGTGTCTTGAGTCCAACAAGATGCCCTGGGCCTGGCCCAGGGTGGATGCACAGTAAACATTTATTGGGTTAAATAAATGTACTGTTGGAAAAAGTCCAGGGATTTCAAAGGACAAGATGGTCACAAGGAGCAGAAGCAGTCAGGGAAGCCTTCCTGGAGAAGGTGGGGCTGGACCTGGGCCTTGAAGGAGGGTATGGAAGGGACCAGTGAGGGAGTTCCCAGCAGGGGGGATATTCCCAGCAGGGAGCTTCCAGCAGTGAGGGAGTTCCCAGCAGCAGGGGTGGCATGTGCAAAGGCCCAGAGGATGGATCAGGGGCCAGTCAATGGCTCTATCAGACCCCAGGAGAAGCTCGGGAGATAAGTTAGAAGGAGAAGGTAAGCCCCTTCTAAGCCTCAGTTTCTCCATTTGGAAATGGGGATAATAATCTTGCCTGCATTAAATGAGATTGTACATACAAGGCACTTGGTGTGTTATAGGCCTGGCCCATGGGAGTTTATCAGCAAATAACATGGGGTGAGCTGGTGTCACCCCAGCAAGTGTAGGACCCCAGGTCCTGGGGCACTACATGTGCCCGAGTCAGACTCTTGCTTCTTGGGAACTCGGACTGCCGGGCTTCCTGGATCTGACTGAGCTCAAAACCAGCAGGCTCCTGATACTCCTGCCCTCATCCAGCCCCCATCCACACTCCCAGAAATTCCCAGCCTCCAAGCCCCATCCTTTTGTGGGAAGTGCTGATCTCGACAAGGCTTCCCCATAAATACTTAGCAGGAGAGAGGTTCTCCTGGGCACTGTATAGCACTTAGAACCCACCAGACTTGCAGGGGCCACAAAAATGTTCTGATTTACTGTAAAATCACAAGAAAAAATGAATATAATGTACTCTGGATATATTCGTCTCTATACCAATGCATTCATAGTTATCAATATTTTTTTCTGGAATAAGGGGCCATAGAGACAAATGGCCTAGGGCCCACACATGTCCTAACGGAGCCCTGCCCATTGGAAGGTGTGGGTGAACCATGGGGGGACATGGAAACTGAGGCTCAGACCTGGATGGCCCAAGGTCACACAGCGTCTTAGTGTTGGATTTGAACCCAGGGCAACCTGGCTCCTAAATCTTTGATGGTTGTTTTTCTTCAGATGGCCTATCAAACCTACATGTTCCAGTCTTCTTTGAGGCCTCAGATTTTCTGACTGCAGTGCTCAGGAGGCGATAGACATCCCTTCCTCACCACCCACACATGCACACAGGGGGTCGCCCCCCTCACGCCACAGGCATCCTAATGGGGAGAGCTAGGAAGAGTCCTTCTGGATCATCTGGTCTACCTGGCTCACCACACAGCTGGGACTCCGAGGCTCCATGTGGGGACGTGCTCTCGTGGTGCTGGGGATGGGGTGGGATGGAGATTACCCATCACCCAGTGCTCCCTTCCACTCCCCACCACCTCGTTTACATTGAGTCTGAGTTAGACAAGAATCTGATGTTGTCCAGATGGAAAAGTCCCCCTGATTTTGGCTGAAAAGCTCCTTGCTGAGGGAACTATTCAAGGCAGGTGTACTACAGCCTAAACCCTGCTGGAAACACTCACCCGGGTCGGAGATCTGCTTTCTCTCCTGCCCCCGCCCCGCCCCGCCCCGTCCCACCTGTCTCTGTCAGAACAACAGGAGCCGGCCAAGAGGCCAAGCCCCGTCAGTCCTGTTCTGAGGGAAGGTGGTGGGTTAACTTAAGGTGGCGTGTTCATTTAAGGGCAGGCTGTCATCCTGGGCAGTGACTGGGGAGGCTTCTCAGCGGCACCCTGGCCTGAAGACATCCCCCTCTTGAGTGCCTAAAATCCCACCATCTGGGCTCGATTCAAAGCAGAAAGGTTGTTTACTGGGCATTTCCTTTAAAGGCAAAGAAGTGAGTGACTCTGTCAAGATCCTCTTTCCCTGTGGCCATGCGCCTGGGCAGCATGGGGACTCTGAGGTTCTGGCTGGGAATCTGGAGAGGGGGAGGGGATGTCATCACCGCTTTAGCCCTATATGGCCTTTTAGAGTCAACAACTTTGACCTGTCATGTCCAGGGAGGCAGGAGAGCTTTGTAGTTAAGAATACAGGCCGACCTGGTCACAGTCCTCACTGTGTAGCTCTGAGCCCCTCCCATCTGTCAGATGGAGATGAAAATTTTCTAGGAATATTTTGAAAATATTAAGCCAATACATTTTCTTCTCTCTTCCCTGTTAAAGGGAGGAAGGAAGGAGGGAAAGATGGAAGGAAGAAGGGAGGGATGGAAGGAAGGAGGGAAAGGAGGGAAGGAAGGACGAAGGGAGGGAGGGAAGAATGGAAGGAAGAAGGGAGGGACGGAAGGAAGGAGGGAAAGGAGGGGAAAAGGAAGGAGGAAGGGAGGGAGGGAAGGAGGGAAGGATGAAAGGAAGAAGGGAGGGATGGAAAAAAGGAAGGAGGGAGGGTGGAAGGAAGACAGAGAAGGAAGAAAAGATCCAGGAAGGAGGGAGAGAAAGAAGGAGGGAAACAGGGAAGGAAGGAGGGAAGGAGGGAAGGAAGGAGGGAAGGAAGGAAGGAAGGAGGGAAGGAGGGAAGGAAGGAAGGAAGGAGGGAAGGAGGGAAGGAAGGAGGGAAGGAGGGAAGGAAGGAGGGAAGGAAGGAAGGAAGGAGGGAAGGAGGGAAGGAAGGAAGGAAGGAAGGAGGGAGGGAAAGGGAAGGGAAGGGAGGAAGAAAAAGATCCCCAAACATGGAGTTTGTCCCTGGCTCCTAGGGAGGAAGGAGGATTTAAGAGAATGACCCAGTTTAACAGGAAGCAGAGGGAGAAGCCCCCTCCGTTCCAAGCTGGTTGAACATTTGTGAGTGAGGGACATTTCCTAAACATGTGAGGTGAGGGATCAGGAGGGGTTTACTCACAGAAATACAGATGTGGTGCAGTGTTGGAGTCCCCTCCTGAAAGGGACTTTCAGCCAGCACTGCAGCCCTTCCTCCCTGGCCCTCGTACTCTCTGGCTTTCTCCCTGCATTTCTTTCTGTCTGTTCCCTGCCCGTCTCTTTCCTTCTCCCCTTGCAGAGCCCAGCACCTGTGAGCTGTGTCTCCAGGCACAGTGCATGTTTCTGCCTGGTGGCTGTCTCTACACCTGCACCTTCAGAGTCTCACTCAGTGCACTGTGAGGTCACCTTGTGAGAGCCACACCACATCCCTGTCAGGAGGGCACTGCTGCTATCTGCATCCTACAGATGAGGATGCCAGGGCTCAGAAAGGGGAAGTCAGTTCTTCCTGGCCTACCTTCTTCTTGCCCAGGGGGCCAGGGTTCTGGGAAGGAAGCTTGGAAAACCCTAGGACTCAAGGGTTTCCATGAGAAGGGAGCCATCTTGAGTTCCGCATGCCTTGCAGCTGGGAGGTAGCTCATTGTGGTGGAAAGCAACTATTGTTGAGCCAGGATTTACACTCAAGTTGGAGCTAACGGACCCCCTGTGGCGGATCTCAGTTCATCTCAGTTAAGTGAAATGCATTGTCTTAATCATAAAGCTAGCGAGGAACGGAGCCAGAATCTGAAGTCACATCTGTGTAACGTCAAAGTTTGTGCTCAACCACAAACGTGTTCAAATCGCAGCTCTTCCTCTTGTAGGCTGTGTGGCCTTGGACAAGTCACTTGACCTCTCTGTTCCTTAGATTTGCCAACTGTTAAATAATGATAGTAATGTTTCTGATGCTTATGCTTATCTAGAGGATTAAATGAGATAATGTCTAAAGTTGTGTCCCTGTGGGAATTCTGGGGGTTACCAGCCATGTCTTGGCTCCCGTGAAGCGACAGTGATGAAAGCTGACATTTGACAGGCACCACTTCACTTTCTCCTCACCACAACCCTATAAGGTGCTGTTATTCTCCCCATCTCCAGATGAGAGAACTGAGGCACAGAGAGGGAGGGTCATTTGCCCAGGGGTCACAGAAGTCACACCAGCCAGAGGCCTGGGTGTTCTCTGTGCTTAGCCCCATGCGAAGCTGTCTTCCTACATTAAAAAATAAATAAATAAAATGTGAATGAAGTTAACCCTTTAAAAGATGCAGCATTAGAAGTAGAGGATTTCAGCCCTTTCCGAGAAACAGAGTCAGAGGCAGCCTGGCCATGCAGAGATGCATGTTGTCTGCCAGGCTCCCTGCTAGGACCTGCTGTCTTAGAATTTCCAGCTGGGTGGGAGGGAGCGAGGCTGAGGACAGACAACATGCCGAGACCCAGAGGCACAAGAATGGGGCCAGGACAGGGGGCTGGGGAGGGGTGTTGTATGAGGCCAGGGCAGGGAGGCATAGATTCTGCCAGGGTGAGGGGCCAGCCTTGTGCATGTTTTTGTTGGGGAGGGGGATGTTGAAGAGTCACAGGAAACTGAGGTGAGGAAGGTAACAGGTCAGCCCAGTTGGTGGACAAAGAGGGTGGTCACCAGCAAAGGCACAGTAACCAGAGAGCTCATGCAGTGTTTAGGGAACAGCTTGCTGGGGACACAGGCTGCTGGGGTAGGGATGATGGTGTTAGGGGGTCAGAATGGAGGCTGGAGAGAGATCTTGAGCCTAGGAATCTGTTTTTATTCAGCACCAGGTGCTTCCCATGGGCGTTGTCCAAGGATTACGCTTTGGGAATCGCAGGCTACACCCAGACAACCTGTCCTGGGGCCGCTACTCCAGAGTTGGGAAGGAAAGATGGTGTAGCTCAGCCAGGAGTCAGGAAGGCCTGGGGGTCAGCCCTGCTCTGGCATTGCTGGCTGTGTGCCCTTAGGCTAATCATTTGCTGTCTGTGCCCCAGGCTTCTTGCAGGTAATATTACGCTAATATTGAATTTCCAAGAAGGCCGTGAAGATTAGCTCTGAAAAAGATCTGCAAGTCACTGGCATGGTGCTGATTCATAGCAGGTGCAGGAAGCAGCCTTCCTTTCTTTCTCCTTCAGAAGGCGCTACTGTCCCCTCATGTGAGCAAAATCACAGTGACCAACTGAATTAGTCAGGTTGGTTCTACTGTCAGGGACAGAAGCCAACTCAAATTGGCTTAAAAGAAAACTGAAGAGGCTCCCGTCAAAGGGCCCAGCAGCAAAGGAAGCATGTGGGTGCCCGTCAGTCAACATTCTGTCTGTCTCTGCTTCTCTTTGCCGTCGGCCTTCTTTCTCCTCCTGTTGCTGTGCTGCCTCCAGGAGGCCAAGACTGAGGCTCTCAGAAGCCCCGGCCCAGCAACCCAGAAGAGGGAGAGCCGCTGTCTCCCGATATCTGTAGCTTAGTCCCAGGGAAGGCTCTGATTGGTTGTGCTTGGGTCATGTGCCCATTCCTTGAGCCAATCACGCTGGCCGAGGATGCAGTATTTTAAGTGGCCAGGCCTCTGACCAGAGGAGTGCCATCTAGGACCAGGGGAATAAGCAGCCCTCCCTGGCCAGAAAAAAGCCCAAGCGAAACAACTGAAAACCCAGAACCAGCTCAGATGCTTCTTCGTTTCTGTGCGTAACCTACCTTGCACAGGCATATGCATGTTCCAAGCTGCCTCTGGATTATTTGTCTCCACATCCTCTTCCCCCAAATGCGAGTTTCTCCAGATAGGACTAGACCCCACATCTCCACGGCCCCGATGCCTGCTATGGGGCTGGTCACAGAGCATGGGCTGACACGTCTTTACAGCCAGCGTCCAGTGTCCTCTCCACGGCCTCCATCTGAACCCACCCTCTGCTCTCTGCCTGCCTGTGCCCTGCCTTCTTCTAGGCACTGCTCCCGGGACTGCTGTGTCCTCTGGCTGGTAGGCGGACGCCAGCCCTTCTTTCCTTCTGAGTCCCCGAGGTCGGGCTGGAATCCCAGAGGCTGGCATCCCAGGTCACATGGTTACTTGGCTTCATGGTTGATCCTTCCTTCCTTTCTTCCATCTTTCCTTTCCTTCCTTCCTTCTTTCCTTCCTTCCTTCCATGTTTCCTTTCCTTCCTTCCCTCCTTCTTTCCATCTTTCCTTCCCTTCCTTCCTTCCTTCTTTCCATCTATCCTTCCCTCCCTCCCTTCCTTCTTTCCTTCCTTCCATCCTTCCTCTCCTTCCCCTCCCTCCCTCCCTCCCTTCCTTTCTTTCTTTTCTTCTCCCTCTCTCCCTTTCCCTTGCTTGTTCACTTGGAAGCTCAGTGGTCCTTCACAAAATGAGTGGACTATTTTATGTTCTTCTCCAACTCTGGCCACGAAGCTGAGGAAGGGAGGGCTGCTGCTGTTTCTGTGTGGGTTAGGCTGACCCCACTCACAGCCCCTCTTCCTCCTTGTGGCCTGAGTATCCTGAAGCCCAGTTGGCTACACCAGAGAAAAAGAGTTGCTGCTTTTCTCCAAGATCAGTTCCCTGCAGATACCACTGGGGATTTGTTGTCTCCTCTCCCCTCCCCCATTGGCCAATGCCTCCTTCCAAAGAGACGTTCTTTCTTTTCTTTTTTTCTTTCCTTTTTCTTTCCTTTTTTTGGGCACTGTTTAAAAGCGAGTAATATAAGTCTCAGATCCCCTCACATCATGTTAATGTTAAAGTACGACTAAAAATAAATTGTGGGTTGCCATAGGAACCCTGGCTGTTGCTAGGTTTAGTCTGTGGGGGATTGGGAGCCCTGCTTTTTCTGGCCCTGCTGGAAGGCGGTCTCTGTGGCTGCCAGAGCACCTGGGAGGGGCCCCCAGGGCACCACCCCACCCCCCAAACCCCTTGAAAGGTGGCCTCAGAGTCAGTGCTCCACTGGGAGCACTGAGATCACCCTGGAAGGAGGACTGGGTCTCTGCAAAGCCTCTGAAAAGGAATTTCCAAAAAGGGGGTTGGAGAGGGAGAAAATAAAGGAAGGGAGGTAAAGGGAGAGAAGAAAGGGAGGGAGGGAGAATGGACATAGAGAGGGAAGGAAGGGAGAGGGCACAGGCTTGGCCGGGCCTGTCCTCCAGCCAGACCCCCTCCAGGTACTTTTGGACAGAGGTGCTAGTCCTCCACAACTTTCCTGCTGTGCAGATGTTGAAGCAGAGGCAGCGAGATGGGAGGTAACGTGCCCAGTGGCACACAGCTGGAAAGAGGCACAACTGGACCCCAGATCACAGGCTTTCTGACCCAGCCTGGGCCACAGGGCCTTTTCTGTCCACCCTTTCCCCCTAAGCCCTCTCTGCAGCTGGACCTCTGCTTATCCAGTGGGCCTTGGGCCACTCGGGCTCTGTCCATCCCTGCCCCACGAGTAGACTTCTCAACCTCTGTCCCCTAATCGGGACGCACTGAGGACACTGTATGCCAGCCCCTAGCTGTCGCCCATGCGCAGTGGGAAGTGCCTATGTCCCTTCTCAGTCAGCCCCATTTGCAGCACAGCATGGGATCAAGAGGCCTGACTTGAGAATCAGGCAGACAGGAGTTCAAATCCATTCTCAGTGCTTGCTGCTGTGTGACTTTGAGCAGTCTCCCTGCCTCTCTGAACTTCAATTTCCTCATCAGCATGGATTCCTCCCTCGAGGGGTTGCTGTGAGAACGTGTGGGAAGATGGCTGTGGGCCCTGGGCCTGGCACGTTTGAAGAGCTGGCTGCCGCTGTTATCTGGATGATCTCGCAAAGATGCCCTGTGTTTGCAGCCACAGCACATGGCACTAGCCCCACAGGGGGTATGTCCCCCAGCCATGTGACCCAGGAACGCATTGGGACACTTGAGCGTTGTGCAAGCAATGCTGAAGAGGTGGGGGACTCAGGCGCAGGCCCTAGGCCGTGGCCCCCACGTGCATTTCTAGAACTGGCCAGAGTGCTGCCCAAGGGAGTCCCTTGCAAAGAAAGTAAATGGCAACCAGAGATGAAAGAAGGCTGGCCATCATGCAGATGCCATTGTTACCAGACTTCCCTCCCTCCCTTCCACAGACATTTCCTGATTGGATCCTCAGTGCTGGACACAGTGCCAGGGCTCCAGAAAGTGAGAGGAACACTCTACTTAGTTGTCCATGACATGTGGAATAAACAGAACAAAGACACCATTAGAAGGGGATTCCAGATGCCTGCAAGCTCAGAGCACTCATCTCCAATGACATCCAAAGGGCAGAGGGAAGCAGGGCTCTCAGTTGTGGGGGCAGACCTTGTATTTTGTCTGTCATAGACTGGAGCTGATGGGTTTACAGTCCCACTGACTTTATAGAACCTCATTGGTTCTGTCATCAGGATGCAGTAGGATCTCCTACCAGCAGGGTGGGGAGTATTAAAAAATGACTGTTGTGATCGAGACCATCCTGGCTAACACGGTGAAACTCCGTCTCTACTAAAAGTACAAAAAATTAGCCGGGCGTGGTGGCGGGCGCCTGTAGTCCCAGCTACTCGGGAGGCTGAGGCAAGAGAATGGTGTGAACCCGGGAGGCGGAGCTTGCAGTGAGCCGAGATCGTGCCACTGCACTCCAGCCTGAGTGACAGAGTGAGACTCCGTCTCAAAAAAAAAAAAAAAAAAAAAAAAAAAAAAAAAAGACTGTTGTCTGGAGGTAGCTTCTGAAAGCAGGAAGGCCTAAAAGAGGAGGGAGAGGGAGGCACAATGGGGAGAGAGCCAAGGTGGGCTTGGGTGGAGGTGGCAGCTTTTGGCTTGGCCATGCAGAGTCAGCCTACCCCATGATCCAGCTGCTGATGAAAGAGTAGGGTGAGGGTCAGAGACTGAGTGGGACTTAAGGGGCCCAAGAGGAGTGGGAGAGGACTTTGAACTACAAGAGAAAAAGAACACAAAGGGGCCAGATGCGGTGGCTCACGCCTGTAATCCCAGCACTTTGGAAGGCTGAGGCAGGTGGATCACTTGAGATCAGGACTTCGAGACCAGCCTGACCAACATGGTGAAACCCCATCTCTACTAAAAATACAAAATCAGCCGGACCTGGTGATGCATCCCTGTAGTCCCAGCTACTTGGGAAGCTGAGGCAGGAGAATCACTTGAACCTGGGAGGCGGAGGTTGCAATGAGCTGAGATCACGCCATTGCACTCCAGCCTGGGCAACAAGAGTGAAACTCCGTCTCAAAAAAAAAACAAGAAACAAAAAACAAAAGAACACAAAGGATGAGCAGTTCCCAGAAGGGTCAGCCTTCTTCGTTGCTGGGCTACCCTGCGCTTATCCACAGCTTGGCCCTGAGAGAGAGCTACAGAAAGGCAGGCTCTGTTCAGACAAGAAGAGTTTTTAAGGGGGAAGTTTGAACAAATATTGTGTTTGGTGCTTTGCAAATAACACCTCATTTTATCCACATAAATGTGCAACAGGTGATATTGTTATCCCCACTTTATAGATGGGGAATCTGAGGCTCAGAGAGGTTGAGTGACCTGCCTAAGGTCACGCAGCTATCCAAGAAGTCTCTAACACTGTACTCTTTTTATGACATCCATTCTTTGTGTTGCACAAGAAAGAACTTGGCAAGGGGGTCAAGGAAAAGGGAAGGAGCATTTATTGATCACCTACCAGGAAAGCCAGGAGCTTTCCTGATTTAAGGGGTGCATCCTCACTTTACAGATGGGAAACGGAAGCTTCGAAGAGACAAAGGCATGGGACAAAGAGGCAGAGCTGTGACCTTTTCAACTGCACATCCCCAGCACAAAGTCCAGCACCAGGTGCGCCAGACAGGATAGTGTATGTTTGTGGAGCCAAACTTGGGGGCCAGGGTAAGTCAGATTCTTGGATCTACAGAGGGCCACAGCTGCCTTATCTGTAGTGAGATGCTCATTTTGAGAAGAATTCAAGGCTCCTGCCTGAAGTATGGTAGAGAGAAAAGGACCATCCAGGAGCAGTTTTCCGTAAGTGTCAGTTTTCAAGTTCAACCATCACTAATCAGCCCTCCACTTGCACTGACACTTAACACTTACCTTTTTATTATCTCCTTTTTAAAAAAACTTAATTAAATCCATCCTCATTATAAACTCTATCTTGAAAGCATGTATACGACAGGCTAGTTATGTGATTTTTCTAATGCGTCTTAAAATTAATGCATACTTTTTGTTTTTTTTGAGATGGAGTCTCGCTCTGTCGCCAGGCTGGAGTGCAGTGGCACGATCTCGGCTCACTGCAACCTCTGTCTCCTGGGTTCAGGTGATTCTCCTGCCTCAGCCTCCCAAGTAACTGGGACTACAGGCACCCACCACCATGCCCAGCTAATTTTTGCGTTTTTAGTAGAGACGGGGTTTCACTATGTTGGTTAGGATGGTCTTGATCTCTTGACCTTGTGATCCACCCACCTTGGCCTCCCAAAGTGCTGGGATTACAGGCGTGAGACACTGCACCTGGCCAATGCATACATTTTAAATGTTTAAAGAAAAGCCTTCTCCTTGCCCCCTAAAATCCTCTCATGGCCCACACCTGGGAAGTGCTGTCCTAGAGGCCACCAAGTGTCCTTCAATCCCTGAAGTCTGGGACTGAGGCATAAATGGAACTGGAGGGTGGGGTGTCCCAACCTGTGCAGACACAGGCAGGGCCTGGGATCCGAAGGTGGAAAGCTACCCGCAACACACCTGCTTTGGCTCCGTTGGTCCCAGGGTGATGGGGATTTGTTGAGAAATACACAGAGGATCATGGGGATGCTCACATATGGCGGAGTCCTGCCTGTGGGGATGGGGTTAGCTTTGAGGGACCTCTGGGGGTGGTCAATGTCCCTTCTTCTGCCCCACTCGGGCGTGCTGAGCTCTCCCTGCTGGACTCTGGCTCCCCTCATTTTATTGCTCCCCTCCCTACTCGCTGCCCTTTTCTCTCGTGGCTCCTGCTTCCTTGTGGCCCACTCATGGCTCGTCATGGCCCCCACCTCCCTCTACTCTGGAACTTCATGCCTTTGCTCCTGCTGCTTCCAGCTCGAGGCCTCCGCACCTCCAATTCCTCCAGCTCGAGGCCTCCACACCTCCAATTCCTCCAGCTCGAGGCCTCCACACCTCCAATTCCTCCAGCTCGAGGCCTCCACACCTCCAATTCTGGGTCTGCAGAGCAGGATCTGCATCAGTCAGCCCTTTCTTGCTGGAGTCAGTCCCCATCGTGACCTGCGTGGAAGGGATGGAGAGGAAGTTATGCCAGCACACAGCTTCTGTGTCTGACATCCCCAGTACAGCTTCCCAAAGGAAACAACACTGGGGCCCATGGCTATAGCCAGAAATCTGTCCTGCCTCCATGGGCCAAAAGCCCTATCTGGGAGTTGTCAGAAATTTCTGGCAGACAGAACATGTGAAGGCAGACAGAGACCTTCGCAACCCTGCTGACCTCCCAGCCAAGGGCCACCCAACCCAGAAGATATCAGATACCATGGGAAGTGGCCACCCACAAGCAGGCCACCAAGGGGGAGCTCTGTCTGGCTGCCCTACACCACACCGCCCCCACTCACCTCCATCCTCACCTGCTGCCAAGTGAGGCTGGGGTGCAGTGCCCGACTCTGAGCAGCGCAGTGTTACCAGTGCTCTTGGCACAGCTTGGCTGGCATCCAGATGCCTGCCTGGAGAATAGGAGGCCAGCCCTCCTCTCCCCTGGTGTGGGCAGCAGCCTGCTGGCTGGACCCCTGCTTTCAGGGCTTCCTCTCAGATGCCCCATCCCTAGAGCCCCCAGTGATCCTCCCAATCCACACCTTGTCATTCTCCCACCTGACCCTTCTAGTAACTGCCTGGGAGCCCACAGACTCACAGCCATGTCATAGGGGCATGACAGCCAAAGCCCCCTGGGACCTGGCCTGCCTGGCTCTCCGGCTTCCTACCTGTACATGCCCTGCCTCCCATATGACATGCCAGCAACACTGACCTGCTTAGCTTCTTGTACACCCATGCCATTCTAGCCTCAAGCCTTTATTTTTGTTGTGCCTTCTGCCTACTCCTCAGACACCTAGAATGGCCTTTCCACTTCCCTGTCCCTGCGTCCACCAACCCTTGCTTCTCTGTAAGACTTGGCATTGGTACCCCCTATGGAAGGGGGGTCCTGTCATCCTCCAGGAAGCCTCCAAGGCCTTTCATGGTGCTTCCCTATCATCCCCCACTGTGCTGTCTGCTGCGTCACCGTCTTCTAGGGATGCCCATCTCCCCAGCTGCTCCTGGAGAGCAGGGGCTCTGTCTGCATCATCTGATTCCCTGGTGCCCAGGGCAGGGTGCAGAGCACAATTGGGTCCTAAGGTATTTTAACCCTAATCTTCTGCAAGGGGACAGCAAACACATCCTCTGCCTGGATGCGGGGTTTGGAGGGATTTTCTTTTAGGCACGGAAGTGGTGAGACACTTCCTTTGCCAAGCTCTCACTGGGTTGCCTTGAAGCCTGGGAATTTGTCTCAGGCCCTCTTGGAAGGTCTATGTAGTTTTGGGGGGTTTCTATTTTGGTAGTGATAGGATAAATAGATTCAAGGTTTAGAGATGCAGCCGTTCCGAAGAGGCCACAAGATAGCTAAACCTGGAGATTTGCATGCTGAGGCCATGCCCATAAGATCCAGGCTTGCTGATGAGGTCAGAGAAACCCAGTGCAGCCTCAGAAAGGGTGCTCAGAGTAGCTGAACCTCTCGACTTATATTTCTTGGGGTTTTTCTGTTTGTTTGTCGTTGTTGTCGTTTGAGGCAGGGTCTGGCTCTGTTACCCAGGCTGGAGTGCAGTGGTGCGATCTCAGCTCACTGCAACCTCTGCCTCCCGGGCTCAAGCCATCCTTCCACCTCAGCCTCCCTTGTAGCTGGGATTATAGATGCACGCCACCATGCCCAGCTAACTTTTGTATTTTTTGTAGAGATGGGGTTTGACCATGTTGTCCAGGCTGGTCTCAAATTCCTGAGTTCAAGCAGTCTGCCCATCTCGGCCTCCCAGAGTGCTGGGATTACAGGCATGAGCCACCTTGCCTGGCTCCAATTTGTATTTCGCAAACACCATGATGGGAATTCCTGGTTCCTAACAACTTTTCTTAAAGTCTCTCTTTCCTCTTCCATCTGTTGCCTCCATACCTGCAGAGCCTCCAGGTCCATCCCCTCCCCTGTTCTTCCAAATCTGCATCATCAACACCCCCAAAGAACTGAGGATAGTAGATCCTTCCTAGGACGGAAGGGGAAGAACCTGACTGCCCCTTTCAGTGCAGGGCCCAGACAACAGATGGGACAAGGAACTCCAGTCTCCCAAGGAGGGGTTAACGTGGCGACTATTTGGAAAGGTGCCAAAAACCACAGAGACCACCCTAGGCCTGAAAGGGAAGAGAGGAGGGAGCAACTGACCCAAACCTAGAGGTTGCTGGAAACCAAGGAAATAAAAGATTGACCTCTCTCCTCCCTCCTTCCCTCCAGCCTCCAGCACTGCCCACTGGGCAACCCGACTGGAAGCTAAAAGGGAGAACAGTGTGGCATTGAGCAGGGTGGGGAGGGACAGGGGGTCTGGAGACACAAAGACAAGACATCCAAGCCAGACGGTCTTTAGTGGCTGGGGAAGGGAAAGGCTGGGACACTCAGACTGTCATTTTTGCTTGGCACAAGTGATGAAGGACAAACAAACACAACAAAACAGTTTTTGATAATAATAATTTTTTTTATAAGAATGTATTCCCTTCTTAAAAAAGGAAGAGTAGCCAAGTCCAAGGACATGCCTCGGAAAGTTCTGGAAGATTATACCATGTGTCAGGCAGCTGATAGGAACCCAAAGGGGGGTTTTTGGAGCAAGCACAAGCCACCTACCTAGCACCAAAGAAATCCATTAACTGATGAGATGCTGCCTAATTTCCTTTCACTGACATATCCCAAGCTAAGGTCCCAACCTCCAGATTTGCAAAACGAAATGAAAATGATTAATGCAATCTACTGCAATTGTTTTCAAGCTTAATATTCTGCCTAGAACCCATTCAGGGAAATGTACTATAATTGCATTTTAAACCACGAAGTGAAAGAAAGGGGCTGGGGCCAGACAGCCGGAGTGTGGGAGGAGAAGCTCCATCCCGGCGACCAACTAGAGGCCGAGAAGGAGACCTGAGGGTGCAAGGGCTTTGGGGGAGATTTTCAACAAATGAGGTTAATGAAGGTAGGTGGGAGAGGGAGCCTGGGGAAGGGTCTCACCCTAGAAGCCCTTGTAAGCCCTTCCAAAGGAACTGGAGGGACTGGGGAGAAACAGAGACTTTCTTACCCGGCATGCAATAGGAACTTAAACCCAGTTCCAATGAGCAAATGAAATTAGGCAACAAAACTGATCAAATTTTTATTTCTCAAAATGTATTGTTCAAACTACTAGTCCCATGAGATGCCTTTGGAAAAGAGGGTTTCGTGGTCAAATATCTTGGGGAAGAACCACATGTAAGGCACAGAGCTCATTAAGCCATTGAAGGTGCTGAGTGAAAATACATTGAACCAGACACCACAGTGTCCACATATAGAACCAGGGCCCTTGGCATGGATGGCTACTAACATCCAGCGGCATCGCTCTGAGCAGAACTTCTGGGTGGTGCTGTCGGATTAAACTAGTGAGGAGGAGGCTCCCTGCGGAGGAGAGAGGACCAGGGCTGGGGTTGTTTTCTCCCCATGACCAGACACCAATAAAATGTATCTTTTTTTTTTCTTGGAAGGGTGAGATGGTCACAGGTGGCCCAAATAAGGCTATGTCCAACTCTCCCTCTTCATCTGCCAGGGATAAGTCCAAGATACTTGAAGTTCATTCATTCATTCAGCAAACATTTGCTGAGCACCTACTGTGTGCCAGGAACTGTTCTAGGCACCGAGTGCAACAAGGCACAGGACAAAAAAAATCGCAGCCACGGAGGAGCTTACATTCCAGAAGAGTGCCATGTCCCCTCCTTCTCCCACAGCCCGGGAGTGTTCTGTGACACCCCTAAACCCATCCTGCCGCCATTGCTGATTGGGCCGGGGAGGGACACCTGATCCAGGGAGACCCAATCCAGACACTGGGTCAGGCCAATTCATTTCAGAGCTCAGACCTTGGAGCCCAGCAACCTGGGTTCAAACCCCAACTTCCTTACCCATTAACTAGGTGATCCTGGGCAAGTTAACCCCTCCTAGCTTCTGTGTCCTTGTTTATTATCTTCATAAGTAAGGATGACAATACAACTTGCCTTGTAAGGTTATTTTGAGAATTACATGAGAAAACTCACATAAAGACCTTGGACCAGTGGCTGGCACATCACTGGGGCTCCACAAGTTTGCTGTCGGGTCGTGATGGTCATTCTTGCTCCCACAGAGGAAGAGACTAGATTAGTTGGCTGGGCCTGGGGGATCTGTAAGGTTTGGGAAGGAAGACTGCCATTTGAGGACAGCCATTTGGGGACCCTCATGAGCAAACAGAGGGAGCTGATCTCCAAAGCAAATCAGAAAAAATGGTGATGACGGAAGAGAGGTGGGCCAAGGAGGGACAGAGTGAGCATCCCCTTTGCGTCTGACAGTTTGCTTCTTGCTTTGTGTCTGATGGTTCTTCCTCTTGAGGCTTGGTGGTTCCCCTTGGGTTCCATGACCTTTCCCAGTCTCCCACTAATTTCAGTTATTTTGACTGGGTTTTCTGTTCCTTAGAGGCAAGTAGCCCCTGACCAAGTCAAGGTGTCCCGAAAACCCTGCTCAAGAGTGTGACCTAATCAGGAAAAAGAAATTTGTTTACAGCGAGCCCAAGCTGGAGAACAAACAGGCTTCCTCTGCCAGGGCTTCCCCTCACTACGTGGGGCTCGGCATCGCACCTCCCACCTCCTGGAGGAGGAAAAGGAAGGAGGCATTTGGAAAGTAGGAGAAAGGCCAACAAGTGGGACCCAGAAGCTCTCCCCACCCAACACTGCCAGGACAGAGGGAAGACGTCCAAAGCTCATTAGCAAGTCCCAAGAGCCATTTCCTGTGATTCTTCAAGGCTGACTAGGTCACTCAGAGGAGCAGAAGACATCTGCTGTTTCTTCCCCTGCTGCAGATAGAGTCCCTGTCCAGCTAAGAAGGATAGGCCTGGAAACATTCCAGAAAAGCCCTCCCTCTGTTCCCTCTTCCTGGAAGGAGAGCCAGGGACACCGTGCTCTCCACAGTCCCCCTGAATGACATTTCCACTCTGCTGGGAGGCCTGGGCAGTGCTGAGATTAGAGAAGGTGGGAGGGCAGGCAGGCCCCCGGGGCAGAGGTTGAGCATGTGGGATTGCTGGGGGAGAAGGCAGCAAGAGGGGCTGGAGGTGGGGAGTTGACAGGCAAGCCCCAAAATGGCTTGAAATAGATGGTGGCCGTGAATGCTGTGTCGAGGAATGGGGGAGCCGCCAAAGGTCTTTAGGAGGGCATGGCAGGGTCTAACCTGAGTTTTAGGTAGATTGCTTTGGAAGCAGCACAAAGATCTGATCAATGACAAGGTGTGGCTTGGTCACAAAGAATAAGAAGCTGGGTATGCGGCCGAGGGCATGGCATCATCACACAGGGACCCTGACAAAGTTGATGGGGATAGAGCTGTTGACCTAGAGTCCTTCAGGTCCTTCCCTGCTTCCCCCATGGCAGCCTCAGAGCTGAGGGCTGGGCCTGTGCGTGAAGCCCAGCTGTGCTTCCAGTCTCGCTAGGGAGCTCCTTCATGACAGGCAGCTTTGGGCTAGAGTGAGATCCGTGGGGAGACAGGACAGAGACAAGACGATGTCACATACTGCAGGCATATTTATTCACTCAACAAACACTCACTACACATCTGCGCCGAGTCCTGAGCAGACACTTCCAGCCCTCCAGGGAGCACTCTTGATCGGGGCACTCTCCTCTTCCTCCTCCTCTTTTTCTTTTTTAAACCCTTGGCCCTTTCTAGTACATAAGTAAGGCTTGCTCTTTATATTAATTTCCTGTGGCTGCCACAACAAATTATAAAAGCTGGGTGGCCTAGAGCAGGAATTAATTCTCTCGCCATTCTAGAGAACCGGGAAGTGTGAAATCAAGGAGTCGGCAGGGCTGTGCTCCTTCTGAAAGCCCCAGGAGAGAATCCTTCCTCCCCGCCCTCTTAGCTGTTAGTGTTGCTGACAAACCTTGGCATCCTTGGCTTGGTGACACATTGCTCCAATCTCTGCCTCCATGGTCACACAGCGTTCTCCCTGTGTGTCCCTGTGTCTCTCCTCTTCTTACAAGGAGACCAGTCATATTGGATTATGGCCCACCCTAATCAAGTATGATTTCCATCTTAATGTGATTACATGGGAAAAGATGACAATTTCCAAGTGGGATCACACTCACACGTATCAGAGGTTAGGACTTCCACCTGGCTTTTGAGCACACAATTCTACCCACAACAACTTGGGTAGGAAATCATAGGGAATTTGTAGGCAAAAACAGAGATAAACAAAAGAAAAAAGAGATAAAAATAAAATTGTTAAAAAGTTGCATTACCCAGAGATAACAACTCTAACCTTTTGGGATGTCTCCTAAATATTATTCCCTCTCTACAAAAATATGTCATTATTTATGCAAAAATTCAGTCATCCTGTGCACACCATTGGGACCTGCTTATTTCACCCGATGAAATACAGTGTATGTTCTCATTGTTTTTCAAGCCTGGATTAGATCTTCCCTATTAAAATTGAGATGCACTACCTATGTGTCCTTCTTGATGCAGAAAATACGACTGATATCGTCTTAGCCTTGCTCACTTCCTTTCTTGTTAATGTCAATCTCATCACTTCCCTATAGGTCAATATTTTGGTCCTGCTTTACAGGTGAAGATATAGATTCAGAGATGTTAAGTACCTTGTCCCAGGTCACGAAGCCAATAAACATCACACTGGAGATCTGCACCCAGGGCCGTCAAAGGATAGAGTTGCTTCTTTGTGTTATTACTTGAAACCACCTCCTTCGATGGAGCTGCTTCTTGGGTATTATTCTATCAGGGATGCTATTAAGATTCACCTTGCAGGTCTTGATGGATGTGAATGAAGGAGAATTTGCAGGTGAAAAGGCAGGTGGAGGAGGTGTCATGCAAGGGCACAAAAGTAGGAACCGGCTCGCCCTGAGAAGGAAAACGTGAGCTGTTTGCTATAGCAAACAGTGAGGCAGGGCGAGGTGGGAGGTGTCAGCTGGGTCCTGCGAGGAATCTGGGCGTTATCCAGACAGCGATTGGAGCCCCTGGCACTGTCAGCACGGAGAAAGCTTGCGTTTTGGAGAGCTCATTCCGGCTGCAGGGTGGAGGATGGCTGGGAGAGGTTGACCAGGGCAGAGAGATTGGGGAGCCAGGGGGCGAGTAAGGGTGGGGGCTGGGGATGGGGTGGGGTGCGGCTTGACCAGTTGTATGAGGAAGAGCGAGGCTGGGGAAGGCGGAGTAAGATCTGAGGTCCAGCAGCTGCTCTCTGGTCTCCAGAGGAAGCTGAGGTGTGGGCCTTGCCCTGGGTGGCTCCACTTCAGCCCTGCTGGCCAGATCGACCGCCCTCGTTCTCTTTCTTAGCAGGAGACCTCCTAGTTGGCATCAAGCTAAGCCTCAGGCCTCACTGGTTGGAAGCCCTGGCTCCACACCACAGAAGGCACAGAGAGAAGTGGTGTGGCAGATGTACTGGGAACATGGGATTAAACACTTAGGGAGTGACGGAAAGCTGCCCTCTGGAGGGTGCGGGATGGGGCCCAGGCCCTGCCTCCTGCGCAGGAAGGCTGGGTGGTGGGGGCTGGAGGAAACAAGTCCCCTCTGGGGAGTGGAAGCAGGCTCACCCGTCTGTTTCTGGGGAGTGGAAGCAGGCTCACCCCTCTGTTTCTGGGGAGTGGAAGCAGGCTCACCCCTCTCTTTGCCCCCCCGGCAACACACACACAGTGGACCTAGCCCACACTTCCATCATCCGTCCTCGGGCAAAAAGATGTGCTTGTTTCCTCCAGCCCTCGCCACCCAGCCTTCCTGAGCAGGAGGCGGGGCCTGGACCCCATCTCCCACCCTCTGGAGGCAGCTTGATGCACACATCAGTGGTGCAGTCCACTCTCAGGAGGTGGAACTCGGTCCTCTGTGCGGGCCCTGGAAGTTTGGGCAGAGAATTCTGGGCTCCTGAGTGTCTGGAGGAAAGTCAGAAGTGGGGAGAAGGAGGGTTCTGGGCTCTGGGTCTCTGGCTTGGACAGCTGAATAGACTTAGGTGCTGCTCCCCGGTTTTGGAATCCCAGAAAAGGGAAGAGGCAGCTGGGATAGGGGTGATGATGAATTTAGAGCGAGCAGGTTGCCCTGAGGGGCTTGTGGTCGAGGAGGCTGAGTGGGGGAGCTCACCAGTCCAGGCTTAGCTACAGACCGAGGAGGGCCTCAGCTGCTGACCCCCAACACCCCAGAGAGATGAAGGATTCCTTCCAAACTCCTGGGCCAGTTGTTCCTCCCTCCCAGGTGCCAACTATAGTTACGGAGCTCGAATCATGGGGGATGGTCAGCCCTGTCTCCTCTGGTCCCTCCCTTCCCTGGCCTGCTCTATGGAAGGTCTCTGGGGTTCTGAGCCTTCCAAGAAGAGGAAAAGACAAGATGTCTCAACTCTAAGGTCAGAGCACTTTTCTAAGGAGTATCTGGATGTGGAAGAGTAGGCAAAGACATGAAAATATTAAACCTGGATAGGCCAAAGCATAAAGAGCTCTGGAATAGATGGGAAGGAAGCTGCCACTGATGGACTGACTGACTGATTGACTGATTGATTGATCGATTGTAGTAAAATGCATATAACATAAAAATTGCCCTCTCAACTGTGTTAAAGTGTACAGTTCAGTGGCATTAAAGACATGCACAATGTCATACAATGCCTACTATCCAGTTCCAGAACTTTTCATCACCCCAAGTGGAAACCCCATGAGCTACCATTGATTCGGGAGAAACTATGCACTGTGCTGCATTCTTCACTCCCATTAGCTCAGCTAACCCTCCTCATAGCTTTGAGAGGAGTCTGTTTCGCAGATGAGGAGAATGAAGCTCAGGAAAGAACAATAAGTTGCTCAAAGCCATACAGGTGGTACATGCCCAAGACAGGATTTGTGTCCAGGTTTGTCCAACTCCAGAGCCCATTATGTCTGATGGGGGCAGTTGGAGGATGCTGAGACTGGGGTAAAACCCACACAGCTGCTGCTGCTGTCCACTGGGGTACAGCTGGGTTGATCTCTACCCACACCCCAGAAGATGGTAGAGGACCTAGCAAGGCATTCTGCTATGCAGAGGAACTGTCTAGATGAACCAGGGACTCAGGCTGGAGATGGGGCTTAGCTGGGGGAGCAAGGGAGTGGGGCACAGTGCCAGGGCTTGTGACCTATTGAGGGCAATCCCAGTTAGGGGCTGGCAGTAGGGACCAGGGTCCTATCCCTAGGGAAGAGCGCTGATCCCAGCCGTGCAGTGGACAGCCGGCGTCAGAGAGGTCCTCCATGCCAGGCAAGGGGCTGCCAGGAGCACCAGCTGGAGGTGGGGCCTGACTCCAGATCCCAAACCCTTCCCAGCAGGGGTCTGAGTCCAAGCAGGAAGTGCTCGTGGCCCTCAAATCTGTGTCTCCCGTGGACTCCGAAAAACTCAAGATTTCATTGGTGTGAAGGCCTCAGATGCACCCGTGCAGCAGGAAGTCAGAAAAGCTTTCACCTTTTCTCTTCTCTTTCTTCTACGTGTGTGCATGCAAATACACTCAGATGTAAAAATGGAATCTTATTATACATCCAGTTTTGCCACCTGTCTTTTTTTTTCTACTCAAAAATGTCACGGGAATCTTCCCAAGCTATTTAGACATCATGCGGTTTAAAGGCGACACAGCAGTCCATTGCACGGCTGCCTCCTAGTTTATCTGACCCAAGGTTCTTACTTGGCAGCATCTGGAGACATTTTTGATTGTCACAACTTGAGGGGCGGGGTGCTACTGGCATCTAGTGGGTAGAGGTCAGAGATGTTGCTAAACATCCTACAATTGACAGGACAGCTCCCTCTAATGAAGAATTACCTGGTCCCAAATGTCAATGGTGCTGATCTAACCAATGTCCCACTAATTAGCATTTAGACCTTATCCAGTAGCCAAATGGTTTGATTATTACAATGTCGCCATTAACATCTTTTTGACACACAGTCCATCCTCATTTTTCGTAGATTCCTTTTGGCAAATGTGCCTACTTGCTTAAATTTATTTGTAACCCCAAAAGCAATATTTGCTGCACTTTGACAGTCGTTCTCAGATACGCACAGAGCAGTCAAAAGCTTGCCTCACCCAATGGGCACTTCCCAGACGAGGTGGAGCGAGGCCAGGCTCTGCCTTCCTGTGTCAGCTCTCGCACTGGAAATTAGCGTCCTTTTGCAGTGTATTTAGTGCCACCATTTTTTGTGCTTTTTGTTGGTGATGTCACTGTTAAAATGGCCCCAAGCACAGAGCTGACGTGCTGTCTAGTGACCCTAGGCACAAGAAGGCTGCGATGAGCCTTATGGAGGAAAGACATGTTAGAGAAGCTTCATTCAGGTTTGAGTGATGGCCATGAGTTCAACGTGAATGAATCTGCAATATACACTAAATAAGGTGTCTTTGAACAGAAACACACATACAACGAGGTGGTGTATTGATCACTCGACAAGTGTGTTGTGACCAGAGGCTGAAAGGACCCTAACCCTGTATTTCCCCTGGGAGCAGTGCCTTGATGTTTGCTAATTCGGTGTTCCCAGCAACTTTAAAGAACATGACTGGCACAAACAATGAGAACTGATGGTACACCATGATTGTTTTACATGTTGTATACCCTGGAAGTGTGGTGGCTGCCTCACACGGTGAGGTCCTTTTGAGTATTGATACTTAGGATCAAACTAACATGCAGCAACAATGCTCTCACCAATGGGATATGAGAGTCTCAGTTCCCTGCACTCTTCCCAGCATGAAGTAGGGTTGATTTTTTGCATCTTTTTCAGCTATTAAATTTTTTTCATTTTTTTCCAACTATTGACAATTTCTTGAACTCCAAGGGAATGTGCACGGAAAGAAATAGTCTTACAATTTTGTACATTGCCCAACGTCTAATTTTTCATTTCCCATAATTAATACTCCTCAAAAAATTTAACATTCTAATAATTAAGCTGCTGAGTTCTTAAAACTTATGAATTTAATAAATTAGATGTTCCCAAGCATTTAAGCTTTGATTACAAACTTAACCAAATAAGCTCTTCACACATCTATTATTTCAAATTCTCGTAAGTGCTTTAAATATCTTGAAAAGTAGACAATTATATAACGATAAAGCTGACAAGAACACTTTCACCATAACTGGTGATAGCAGGACCAACATCATGGATTTCAACTTGTCTTTTTATTACTTCTATTCTTATTTTCATTTACTATCTCTTGTTATTTCTAGTTTCTTCCTGGGGCTAGGATTTTATTTACCCAACCAAAGAATTGAAGTTTACTTCCCAGGCTGCCTGAGCCTGCAGATACCAGCCAATGGTAGATGACTCAGGAGCCTGGTTTGTGAGACTTGGGTGCATCTTTCACCCATTATGTTGCTGGGCACACCCCTTTTTAGGACTTCCTATGCATTCTATCTGTTGCATTAGGCCCAGTGCAGTGGCTCATGCCTGTAATCCAAATGCTTTGGGAGGCCAAGGTGGGAGGATCACTTGAGCCCAGGAGTTCAAGGCCAGCTTGAGAAACATGGTGAGACCTCATCTCTACAAAAAATAAAAAATAATTAGCTGGTTGTGATGCACGTACCTGTGATCCCAGCTACTTGGGAGGCTGAGGTAAGAGGATTGCTTGAGCCCAGGAGGTTGAAGCTACAGTGAGCCATGATCGTGTCACTACATGCCAGCCTGGGTGACAGAGCAAGATCTTCTCTCAATAAATAAATAAATAAATAAATAAATAAATAAATAAATAAGGCCCCTGTTATTGCCCCCAACCAAATGGATTCATTTAGATTTGTTCACAGCCTTGATCTTTTCCTCGAAAGGACATTTGTTCATTCACATCCCTTGCTGCTGCTGAATGACTTGACATGAGCATTTTTTGCAATCCTTTGCTCCGAATGCTTCATCTGCAGAGGATATCTGCTCATGACACCATTTCATGAAGGTTTCTCCTGAAGGTTCTTTCTTCATGATATTATATAACCTGAGTGGTTTTATTTTGTAACTGCTTTTTTGTGAATGGGGTTTGCCCCAATTTGGACAAATCTAAAGCTTTTGGCTACTCTAATTATAACAGATCTTTCTTATCTACCACGAAGACCTCCAGTATTGACAATAACCCAACGGGACACGCCAGCCTTTTTAAGATCTTCTTAGTGCTCTGCTGTGGAGACGCATCATATTTTATTTAGTCAGTGCTGCATTGCTTGACATCTAGTAGCATCTAGTCTTTCACTATTATAGTTAGTGCTGCCATGGATATTCTTATGCATGAATCTCTGTGTATTCATCCAATTATTTCCAAAAGTAGAACTGACTGGGTCTAATTCTGAAGCAGTTGCCAACAATTAAAAGTCATATTCTCACGGAAATCTGATTTCTGACTATGGTTGACAGGTGGAGCAATCTGGCAGCCCAAGCCCATCCCTGCGAGATAATGACCTGGACGCAGGGTCTGCTCCCTCTAGAAGCTGGTCTCTTGGGAGTCTCACTTGGCTCTTTCTCCCATTTGCAAGACCTGCCTGGCTTTTATAGATTCTGAGTGTGCAAACCCTGGCATTTGTCGATTTGATGGGTTTAAAATGACATCTGATTGAAGTTGTAATTTTTATTTACTAAATGATCGGTGCAATTGAGCCTGTGCAGCTGAGGAACGTCTTCTGGCTTTTATTAGTCATTGATGTGTCTTGTTTTGTGACTTGCCTGTTCACGGTCTTTGCTCTAATTTTCTATTGGGTTGTCTGTAAGAGCTCTTTATCCTTTTAAAGTTAAAAGAAGAAATAAAAAAGCATCTCTACTTTAAATTAGCCTGGTTTGGGCAGCAGACAAGATATAGGCTGTCTCATGCACACCTAGAAGACTTCTGAAGTTGCCTGAGTCCAGGTTGGAGGGGCAAGAGATGACAGGTGGGCAGCCTGGCACTCTATTAACCATACCTGGATGCAGCTTGGGCTAGAAAGGACATACAGACTGAAAACAGGATCTTGAAATAATACTATTTTAGGTCAGCCTATCCCTTGATATGCACACAACTTTACATCCCATGGAACGTTCTGTAGGCAAAGAGCAATGGACCGGGAGTCAATTAGACCTGGAGTTCAGTCCCAGCTCTGCTACCTCCTAGCTGTGAGATGTTGGGTGAATCACTTCACCTCTCTGAGCTTTTTTTTTGTCCTCCCTCACGCTGTCTTATGGTCTTCCTAAAGCCAGCAGGTTCTTGCAACCATGGTCTCAAAAGAAGAAAGCCAAAAAAAAAAATCTTGAACTGGAAGAAATAAGTTCTGGGATCTAGTCCCAACTCTGATGCTTACTGTTTCTGGTTCTTAGTTTTCCCATGTGTAAATGAGGGGCTTGGGCGCTACAAGCCCTGAGGATGCAGCCATCTCTGGCATTCTAAGATGAAAAACTGCCTTCTACTGTCTTATCTTGAATTCCTGGTTGGGCCAGCTCAGCTCAGTAGATTTCAGCTTGATTGAAATAATAGCCATGTCCTGAGCTTCTTCAATGTACCGGGCACAAATTGGGTCAGGGACTTCAGAAAAAAGCAGAACAGATATGGTCCTTGCCCCCATGGCATCCAGGGCTAGACCAAGGGAAATTGACAGGCTGTTAATTTCTGGGAGCCCAGAAGGCATTTAGCTGAGCCTTGGGTCCTGGGAGGCTTCCTGGAGCAGGAGCGGTCTGGGCCCGAGGGTCAGCAGGAGTCAGATGCCCCAGGAGGGGGAACAGCATGCGCAAAGGCTCGGGAGGAAGATGAGGTGTGGCTCAGTGCTGGGAGTGAACTAAGCACGGAGGAGGTGGGTTCAGGGTTGGGGAGGACCACAGAGGTTGGCAGGGCCAGATCATGGAGACCTTTGCAAAGATGTTAAGGAATCAGGGCCTCTTTCCAGGCATGGAGAAGAGTTTTGATGACAGGACTGACAAGTCAGCTTTGTATCTTCGGAAGAGCACCCTGGCTGCTGAGAGGAGGCCCGAGGATGGACTGGAGGGAGGGAGACTATGAGGAGGAGAGTGGGATGAAGGGAAAGGGGTGGGGCTGAGGGTTTCCCAGGCCAAATACTGCCGTGGGTGTGGGGTGAGGAAGAGGAAGGTTAGAACGGTGGCCGCCAGCGAGGCCTGGCAAGGGCGTGGGAGAGCAGCTTTAGCGGGAGGCAGATGGCCAGCGAGGTGGGGCGGCTGTGGACATTTGGGGGGGATGACTGTCCGAAGGCCACGAGGGTAGGTTTAGTGGCTGACAGATTCATTCACTCATTCATCTATTGTGGCCCACTTTGGACCAGGCCCTGGACTGGGCCGAGCCAGTGAATGAAAGATAACTTGTCTCTGCACTTCAGGTGGGAGAAAGGCAGTAATGAAGGGATGTATTATCCAAGGACTACCAGGATGTGGAGAGCAAGGAAAAGACAGCAGAGGTGGGAGGTGGGGCTGCCAGGACTCAGGAGGGGTGGCAATTCTACTCAGGAGGACCAGGGAAGGTCTCATGAAGAAGGAGGCTTGTGAAGAAACTGTGCATCCGTTCCTCCGTCGGCCCATCCATTCATCTGTATGTCCAGCAACACTGGGAGAGGCACCAGCGGGAGGAAGTGAAGGAGTACGCTGCAGAACTTAACCTGTGAGCAACTGTGGGCGTCCGTCCTCTGGGGGTGAGTCAGAGGAGAAGCAGGGGACCAGGATGGGCTAGAGTAGGGAACTCCAAGCCTGGCAATGCCTGCCCAGCTTGCTTTTGGGGATCATCAACAACTACAGCAGGAAAAAAAAAAGCAGAACCACTGTTGCTTAACTTGGGTTTTGTTTGTTTGTTTGTTTTGAGACAGAGTTTCACTCCCGCCATCCAGGCTGGAGTGCAGTGGCATGATATTGGCTCACTGCAACCTCCGCTTCCCAGGCTCAAGGAATTCTCTTGCCTCAGCCTCCTGAGTAGCTGGGACTACAGGCGTGCACCACACGCTCGGCTAATTTTTTTGCATTTTTTTAGTAGAAATGGGGTTTCACCAAGTTGCCCAGGCTGGTCTCAACTCCCAAGCTCAAATGATCCGCCCACCTTGGCATCCCAAAGTGCTGGGATTACAGGCGTGAGCCACTGCACCTAGCTGGATTTTTTTCTTTTTATAAATCAAGTCTTCTTTTTAATGTTATTTCAAAGGTCTGTGGGGCATCACGACCCAGGTCCCCAGCACTAGCCTGCTGTCCTGTCTCCTCCCCAGGGCCAGGCTGACCTCTCACTTTTACCGTCTTCAGAATGGCTGAGTGCAGACCTGTCTCCTCCAGTGTGCAGGCTGCGACACAAGCCATGAGGCACAGTCACCAGAAACTATTGGCCGGCTTTGGGGGCTCAGGCCTTGATTCCAGCTCCTGTTCCGCCTCTGACCCACCATGTGGCCACGGGGAGTCCTCCTCACTTTGCTAGGCCCCTTCCTTCCTCTTTATAATATGGGTCGGAGAGTCCATACCTGCCTTCCTCAGAGGGCTGCTGTGAGGGTCAGATGAGGGAATGGACTTGAAGATACCCCAGGTGTTTGTTAAGCACCTACTGTGTGCAGACACAAGGTGAGCAGAATAGTCCTGGTTCACGCTCATGGAGTCATGGTCTGTGGAAGGGAGAGACATTAGTCAGATAAGCCCCCGGGCTGGGCACTGCGGGCAGGCTCAGGGCACACAGCTGTCCAAGCCGAGACAAGCCAGGGACATAGGAAGCCATTTGTGCCCCACTCAGAGGCAGAGTCCTCGGGCAAGGCCCTGGCAAAGGAACTGTGGTGAGGTGTTTGTGCTGAGGTCTTGGGAATCAGCTCTTACCGGTGTCTGAAAACGTAGGTTTTGTCATTGCTGTCCAGGTGTGGTGAGGCTAGCAGATCAGGGCTAATTTCCATTGGAAAGTGTGTTTGTGACTCATAGTTCTCAGGAGGAGAGGGGATGCCACACCCCAAAGGACCACACAGAAAGCACCAGGGCCAGTTGAGAGGCAGAAGGACAGATGGGAAAATGTGGGCAAGAGCCTTTGTTATCACGTCTGCAGGAAGGAGCGGGTGAGGCAGGGTAAGCAGGCTTAGGATTGACTAGTTGGAATAGTTGAAGGGGGTTCTGCAGCATAGGGTTTGTCCCTAGATGTCTTTGCCTGGCCCTGGTGTGATCAGGGCAGGGGGAGAGTGGCTGTTGTGTGTGAGCTGGATGGAAGACGTGGTGGATGTGAGCTCTGGGCTGGTTAGTTTGCAGAGGAAAGGCATGCTCTCGAGGAGTGGTTCACTAACCTAGGAATTGGCCAGTCCTGTCATTGTCAGTCTCCAGGGTCAGCGAAGCCACAGATGTCAAAGCATCAGAATTACATGGTTAATACACCCAGCTCCCAATCTCTGCTCAGCAATTCACAAGCTTTGTGACCAGGAAGTTATTTGGCTTCTCTTTGGTTCAACTTCCTCGTCTATAAAATGGGAGTGATAATCCCTTTCCCCTGGGCTGTTAGCGGTGGCTGATGGAGTGTGGGTGCTAGCAGAGGCTTTTTGCCTGGGTGACTGGGCTTGCTGCGTTCCCCTTTCTGGGATGCTGACTTTACTGGTGAACTGGGAGGCGGAGGCTTAGAAGCAACTAATGCCCCTCTCTTGACTGTTCTGCTGCCTGGGTCCACAGTCCTGGGCCTGCGGGCAGCCTCGACCCCTTCCTTCTGATTGCAAGACTGTGTCCCTTCAAAACCCCACTTCCCCTGGCTTTTGTGCACTGTGTAGCCCTAAAGGGTCCCAGGGAAAACCAGCTCCAAATCTCCAAGCACCTGCTGTGGGCCAGGACGTCCACAGGCACCACCTCTTGTAACTTCATCTCCACAAGACTGCATGGTCAGCGTTTTTTCTCCCCATTCTACAGATGGGGAGACTGTGGCTGAGGGTGAGGTGACTTGCCTATGCTGACTCAGCAATTCGAAGCTGTCGGGGCTGTTGTGTGTACCTGTGCATGTCTTCACCTCACAAGGCACCCAGATGCGAGGGGAGCAGGACTAAAGTCTAGCCCAGACCCTTCAAGCCAGCTGTGTGCTGCGGGCTGCCTGTCAGCCAGGAGGGAGGGCACCTTCAGTGTAGGGGCTTCGGTACTACTAGGGGGTTTAGGCCCAGGTGCACTCTTCTCTCTGCTTCTTTTCTAGGGACAGGAGTGTAGAGGCAGGTACATCCCAGCCTCCTCAGGCGAGGCTTCTCCTTCCTCCTGGCGCTGGAAGGATCTGTCCTGGGGTCCTGGGTGGGCTGGAGACCGGAGTTGCCTCAAGGACACAACCTTAGGCCTGTTTTGGGCCTAAAGGTTCACTTCCACGCAGGGTGTAAGGGAAACACACCCCCCCCACATGTATGCACACACACACACACCACATACACACACACTCCCACGCACACACACACACACCACACAAACGCACACATACACCCCACACACACAGACACCACACACACATACACACACCACACACATATATCACACACACCACACACAGACACCACACACACCCCACACACACACGTACGCACACACCACGCACACACATACACACACACATACACCACACACACACATATACCACACACATACACCACACACAAACAGACCCCCTCACACACACACAGTCACCATACATATACACCACACACACATACACCATACACACATACACATACACATACCACACACACATCTCACACACACACACACCACACACACACCCACACACATACACACATACATACACCACACACACACACAGACCACCCTCACACACATACACCACACACACGCCACACACACATATACCACACACCTACACACACCACACACAGACACCACACACACACCACACACACCACACACACAGACACCACACATATGCACACAGACACCACACACACATACACACACCACACACACCACACACGCACACCACATACACACACACACGCACACCACACACACCACATACACACACACCACACACACACTACACACACACGCACACCACACACACACCACGTACACACACACACACGCACACCACACACACACCACATACACACACACCACACACATGCACACCACACACATGCGCACACACACGCACACCACACACACACCACACACGCACACACACACGCACACCACACACACACACCACACACCACACACACGCGTGTGCACACACACACAGACACAGGTTTCCCTGAGCTTGATTTTCCATGCACCAAGGGCAAGGCTTTCCCCAGCCCCTGCCTGTGGTGACCATGTCCTTGGTGGGACGCTGAGGACGGGTGCGTGTCTGTGTGGGAGGGGAGCGGGGAACAGGTAATTACCCAGGTGTGTGTGATACACAGAGCATGTTTGCTGTGACATCCTCTAGAATGTGACCGGTGTGTGTCCTGGGATGCGGTGTGCATAATGCTGCGTGTGGGGTGTGCTATGTGTGCTGTTTGTGGGTGTGGGTGTCACTGATGACTGGGCGGAGCGCTCATACTGGCAGGTCCCAGGAGCACGTGGCGGGTTGGGATGCACCGTGTGGGCAGCCGGCCCAGGCCCAGGAGCAGTTTCTTCCCCCGGAATCAAGTCATAGCCTCTCCATCCAGCTTATTTCCATTTGCTAGGACCCGTCTGGCGCCAAGATTTTAGGCTAGCGTGATCCCTCAGTTCTGGAGTTTTCCGCAGCCACAGCCTTCATGGGCAAAGGAAGAGGCCAAGAACAATAGCGGCACCTTCCTCTGGGCCCCCAGGAGAGGAAGGCCATCAGGTGGGGAGGGCTCTCTGGATGCGAGCACAGGGCCAGGACTGACCTTCGTGTGTCATTTTCTTATTTAATCCTTTTCACGCCTGTGAGAAAGGGTCACCAAATCAGTCAGGGACCCAGCAGGAAACGGGAGGTTGAAGAGGAGTCCCGGGGCTACCAATTGTACCAAGCTGTTACCTCCCTCTGCCTGGCATGAAACTGGCAAGAGCTGGACAGGAGCTGTGGCCACTGCCACCCCCTAATGACCGTCGAGGAGGGGCCAGGGGAACCAACGCCGCAGCCTCTCTCCTCCCATTCTCCGAGCTCCGTCGGCACTGGCCAGCCCAGCCAGAAGACAGAGGGTGGGGGGCCAGGGTGATGGCTCCTGTGGAGGTCAGGCTCTGGGTTCACAGCAGGTGGGGAAGGGTGGGGAGTGGCTCTGGAGAGGCAAGCAGAGACCTCCCAGAGCAGTTCCCATCCTGGCTTTATGGAGGAGGGCACCATAGTGATATCCACTGCCCAAGGTCACCCATGCGGAGGCTGCAGAGCCAGAATTGAAGCCTGGCTCTGACGGAGGACTCCCACCCACTGGGAGTCGGTGGGCTGGTCGAATACCCTCTCAGCCTCCAGTCAGACCACAGCCCCCACGGGGCCTCTGTCTCAAGACTTTTGGGAGGGGCGAATGAGGTCTTGAAACTGTAGCAGAGGATCTTTGATCTGAGTGGCAAAAATAAATAAATAAATAAATAAATAAATAAATAAATAGTTTTTAATGCAGCTGCCAAGGTGACACAGGTGATTACCAGAATAATAAGGGGATGGGATGGGAAAGCCATGTGCTGGGGAACTCAGCTGGAACCTTGCTTTAAGAGGCCCAGAGAAGTCCTGTGGCTTGCCTCAGGTTCCCACAGCATATCAGGGGCAGAGCCAGGGCCGGTAACTGTCTCCATGTTGCTGAGGAGATCCCAGCCACGGGCTAGGAGGTCTGCTCCAAACATTCTGCCAGAATCATGGGCAGAACCCACTCAGGGTCCCTCGTCTGCTTGGGAGGGGTTCATTGCAGCCTAAGACAGGAAATAATCCAAGTGCCCATCAATAGGGCGGTGGTTAAGTAGGATATAGTCTTATGCTGGAATAAGAGGTAAGTAATGAACAGGTTGAAATGAGTCTATGACTCAGAGAAACCTTCAAGATACAACAAGAGAGAAAGCCAGGCTACTAATCAAGGCCACAGTGAGATGTCACCACATCACACCCACTGGGATGGCCACAGTCCAAGAGAGAATAACAAGTGTTGGTGAGGAAGTGGGAAAGATGGAATCCTCGGACGCTGCTGGTGGGGATGTCAAATGGTACAGCTGCCATGGAAAATGGCCTGGCGGGTCCTCAAGCAGTTAAATAAAGAGATATCATGTGGCCCAGCAATTCACCTCCAGGTACAAACCCAGGAGAAATAAAAATGTGTGTCCACACAAAAACTTGTAGACGAATGTTTATAGCAGCTTTATTCATAATAGCCAAAAGGTGGAAACAACCCAAATATCCATCAACTCAAGAATGATAAACAAAATGTGGTCTATGTTTTCTGGTTTTTTTGGTTCTGTTTTGTTTTGTTTTGTTTATTTAGTTTTTTGGGTTTTGTTTTGTTTTGTTTTTTTTGAGACCGAGTCTCACTCTGTCACCCAGGCTAGATAGGGTGCAGGGGCACGGTCTCAGCTCACTGCAGCCTCTGCCTCCTGGGTTCAAGCGATTCTCCTGCCTCAGCCGCCTGAGTAGCTGGGACTACAGGGACGCGCCACCACACCTGGGTAATTTTTGTATTTTTAGTAGAGACGGGGTTTTACCATGTTGGCCAGGCTGGTCTCGAACTCCTGACCTCAAATGATACGCCTGCCTCGGCCTCCCAAAGTGCTGGCATTACAGGCATGAGACACTTCTCCCGGCTCAAAATGTGGTCTATCTATACAGTGGAATATTATTCAGCCATCAAAAGGCATGAAGTACTGACATGTTACAGCATGGATGAACCTTGGAAACATTATGCAAAGTGAAATAAACCAGACACAAAGGACACACATTGTATGATTCCATTTCTACGAAATGTCTGGAATAGGCAAATCTATAGAGACAGAAAATAAATTAGAGGTTGCCTGGGGCTGTGGAGTATAGAGGAATTAGTGGCTGATGGCCAAAAAGTACAGGTTTCTTTTTGCAGTACTGAAAATGCTCTAAAATTGATTGTGGCGATGGTTACACAACTCTGAATATACTAAAAGCCATTCAACTGTACACTTTAAATGGGTGAATTTTACGGTATGATAATATTTCAATAAGGCTATTTAAAAACCAGGTAATTGAAGGGTAGGTAGAGTATGATTCTAAATATGTAAGGAAAACCACATACATGCAAATGATTGGGTAGGCATTAAATCTCTCTGGAAAGATGTCATCAACAAACTGTCAGCTGGGGATGCTCAAGGAGGGGCATTGAGTGGGAGGCACAGAGGGCCCCCTTTTCACTGTGAAGTACAGTATGTCAAATTTTCACCATGTGTCTTGTTTTTCTAATGGAAATATGCCCTGCATCTGGTCCTTGCTTGGGCTGGCCCAGCCCTCCTTGAGAAGCAGGCCTTGCTCCATGGGGGCTGATGTGTCTGCCTGAGCTCATGGGAGTGGTTCTGTCCAAGAGGGCAGGTCAAAAAGTCCTCCTTCCCAGGCCTGAAATAGATTCCTGTTCAAAACCTAGCAAAGCAACTATTTTTGGCTGCCTGGCCTACCAGAGGCGGGTCCGAGAGCCTGCTAGGGCACCATGCCCAGGCTCCCAGGATGGTCGCCCTAGGGACCATAATCAGTCCACCTCCCTGCCCAGGCTCTAAGCAGGCATTGTACCCTGCACCCATCGGATGAGATTTCAGGGGGCTCCTCTTTTAAGCCCAGTAGCAGGACTGGTCTGTACCCCAAGGGAACAATTCTGGAGCCAGTACATACTAGGTGCTGAGTACTGTGTTAGAGGTGCCAATTATGTTGTGTCTCTCCTAGTTGCCCAGTCAAGGAGGGGCTGTCATCATCATTTTACAGGTGGGGAAACAGGCTCCAAGATCCCACCCCTGGAGATGGGTCTCAAACTCAGGTCGGCTGCTTGACCCTACTACACCACTTGTATCATTCGAGAACCAAGTGACAAAAACCCTAACTAAAGCTGATGAAGATAATAGAGGAGATTCATTGATTTATTGATTCACATAGCTGAGAAGTCAAGAATGGGTGGGCTTCGGGTGAGGCTCGATCAGGACTCCAGCTCCATTTTTCAGTGGTTTTCTCAGCTCTACCCTCCTTTGTGTCTGTGAATTTCATCCTTTTTATTTTTATTTTATTTATTTATTTATTTATTTATTTATTTTTGAGATGGAGTCTTGCTCTGTTGCCCAGGCTGGAGTGCAGTGGCACGATCTCAGCTCACTGCAACCTCTGCCTCCCAGGTTCAAGCAGTTCTCCCTGCCTCAGCTGGGATTATAGGCACCCACCACCACACCCGGCTAATTTTTGTATTTTTTAGTAGAGACATGGTTTTGCCATGTTGGCCAGGCTGGTCTCAAACTCCTGACCTCAGGTGACCCGCCCGCCTCGGTCTCCCAGAGTGCTAGGATTACAGATGTGAGCCACCGCGCCTGGCCGAGCTTCATCCTTAAGATGATTTCTCTTAAAGTAGCCAGATGGCTTCTAACATGTCAGGGGGATCCTCATGCATCCTCAGCATATCCAGAGAGACAGCAAGAGTGTCCTGCCCCAGCATCCTGACCATCCTGCCAAGACTCTGAGATTCACTGTGATTGAATGGGTTTAGGCCACTCCTGCCCTTGAACAAAGTCCTGTAGCCAGGGCACAGGCCTGAAGGCAATAGGATCCAGCCCAGAGCTGGGTGGAAGCTCAGCCTTCCATGGAATATAGGGAATTTGGGGGAGCAGATGGGTTGCTGAATAAAAACTAGGAAGGGGAGAAAGTGCAGGTATGTTGTGCAGGCAGTCATTCAGACCCCCAACCTCCTCTTCTTAGTGAACTACATTAAGACATCATTCTGGGAATATTGCACTGAATACAATTATTTCCCAGTTTCTCATGTGTAAAATGGACGTGCAATTGGACCAGGCCTTTAAATCTAGGATGATTATTCATTTTTAATCAGTCACACTTTGGCTTGGGACACCATAAGAGTAGCTGGATTGGTTGATACCATCAGAATGCTTGCCTTTGTTCCCCAGACCCTAGCCTGACCCCACTGTGACCCCCTCCAGTCCCTGCTTGAGCTCCTCCTGTTACAACTTTGCCCCCATAAGAAGCAATCCAAGCCCTCTGTCCAGGCATCGTGATCTTTGGAGCTCTGCCTCCTGCCTGCTGTCCCAGCTACTGTCGCCAAAAAAGGAAGAATGGGTCCAGCCTGGACCTTGGGCTCATCTCAGGTCCCCAGTGGAGTCAGCATCCCCAAAACCACAGAGATCCCTCAACAGAAACAGGAACTGTCGGGAGAGGGACCCAGGACATGGTCACTTAAGGCCAAGTGTCAAATACCCACTCTACCCTATCCCAAGGCCCCCTGGTTGTGTTCCCTCGGGCAAGTCCCTTCACTCTCTGAGCCTCCATTTCTCCGTCTGTGAAATGGGAGCATTGATAACTGTCGCCCCGTGGGATAGCAGCAGGAGGTCTGTGTTCAGCAGACATCTTCCCCTCCTTGTCCTGCCAGAGTGGCGGGGCTGACGTGGCAACGGTTGCCTCACCCTCCTGTACTTCCCTCCCCTCCTCCCTTCTCCCTCTAGGCTTCCTTAGACGCCCCTCATCCTGGTGACCCCTTGCATGTGCCCAGTGTCCCTCCAGGCCCCCTCGGCCCACATGGAGGGCACTTTCCCAGCCCAGGCGACTCCGGGACAAATGGATTTTGGAAAGAGCCTAGCCCTGCCTCCTGCCAGTGCCTTGGAGAAGACAAAGAAACAGGGGTCAGGGAGGGGACAGGGAGGGGGCAGGCAAGCCCTGTCCCAGCAGCCTTGGGGCCCCTGGCCGGGCAGGGTTTCCGTGAGCGGTTCTCCATTGCTCCCAAAAATAACCAAGTGTGTATCTCGTCGGCCTCACGCCGCAGATGTTTAGGATAAACCTTCGTAAATCTCTGTTAGAAAAATGCTGAAAATCAGAGGAACGTGGCAATGGCCACAGACTCACAATTTCTCTCTCTCATCTCTGTTTCTAACTCCATCTCTCTTCTCTCTCCATCTCTGTCTCTCTGTGTTCTTTCTCTCTTGTTCTCTGAGTGTCGCCTTCTCTGTCTGTCTCACTATCCCTTTCATTTCTTCCTTTCCTCAGCTCTTTCCCCCGTTATTAAGCCATGAGAGAGGCCTCAGCCTACCAGACGCCCACGGAGCACATATTTTAATGCGCCTTCACAGTCTTCCAGAAAAACAGATGCAACATCTACGACATTCTTCCTGCTCGCTGCAACAGCAATTAAAGAGAGGATTGGGTGAGGGGGGAGGCCTGGGGAGAGGATGCGGGGAGAGGAGAAAAGAAAAGCTCCTTGTCGGGGCTGCTTCTCAACAAAGGGAGTCGACGGTGCACGGGGCTGCTTGTGTGACCGTCTAGCACTATGACATCTTTCTCCCGGAACGTCAGCTTGGGGAGGGTGGCTGGGCTGATGGTGGCTCGGTCAGCAAAGCCTGGCATTGGAGAGGCAGTCAGGGTAACCAGGGCCCAGGCTGGGGCTTTCTTTGCCAACATGATGTTGGGAGAGAGCACAGGATTCTGAGCCCTGCGTTCGGAGCCAGGCTACTTGGGCCTATTGGAACCCAGGCAGCTTCAACCCATTCACTCCCTCACTCATTTGTTCATTCGACAAGCATGTGCAAAATCTACAGCTGTGTGGCAGGACCACGGGGTAAATCATTACAGCACAATACGAGGGCGAGTGTGAACAAGGGTCACCTGGTGGTCCCAGTGGCCCTTCCAGGGGAGATGGCTCAAGTCTGAAGGGTGAGAAAGGCTTAGGTGAACGGGGTGGGATGGGCAGGAGTCTCCATGAGGAACTGAACTCCCACAGAGAGCACTGCAATTTACAAATGAGAAAACCAAGGATGCCCAAGAAGCTGAGAACCCAATGAGTTTGCACAGGATGGCAGAAGACCTTCAAGAAGGTATGGAAGGTTGTCCAGACCCCAGCATCATCCGTGCTGCCATCAACCAGAGCTCAGCCTCAGACGCCAACAGGGGAAGACAGAGGCCATAAGTAAGTGAGGCTCACCAGCCAGGGACCAGCACAGAACTCAAGGATGTATGCCCGTCAATGAGGGTACCAAAGATTGCCATGTGTGACTGATTGCCCAAGTTTTCATGAGAAGATCAGATATGCAGACTTTTTTAAAAAAAGGTGAAATATTATTTTCAAATGATGGTGACTTAGTTACTCTTTAAAATATTGATGGGCCAAGCTAAATCCATCGGCAGGGCATGTGGGGTCCTCGGCTGCTGTTTGTTAACCTTTGGTTCATTCTGAAGTACCACGTGACAGCAGGCTCCACCTAAGCCCAGCATTTAGTAAGAGGCAGGCCTGATCTTCGTGGTCCCTCCAGAAGCCTTGTTTCCAGAGGGCATGTCAGTACCCACTTGAGCAAACTCAGGCCCCAGCACCCTGGCAAAGTCGATAGGCCTTGCCTTCTGCTTTCAGCCTTGGGCTTGAATCCTAACCCTGATGCTAAATAGTTGTGAAATCCTGAGCAAGTCCCGTATTTCTTTATCCTTCACCTGATTCCAAAGAGTGTTTAAGGTTCTTCTATGAACACATTAGCAATGCAAAATGTGGCCAGGTGCAGTCACTCAGGCCTGTAATCCCAGCACTTTGGCAGGTGGATTGCTTGAGCTCAGGAGTTCGAGATCATCCTGGGCAACATGGCGAGAACTCATCTCTACAAAAAATGCAAAAATACCAAAAAAAAATTATCCAGGCATGATGGTGCACACCTGTAGACCCAGCTACTAGGGAGGCTGAGGTGGGAGAATCACTTGAGCCTGGGAAGTCGAAGCTGCAGTGAGCTGTGATTGAGCCACTGCACTCCAGCCTGGGTGACAGAGAGTGAGACCCTGTCTCAAAAAAGGAAAAAAAAAAGGGAAAATGTTATATAGATAAATAGAATCAAGCAGGAGGTCAGAATCTTTGGAAAATAAGAGACACCAAGTAATGGAAACAAAGGTAAAGTTTGTCTACAGAGCACAGGTTCTAATGACCCTGTACCACGACTAGAGTTGGACCTAAAACATTACCTTGGGATTCCCAGCAGCCAAAGCAAAGAAGGAATCATGTTTTTGTGATTTATTGTCCTTGAAAATAAAAACATACCAGTTGATCAGAGAAGCAGTTTTCCTGGTATTGGGCTTGAGATAAAATTACTTAATGGCTCTCCCTAAAAAGACATTTGTGTGATATAATAAATAATAATTCTATGTGCTAGTAAAAAAATTTCAATTTCCTATAGCTATTTCTTTAATGTCCTTCTATACAGGCTGATGATGTAATATCAAAACAGATCAAGTAACAATGGAGTGAGACTGAAGAATGCAGTTCTCCATTGCTTTAGTGGACAAGTTACTTCATGCCTCTGAATTGTATTTTTTTTCTTTATAAAATAGACCAAATATAATGCCTATATCTTAGGATTGCTGAGAAGCTCAAGTGGAATAAGGTAAATAAAATGCCTGTGATGATTTCTGGCATGTAGTAGATCTCATGGGATTCATCAGTGAGATTGCTGTAACAAACAACCCCTACATCCCTTAACATAATAACATTTTATGTATTGCTCACATCGTCCTCTAGTGTAGATTATCGGGGCACAGAGGGCAGGTGTGTGTATAGGTGCTGTGTTGAATCCATGCAGTCATTCAGGGATCCAGGCTTCTTCTATATGTGGTTCTGCCCTCCTCTAGAATGTCAAAGTCTTCTCCAGTCAGCAGGTGATGGAGAAAAAAGTTAAAATTGGGTATGAGAAGTTTCTATGGGCCAAGACTAGAAGTGACACACTTTCACCCACAACCCATAACTTCTGCCCATAAGCCACTGGCCAGAAATAAGTTCCTTGCCACAATTAATGGAAAGGCGGGCTGGCAAAGGTGGTCTGTGTGCTGCATGTCTGGGAAGAGGAGGATGACATGGCTGTTGGTGAGGGAGCCTGTTAGTCAGTGGAATCTCTGCCACTATCAGGAATCAAAATGAAGCTGGATTCCTCATGTTGGCCAGCAGTGAGGCAGCTCTGGGACCATCAGATTTCCCCCGGCTGTCCACCCCTTCTTCCAGACATCCTCACTGCTTTCTTTGGTCTTGAAGCACAGGAAATTTGAGCAATGGTCATTGGCCTTTCCCACATGCAGTTGTTTTTAGTTTTATGGACATGAGAGAGCAGAGACCTCCTGGGTCAGCTATTTCCTCTCCTGTTGCCGAGGCAGGGAGCTTCTTTGAGTTCACTGGCCTTTTGCCCTTTTCATCTACTTGTCTGCTCAGCATGGAATGTGCTGCTAAACAGTGGGGCTAAGGCGGAGGGGGTTGAAAAGTGCCTCAGAGGTGGTTCCTACTGTCCAGGGACTCACACTTTCACTAAGGAGGCACAGGTAGCCACATAAGCAGAACATTCTCATACAAAATACCCAATCTCTTACCAAAATGATTAAAGGCAGTTTTCAAGGGCACATAAGTTAGAGCAAGCTACACATGTAAATAGTAGAATAAGAGAAGGAACAAATGATAGAGCTGGGACATAAATGAAGCCATGAATAAACCCATTCACACAAAAAACCCTGATTACCTAGATATTTGCTGTGGTTGGGCCATGGAATCAATGTTGAGCTTCCTAGCAGCCAGCATGAAAATGGAAATTTGGTCAGTTATATAAATCACAACGATCATGCCATTTGAACAAACCAGTTACCCAAGAGAATAGTAATAATAGCTAGCATCTAGTCGGTGTTTACTATTCCTTATATACCTACACAAGGCAGAGACTATTATTATCCCCACTTAATGGGGAAAGAAAAGTTTACAACTGCCCACAGTCATACAACTGGTGGGACAAGGATTGGGTAATACAGATTGTTTAAATTCAGAGCTGGGCTCTAACTCATCTCCTAGTTCTAAGACAAGAATCTCACCAATGTTCTCACAGTGTGGACACTGTGTAATAACCAATATTCTTGCAGTGGCCGTAGCAGAGGTTTCATGTTCTCATCCTGTCTCACCAGATATTTGTGCTTTCCTGCCAAAGGACGTTTCAGGTTTTCAGCTGTAGTCCCTGTGGTGAGTCCTTTCTTCTGGCAGGCTCTCATCTGGCTGCCCCCAGGGGTGGATTGGAGCATATCTGGAAAGGAAGATGGACAACTTGTCTTTGACGCACACAATCCTTGCTCAATACCATTTCTCTCAGCTGAGTTTTGACTAAATATTGCTTCATTCATTCAACAAATTCATCTTGAGGATACACACTGCCAGGCATGCCTCAGAGCTCTGGCCCCACCGCCATGAACACAGCAGACAGAATCCCCATCCTCAAGAAGCTTATAGTCTTACAGAAGAGAGAGGCATTAAGTGAGTAAAAATGCAAAGAAAATACATCTTTACATGTTATGATAAGTCTATAAAGGAAGCATAACGAAGTGGGAATAATTTCGTTTGGGTTGGAGTGCTGCAAGTCCCTCTGGAGGAAATACCATTTATTCTGGAAACTAAATAAGGGCAAAGAGATGAGATAAAAGCCTTCCAGGCCAAGGGAAGAGCATGGAGAAAGGCCAAGTAGAGAAATAGCTTAGAGGGTTCAAGGAGCTGCAAGTCAACTGAGTTGCTGGAATATGGTAGATGGGTGGTTAACAGGTGAAATCAGAGAGATGAGCAGGAGCAAGAGCGTGACAGTCAGGGGGATGGAGGGTTTTGTTTTGTTTTTTAATTTGCTTGAAATTAGACTTCCTGGTAAGTGCATGGATTTCAGTAATTCCGTATTGTACAGCTAAGGATAAGATGAGTAATCAATTTGTTGGAAGGATGAGTGGATGGATGGATGGATGGATGGATGGATGGATGGATGGATGGGTGGATGGATGGATGGATAGCAGGCAGGTTGTGTGCTGGGACACTCATGAAACCATCTCAGGGAGGGAAGATTGACTGGGGAGGGACAGGAGGCAGGAGCCCCATCAGGACACTTTTGTCCCAACCCCTGCAAAGTCAAAAAAGACCTGATAGAGGAAGCTCCTGGAAGAAGACTTTAGATCTGTTCTCAGAAAAGTTGTTGTGTTTGGTCAAATGAAGGCACTGGGGCCAAAGAATCCAAAAGGGGTCCAGTTCATCCCAGAGGAGACTGGCTTTGGAGCTGGATGTGCAAGGTCCGTGGTGACCTGCCTGGTCCAGAGCAGAGGGGCTAGAGGAAGCTTGAAGGATTGTATGTGATATTACTACTTCCCATTCCTACATTTTACAAAGCACTCTGACAGTGTGATAATGATGATGATGATTGTCACCTACTGCCCACCTACTATGTGCTAGGCCCTGTGCTAAGCACTTAAAATGCTTTGGCTCATTTAATTCTTACCACAGTCTTGCATGGGCCATACTATCCCAACCCCACCTTGCCCCCCTTTTGCGGATGAGGGCACAGAGGCTCAAAGAGGTGAAATAACTTGTCCAACATCACACAGCTGCTGAGTTCAGTTAGACCTTCCACCTCTCCAGGTCTCCTTTATTTGTAAAGCACTTTGGATATTTTGTGCTGCCCAACTCGGCCTTGCCTAAGCGCAGGTCTGAGTTGGTGTCATTTCCTACAGCATGCTAAGTGTATGGTGTGGCATTTCCAGGTGTTCTTGCTGGAGATAAATGTAGGAGGGGGTGATGTCATAGGGGGTGAGGTAATCATGACAATATGGGATTGAGCGATGCCTCAAGGTGCCTTCTGGGAAAAGCTTTGATGCTGTTTGGTGGAGGAATGGATCTCCTATTTGATCTCATTAATGAGCAAAGCAATGCATCAAAGCCATGATTCCAAAGTTGCTTTCTGGACACCTATAATCCCCAAGGGCTTCATGAAATGTCCCTAAAGTTGCCCAACTAACACTTCATTTGACCATAAGTTTATAAACAGTTATTCACTAAAAACGATGCACATGAAAATAGCAAGGAGCTACTAGTATTCCATCGATCAGATGGGCAAGATTTAAAGCCCTGATAATAGCCATTGTTGGAGGGGTGGGGAGGGATGAACAGGCATCTCTCGCACTGCACGAGGCTGGTGGAGCACATACTGATAACGTCTTTCTGGAGAGTAAGGGGGTATTGCGCATCAAAAGCCTTGGGGTTGTGCATATGTTTCGACACAGCCCTTTCACCCTGGGGAGTTTATTAAGGAAATAATTAGGGACACAGTTATGAAGAGAGTCATTGGTGAGGTTTTGGTGTGCCAGAGCCAGCTCACACAGGCTCTCAAGGACTGTGCTGCTCTCTCGGTGACATGTTGGCAGCTTCAGTGATATTGGTAGCTTGAAATCGGTCATGGTGGGAATATTCACACTAAGACAATTTTTTTGCAAACACTGCAAACCAGGGTTCTTCCCCCGAGAGAGCCTAGCATGTCCCAGTTTAACAACCCTGGGTGGTTGTGAAAATGTATAATTGGTGGCCGGGCGTGGTGGCTCACACCTGTAATCCCAGCACTTTGGGAGACCGAGGCGGGCAGAACATGAGGTCAGGAGATCAAGACCATCCTGGCTACCATGGTGAAACCCCGTCTCTCTACTAAAAATACAAAAAATTAGCCGGGAATGGTGGCGGGCACCTGTAGTCCCAGCTACTCAGGAGGCTGAGGCAGGAGAATGGTGTGAACCCGGGAGGCGGAGCTTGCAGTGAGCCGAGATCGCGCCACTGCACTCCAGCCTGGGCGACAGAGCGAGACTCCGTCTCAAAAAAAAAAAAAAAAAGAAAAGAAAAGAAAAGAAAATGTATAATTGGTAACAACCAAAACGTCCCACAGTTGGAAATTGGCTCAATAGACGAAGGTGCATCCATCCCATAGAATACTGTGTGGCCATTAAAAATCAGACTGGGGAGGAGTGTTTCTTGGTTGACACGAGAAATATTCCTGAGGGCCACTAAGTGAAGACAGCATTTGCAGAACCATAGGCACATTTTGATACCAAGCACACATATATGCCTGCACACTCACGCGCGCACACACACACACACACTTGTACATGCATAGATTCTCTAGAAGTCTCTACAAGCATGCGTTAGCATCAGTTATTGCTAGGGAAGGAAAAGAGGAGAACTCAGGCAGGAACAAAATATATAAGCTTACTTTTTACTATAAATTCTTTTTACCGTAAAGGCTTTCTTACAAGCATGCTATCTGTAAACCTTTTTAAAATTACCTTTATTAAAACATACCTCTGCTCCTTACTAACTCCGGCACAGAAAACAGGACTGGAAGCATAAACACTAAAATATGAGCAGGGGCTTATCTCTGAGACTACCAGTGACTTTTAAAGTTTTATTTATTTATTTATTGTCTTCGGATTTCATTTCCTTCATGCTTTTCTGGGTTTTCTCCATGTCAGTAAAACATTATGTTTAATAAAAACAACGATCCAATTAACATGCCAAGTCCTTTTTTTGAGAGGGACAGGGTGTGTTGGAAGACTGAGGGTCACAGCTCTGACGGGTCAGCAGCATCCATTGGGAACTAAATAACACTTGACCGTGGAAACAGCTTCCCAGCCCCTGGAGTTCCAAGGGGACGCCTGTAAGACGGTTGAGTTCAAATAAAGGCTAGTGCTGCTTGGGCCCATGATTGCAGGTTTCCTGGGACAGATTTGAGGTGAGGGAATATAGTGACCAGCCTCCTGTGCTTGGGGAGAAAGGATGGGTTTGGGGTGAGAGTGGGAAGATAGATACCAGGTGGGAGGGGCAGGCTTGAGAAGACCTGGGCGTCCCTTGGGGAGAACTGGAGATTTGCAAACCTTGGGGGTGAGCAGGCAGGATGGCTTTGTGACTAAATGTGCATGCATTCATTCAGTAATTGATTGATTCATTCATTCATTCTACAGATAGTTCCTAGGTACCTCCTCTGGGGCAGACCTGGGTTAGAGCTGACATAAGTTATTGTAACTAATCCTCGTAGTCATACCGAGAACTCTGATTCCTATTTAAAAGTTGAGGGCTGAGCGCCATGGTTTGTCTGTAATCCCAGCACTTTGGAGGTAGAGGCAGGAGGATCATATTGAGCCCAGGAGCTTGAGACCAGCCTGAGAAACATGGCAAAACCCCATCTCTACAAAAAAATAAAATAAAATAAAATAAAATTTAGCCAGGCATGGTGGCATGTGCCTGTAGTTCCAGCTACTAGGTGGGGGCTGAGGTGGGAGGATCACTTGCGACTGGGAAGTCGAGGCTGCAGTGAGCTGTGATTGCACCACTGCACTCCAGCCTGGGCCACAGAGTGAGACTCTTTCTCTAACAACAAGAAACAGTTGAGGAAACTGATGCCCAGGGAGATGAGGTCACTTGCCCAGGTCTGTCTGTAGATGCAGGTTCTCTTTTGCTGAAAGGACATGCCTTCCTTTTAGACTGGAGGGACTCTTGCAGGATGGTCAAGGCTAGTGACAATCATCAGACTTTGGCAATTCATTTTTTCATCCCTTCCTTATTTTCTCTTTGGTAGCAAACATGGTAGCATCTCAGTGGAAGAAGGGATCTTTTTGACCAAGACCTCAACCCAAGCACTCAAAAGGGCCTTCTAGATCTGCTCACTCAGCACACAGATGAATGAGGAGGCTCAGGGAGACAGACCTCCTTCCCCTCGCTTCACACCACAGCCGTGCAGGGCTTAGAGGAGCTGTGGGCATGGGCGGCTACCCCACAGCCCCTCCGCTGCCCTTGCCTCTGCTTGTTATCTGCACTTGGCAGCCCCACCCTAATTGCTGAGGCCAGCAAGGCCCCACCCCTGACCCCTGGAACACCAAGGTCCAGGAGACGGGGCAAGCAGGCAGGACTGCTGACGTGGGTGCCAGAGCCCCCAGAGCCTTGTCCTGTCTCAGCTTGGCCTTCAGTCCCAGCCCACCCTGCAGCTGATGAGTGTGACCTCAGGGCTGGAACCATGAGCCCGAGCTCCTGGCCCTCCTTCTCAGCCACTCTGGTTCGGACTAGCACTCTGCCCAGAGGCAGTAGTTGTATTAGAGAGAAGGAACTTTGGGTCAACCAAGCCTGGTGCTAATTCTGGCTCTATCGCTTAGTAGCTATGCCACCTTTACCTCTCTGTGTCTCATATTTCGAAAGGTCTTGGACCCTGAAAAAGGCAATAAGAGTGTGGGGGTTAGTGTCATTCATTAATAACAGCTAATGCAGGACTTCTGCTTCCGACCACAATGGAATAACACAGTCTGCACTTACCCTCCCATCTGAAACAACCAAAAGCCAGACAAAATATACAAAAGAATGGTTTTCAAGACACTGGTCATAGGGCAACAAAGAAGAGCAATCCTAGAACATCAGGAAACAAATGAGGCCAAGCTTACTTACTGGCTGGAGAGAGTTTCTAGGCCATAGCATAGAGTACAACGGAGACCCCAACAGTCTCTCTGATTGAAGAGATGGAGCTGAGAGTCCAAGGAGGTTGAAGCTGCTAGAATTCACACAACAGAGTTTTGGACAGAAGACAGCTCATGGAGAGAGAGACCTCCAGGGAAAGTTGGAGGGTCTCCCCTGAGTATTCAGCTGAGCATTGACCAGTGCATGCACGTGAAGAAACTATCTGAGCCTGGGAAAGAGCCACCCAAGTGACTTAGATGGAACAGCGCCTGGTGCTCGCACAGGGCCAGGACCAGCACCTGTTCTCTCCAGCCAGACTGGAAAGCCTCATGATTGACAGAGCATTAGATAGGATACTACTGAAAGTCTTACCTCAGCTGCCGAGAATAGTTGGCCCTGCACTAAACTCTGCTCAGATCCAGCCTATTAAATTTTAAAAGCAAGACTTGAAAGGATTAAACTGTTTCTAAGTAACTTAACTTTGTCCCAGAACACAGGAATACAAAAATATCCAGTTCCCAACAAGGTAAGATTCACAATGTCTGGCATCTAACAGAAAAAAAAAAAAAAAGAAGAAGAAAAGAAAAAAATGACCAGACATGCAAAGAGGCAGGAAAATATAACTATAATGAGGAGAAAAATCAATCAATAAAAGCTGACCCAGAACTGACACAGATATTAGAATTAGCACACAATGACGTTAAAACATTTATTGTAACTGTGTTTCGTATGTTTGAAAAGTTAATTAGAGACATGAAAGATATAAAATAAACTTCTAGACCCCATACTCAATGGTGAAAAGTTGAAAGCTTTTCCTCTAAGATCTGGAACAAGACAAGGATGCCCACTCTCACTTCTTCTATTCAACGTAGTACTGGAAGTTCTAGCTAGAGTAATTAGGCAAGGGAAAGAAAGAAAAGGCATCCAAATCAAAAAGAAAGAAGTAAAACTATCTCTGGTTGCAGATGACAAATCTTGATGGGGGCACAGAGGCTTCACAAAGAAAATCCTAGAGACTCCACTAAAAAATCTATTAGAATAAATGAATTCAGTAAAGTTACAGGATACAAAATCAACATACAAAAATCAGTAGTGTTTCCATATGCTAACAATAAGCTATCTGAAAAAGAAATCAAGAAAACAATCCCATTGACAATAGCTACAAAAAGAAATAAAATACTTAGTAGTAAATCTAACCAAGGAGGTGAAAGCCCTGTACACTGAAAACTATAAAACATTGATGAAAGAAACTGAAAGTTACATGAATAAATGGAAAGATATCTCATGTTCATACATGGGAAGAATTAATATTGTTAAAATGTCCATACTACCCAATGTGATTGACAGATTCAATGCAATCTCTATCAAAATTCCAATTACATTTTTCGCAAATATAGAAAAACAGTTCTAAAATTCATATGGGACCACAAAAGACCCAAAAGAGCCAAAGCAATCTTGAGCAAGAACAAAGCTGGAGGCATCACACTATTTTACTTCAAAATATACTACAAAGCTATATTAATCAAAACAGCATGGTACTGGCATAAAAACAGACACATAGATCAATGGAACAGAATAGAGAGTCCATAAATAAACCTACACTTTTGTGTTTTTTTTTTTGAGATGGAGTCTCACTCTGTCACCCAGACTGGAGTGCAGTAGAGCAATCCCAGCTCACTGCCACCTCTGCCTCCCAGGTTCAAGTGATTCTTGTGCCTCAGCCTCCCAAGTAGCTGGTTACAAATGTGTGCACCACACCTGGCTAATTTTTGTATTTTTAGTAGAGATGGGGTTTCACCATGCTGGCCAGGCTGGTCTCCAAATCCTGACCTCAATTGATCCCCCTGCCTCAGCTTCCCAAAGTGCTGGGATTACCGGCATGAGCCACCATGCCTGGCCCCTAAACCTCCACTTTTACAGACAATTGGTTTTCAACAAAGATGCCAAGAACACACAATGAAGAAAGACCGTTTCTTTAATAAATGATATTGGGAAAACTGGATATCCACATGCAGAAGAATAAAATTAGACCCTCATCTCACGCCATGTACAAAAATCAACTCAAAATGAATTAAATGTAACACCTAAAACTATTAAACTAATAGAAGAAAACATAGGGGGAAAGCTCCACAACATTGGTCTGGGCAGTGATATTTTCAATATAATCTCAAAAGCATAGACAACAGAAACAAAAATAGACGTGGGATTACATCAAACCAAAAAGCTTCTGCACACCAAAGAAAACAATCCACAGACTGAACAGATAACCTACAGGACAGAATGAAGTGAGTATGTTAAGAGATATCTGCACTGCCATATTCATTGCAGCATGATTCAAAATACTCAAGCTATGGAATCAACCTAAGTGTCCATCCATCGATGAATGGATAAAGAAAATGTGGTGTACATACACAATGGAATACTATTTATCATTTTAAAAAAAAGGAAATCCTATCATTTTCGACAACATAGATGGACCTGGAAGACATTATGATAAGTGAAATATGCCAGGCACAGGAGGACAAATACCACATACTCTCACTTATATGTGAAATCTAAAAAGGCCAAACTCATAGAAGCAGAAAATGGTTAGCAGAGGCTGAGGGATGGAGGAAGTGGGGAGATGTGGGTCAAAGGACACAAAATTTCAGTTCAACAGGAAGTATAAGTTCAAGAGAGCTTCTGTATGTCATGTGACTATAGTTAATAACAATATATCGTATGCTTGAAAATAGCTGAGTCTATTTTAAGTGTTTTCAGCACAAAAAATAAGTATGTGAGGTAATTCATATATTAATTAGCTTGATTTAGCCATTCTACAATGTATACATATATGAAAACATCATGTTTTACGTCATAAATCATACAATTGTATTTGTCAATTAAAAATTAAAAAATAAATTTCGTAACCAAAAAAATCCCAAACTTCTAGAAATGAAAACTTCCTGTGTGAGAAAGTACATTGGATGGGATTAATGGTACAAGAAAATATTAGTGAACTTGAAGACATAGCAATAGAAATGATCCAAAAGAGGCCGGGCGTGGTGGCTCACACCTGTAATCCCAGCACTTTGGGGGGTAGGTGGATCACTTGAGGTCAAGAGTTCGAGACCAGCCTGGCCAACATGGTGAAATGCCCATCTCTACTAAAAATACAAAAAATTAGCCAGGCATGGTGGCGGGCGCCTGTAGCATCCGTTACTCGGGAGGCTGAGGCAGGAGAATCGCTTGAACCCGGAAGGTGGAGGTTGCAGTGAGCTGAGATTGAGCCACTGCACTCCAGCCTGGGCAACAGGGCAAGACTCTGTCTCAAAAAAAAAAAAGCAAAAGAAATTATCCAAAACGAAACACAAAGATAATTTTTTTAACAAATGAATGGCACATCAGTGAGCTATGAGACAACTTCAAGCAGCTTAATATATGTGTAATTAGAGGAGTGAAGGACAGAAGAAACATCTGAAGAAAGAATAGCTGACATTGTTTAAACCCAGATCTAATAGTGAACGTTCATAGTTGTTTACTACACACCAGATGCTAATCTAAGCACTTACACATATTAACTCATCCACTTACAATTCTTACAAAAGCCCTGAAATGCTTGATCTATCCCCATTTTAAAATGAAGAAAGTGTTAACCTCTCGCCCGAGGCCTGACAGCTAGTGAGTGAGTGAGCCAGGAATGGAATCTCAGAACTTCAAACCTTGTCTCTGTCGTTTGTGAATGCTTTCCACATTAGCAAGCCACATCTGTCCACCATTTTTAGTGGCTGTGTAGTATTCCATCGCTGGGGTTTATTTAACAAATCCCCTGTGGTTGAAATGTGGTTTCCAGTTTTTCACTATCATGAAGAATGCTGCCCAGGATAGCCTTAGAGCTGAGATGTTGATGCCCAGGTATATTCCTTGCCTCAGTTTCTAATAGTGGAGCAACTGGAGTCAAAAGGGCTCTTACTACCTATTGTCAAATTGTCCATGGAAAGTTTCTACAGCCCCCAGAAGCCCCACCACTGACTTTCTGTGCTGCTTTGGACAAGTGACTTAACTTCCCTGAGCCTCAATGTCTTCATCTATAAAAGGAGAATACTATTCCCTACCTCTTGGGCTGTTAGGAGGATTCAGTGAGATACCGGGGTCAAGTGACTGTCACAGCACGCTGTGTGGCACGCAGTGGGTGCTCCCTTTGTATGACATCAGCGCTGAAGGAGGAGGCGGTCAGTGGAGCTTCCTGCGGAGCTGATTTGCGCTGGGGGCGTGGGAGGAACGCAGAGGGGCGCATTCCAGCCTGAGGCCACCCCCGTGAGTCTCCCTGAGAGACCCAGGGCTGCTCTGAGCGGCTCCAGCTGGAGCTCTCCCTATCCTGATCCACCCGCTGACTCACAGTCTCACCCAAGCCCTGGAAAAACAGGGCTTCGCTGTTTTCTTTCTGCGCCCCTTTCCCCGATTCTATCAGCTTCTTTCAGGTAGAGGAGGTTTACGCTTCATAGGTATAACACAAAATCCCCCCCTGCACACACCCACACACGCCCGTGTGTCTCCCCACCCCTATTTTATTCCCCTAGGGACCCACACTGGCTATTTTTCCACAGAGACCTCCTAGGGACACAATTAATGCCAGGAGTGCCCCTCACGTTGGGACTGCAGGCCCAGGGGAGCTCGGCTGCCTCCCTGTATCTCCAGCTGCACAAGCTGGCCCTGGGCCCCTGGTCATTCCCGTTGTGCCTTCCTCACAGTTCCACCGATTGGACCCAAACAGAATTTCCTAACTCAGCCAGGCGTGGTGGCTCACGCTTATAATCCCAGCACTTTGGGAGGCCGAGGCAGGAGGAACCTCTGAGGTCAGGAGTTTGAGACCAGCCTGGCCAACATGGTGAAACCCCGTCTCTACTAAAAATACAAAAATTAGCCAGGCGTGGTGGTGGATCCCTATAATCCCAGCTACTCAGGAAGCTGAGGCAGGAGAATTGCTTGAACCTGGGAGGCAGAGGTTGCAGCGAGCCGAGATCGCGCCGCTGCACTCCAGCCTGGGCAACAAGAGCAAAACCCCATTTCAAAAAAAAAAAAAGAATTTTCTAACTCGAACCATCATTTCCCACTAAATCGAACTCAAGAAGAAATGTCTTCCCCCCAAGCCAGGACACCTGGAAGCCTGGAAATGGTGAGTGTTTGGGGACAGCTACCCGAGATCCGGCAGGGGCTGATTGGAAACGGCCAGAACCGGCTGTGGCAGGACCCCAGGCTCCCTGCAGGCGACTTCGGGATTTGGGACCCGAGTTCTGGCGCAGTTCGGCCCTCGAGCTCCTCGGCCTCAAGGTGGGGTTGGGCCAGCAACCGGGACCCGGGGCGTTCTGTCCCGTCCCTGCCTGGCGACTGCGGCCCGGAAGCCTTCTCTGAGCAGCTCCGCGCCCGCAACCTCACAGTCTTCCCAGATTGTGCGGGGGCCACACATGACATAAGGAGAGTCCTGCCTTGGGTGTAGGGTTCGTGTGGGAGGAGCTGCGGTCCGTGGGGTCCCCAGTACGTTTTCTTTCTGTTAAAAATTAAACTGAGGAGCTTCTGGGTTGCTGAACACATGGGCGAGGCTGGGATGGTGGGACGCCCAGAGAGAGCAGGGAAGCGCTGTATCCCCCACTCCACATCTTGCTCTGTCATTCTCAGCATCTGGTGTTCATCTACATCCTTCGTAATGTCCTTTGTAATATATAGGTAAACAAAAAAAATTAAACTGAGGCCCTAAAAAAAAAAAAGAAATGTCTTCCTCCCTTCCCTTCGTTTTCTCCTCTAAGAACAGCTTTTAAAAATATGGTATTAATGTGGTTTTTAAAGCCTGCAAGCTAGTGTGACTAGAGATAAAAATCCTATGAGAAATATGTTCTGACAGACTGAATTACATCTTATTTGCTAAGAAGGGAAGGAACGCTTATTGAACACGTGCTATGCGCCAGGCCTAGGGCCTGCCACTCTGCCTCCAATCACTCCCTTCATCCTCAACAACGCAAAAGTAGGTATGATAATTTCCCAGGTGAGGGATGAGGCCCAGAGAGCCCAAGGGACTTGCCCAGGTCACACAGCAAGTTGTGTCTGGGCCAAGGAATGGCGCCCAGGAGCCCTGACTCAGAAATGGAGTAGGGGTCTCCTCCTCTGGGGGATGCAGGAGGCTAAATGAGTCCTTTCTGGAAACAGCTAGCCCGGTGAGCCAAAGATGGTCTTTCCTCACCTTCACCTCACTCTGCTTAACTCAGCTCTGTGCACACAGTGGGTCCTTCTTACCTAATGACTTCTGGGCTTCGTCCATCTGTTCCTTTGTTCATTTGTTGAGCACCTACTGTGTGCTGGCTCTGTGCTAGGAGCCAAGGACATAGCAGCGGGCAGATGCTGTCTTAGTTGGTTTGGGCTGCCATAACAAAACACCATAGACTGGGTGGCTCACAACAACAGATATTTATTGCTCCCAGTTCTGGAGGCTGGGAGGTCCAAGATCAAGGCGCCAGCAGATTCCGTGTCTGGGGAGGGTCTGCTTTCTGGTTTCAGAGATGGCACCTTCTTGCTGTGTCCTCACACAGTGGAAGGGGTAAGGCCGCTCTCTGGGGTCCCTTTTATAAGGGCGCAAATCCCTCATGGCCTAATCACCTTCCAAAGGTCCCACCTCTTCATACCATCACATTGAGAACTAGGATTCCAACAGAGAGGAATTGCTGGGGGATACCATCATGCAGACCTTAGTAGATGGTTGTGGCCGCTGCCTGCATGAGCTCACAGACTAGGGGAAAAGGCAAGAATCAAATAAGCTCATGATTAAATGCACACTGGGACCCATGAAAACTGTCACTAAGAACAAATGGAGGCAGGACACCATGGTTCATGCCTGTAATCCCAGCACTTTGGGAGGCCGAGGCAGGCAGATCATGAGGTCAGGAGTTCCAGACCAGCCTGGCCAACATGGTGAAACCCCGTCTCTACTAAAAATACAAAAATTAGCCGGGTGTGGTGGCGGGTGTCTGTAATCCCAGCTGCTTGGGAGACTCAGGCGGGAGAATTGCTTGAACCCAAGAGGTGGAGGTTACAGTGAGCTGAGATTCCACCACTGCACTCAAGCCTGGGTGACAGAGCAAGACTACATCTCAAAAAAATAAATAAATAAAAAATTAAACAACAAAAAGAACAAGTGGAGAGGGGTCCATGAAGTTGGAGCAAGTGGGGAGGGAAGGGAAGGGAGGTAAAGGCACTGCTTCCTTGAGGTCTTCAGGGTGCTACCTGGGCAAAGGAGGAGGGATGGGAAAGACCAGGTGCCTGGAGAGACAGAACTGAGAGTGGAGAGATAAAGTCAGAAGACAAACAGAGGTCAGGCCAAGCCAAGATCAGTGGGTCACAGGTGGGAACTGGGGTTTGATCCCAGGATGATAGGGAGTCACTGAAGTGTTTTAAACAGGAGTGTGAGATGATGGGATTTGTGTGGATGGCACTCTAGGTGCTGTGGAGGGGAGAGGTTGTTGTGTGCGATGGGTTAGCATTAAGTTTGGAGGAGCTGCCTGGATCAGATGCTGGGAAGGCAGAAGGCACTGGGACAACAGACACACAGTGCAGCCGCAAGGAATATCAGTCTCCTCCAATATCCCTCTGCTTCCTCTGCACCCCTGCTCTTTAAGAGACTTGTAAGAAATGTTGGTCCCTTTCATTATTCCTACCAGGGACCCTGACATAGTCCCCACCTGTAACCCTTACAGGCCACTTCCCCACATTCCACACATGCTCACCCCCCGCAACAGGCCTGAGAGCCAGGTGGTATTTGATACCAGTTTTACAGAGGTGCGAGCTGAAGGTGGACGCTGAGAAGCAAACTGCCCTAGGTCATTGGCTTCTAAGAAGTGGAGCAAAAATTGAGGCAGGTCCTAGTGGGTAGATTCTTTCAGCCTCACTGTCAGTTCATTGGAAAACAAACTTGTGCTTCCTGAAAGAGCAGAAGGAAGTACATGTCCACCCGGCCACAGCCTGCCACTCCCCCTGGCTGCTGCCATGGCAGGGCTGTGGGCCCCCCGAGGGCCGGGGCCTGCCTTCATTCAACAGTGGGCACTTTGTAAGTGCCAGATAGACGGATGTGACATCGCAGCAGCCCGCTCATTGGGGAACATGTCTCTTTCCTCTCTGTCCTTCAATTCATTTGTCACTTGCTCAAAATCCCTCTCTGGCTCCCCATCATCCTCCACCAGACCTCTGAGGACCAGGGCCTCTCAGCAATCAGGCTCTCACTCCCCTCTCCAGCTTCGTGTTTGGGATAAAGGATGTTTGAGGAGCCATAAGAACATCAAGCAAGGTTGTAAAAAAGAGAGCTCAGGAGTGAGGCCCAGGCCTTTTGGTTTTTCTATAAACCATTGCTAGACCACCCGCTAAGTGCCAGGAATGTACACAGAAGCACTGTCCACCCCTGCACCTACAGCCAGCAGCTCGCAGCAGTGCCTAGAACCCCACCATTAGAGCCACTCCTTTGCAGGAAGTTATGATCTCCCCACAGACCTCAGGAACATGCAGAATGATGGACAACCCACACCCACGCTGTAGACCTGTACGCTACCGTCCAAAGAGGGCTGGGTTCTCAGGGAACTGCCTCACAACCTGCAGCAAGCACAACTCGAAGAGCTGTGGGAACAGGAAAACGAGTTTGAACTCAAGTGGAAATGAAAAGGTAGCCAGCCTGGGTGCAACTGTGCTATCTGCTAAGAAACATTTGGGGTGGTGTGCTTGCTATTGTACTGCTTTCCCACTTTACAACCAGAAGGGCACTGATTGGGCATTTTACAGAGACTCCCTCGGGCCTGTCCTGCTGGTCAAGACAAACTTTTTTTTTTTTTTTTTTGAGATGGAGTTTCGCTCTTTTTGCCCAGGCTGAAGTACAATAGCACAATCTCGGCTAACTGCAACCTCCAGCTCCCAGGTTCAAGCGGTTCTCCCCGCCTCAGCCCCCGGAGTAGCTGGGATTACAGGTGCCCACCAACTCGCCCAGCTAATTTTTTGTATTTTTAGTAGAGATGAGGTTTCACCAAGTTGGCCAGGCTGGTCTCAAACTCCTGACCTCAGGTGATCCACCCGCCTGAGCCTCCCAAAGTGCTGGGATTACAGGCGTGAGCCACCGTGCCCAGCCACGAACTTCGACTCTAAGGCTGAGAGCAGCACTTTGCAGCATTCCCGACAATGGAATCACAGGATGGGCTTATAAGAATGCAGATTCCAGGGCCTCGCTCACACCTGCAGAATCAGGGTCTCTAGGGCAGGGCCAGGGAGTCTGCATTTCAAATACACGACCCTTCGTGACTCTTATGCCCACTGAGGCCTGAGAGGCCCTGACACAGGAAGAAGCCCTCAGGGTGATTCTATCTGTATCACTGCAGACAGACAGGAGGATTCTATCTATGTTGCTGCAGACGACTCAGTTGCTCTCCTTGGAGAACTTATTAACCCCTTTCTGGGCCACGCTGCAAACAAGAGTTCCTCCTACTGAGATCTGAGGCTGGGAGAGCCACAGACGGGGTTGTGTCTGGGCTGGGTCGGGGAAGGTGGACTGTAACTCACCAGGCGGAAGTGGAGTGGATGACCAGGAAGGGCACTCCAGGCAGAAGGAACAGCCTGCACAGAGGCTGGAGGCTGAAAGCACCATGGAGAGGAGAGGGAGCTGTATATACTAAGCGGTTTGGAGGACCGCTGTTGGGGGTCATCACTGGTCCTCTCTGAGCAGGATCATCTTTGTGAGATGAGAGTAGGTTTTGGTTTTGTCAATTCTGCAAGACACACGGGTTCGCATTTCGACCCGTCTGAGATCGGAATGCCCTTTACAACAAACAGCATCTCGGGTTGGGCAATGCTGTGACCGCACCTGCCTCCCACGGCCACTGGGAGGGTTTCAGGGGAGAACGGAAGGAAAGCACCTCAGTGGCGTTTGGCACGGCAGGAGCCCCATCAGTGTGAGCTACACTCTGAGCTGGTGAGACCCTTTGGGAGCTGGCTTGGAGATTTCTTAAAGGGCTCCTCTCCTCCCACTTTCGTTCCAATGCCCTTTATGGCCCCAGCAATGCCCCGTAATAACTTGACTTTATGACAACAAACTCAGGTGAGCTGCTAGTCACAGCTGCTGGCTCAAATGGCACAATCATCTGTGTGGGTGGAGTTCTGGTTCCATCACCCGTGGGCTGGGATCAAAGGCCTGTCCTTGCTGCCTGGCAACCCCCGCACTAGTTAATTAGGAGAACATTCAGCCTTTCCTTCCCTGTCCCATCAAGGTTTATTACTGAGGAGCAAAGGAGGGTGTGGGCTCAGTGCTGGGTTCCCAGCCCCAGACACATGCTGGGGCCTCATGGGGCCAGGCAGGGTGCCTACAACTGGGCTGTCGTGACCTTGGGCAAGTCACTGAACCTCTCTGAGCCTGTTTCTTAATCTCTAAAATCAGGGAAAGGGCAAAGCTTTGGTGAGAGTTGCTGTGAGGAACCATTCATTTGTATATTTAACAGATATTTATTGAGCACCTACTGTGTGCACTTAGGCTCCAAAGATACATCTATGAACAAGGCAGGTGAGATGCCTGTCATGTTGCTGACCTTCCAGTGGGAAGGAAGACAATACATGGGTAACCCTATCAATATAGTTTCAGCGTCTTTGAAGAAAATAAAGCAGGGGGCTGAGATAACCCCTTGCTGGAGGGAGAAGGAGCAGGAAACTTAAGTCTATCTAGTCTGAGAGGCCCCTGGGAAAAGGTCACACTTGAGCTGAGCCTCTACTGGTAAGATGAAGCTGCTTTGGAGATCTAGGGAAAACACTTCAGGTAGGGGAATGGCAGGTGCAAAGGCCCTGAGGCTGGGTGAGGCCCAGTGTTGCTTAAAGAGCAGAAGAACGCTGGTGTGGCAGGACCAAAGTGAACACAGGCCAGGGTGGTGGGAGATAGATGAGAGGTCCACAGGGACCAGATCACAGAGGGCCAAGTGGGCAGGTCAGAAAGTGGACTTCTATCCACAGAGCAAGGGGACACCAGTGGAGGGACTCAACCAGGGCCATGCCATGGAGTGAGGACTCTGGCCCTGAGAGAATAGATCCAGGAAGCCCGGCTCGGTGGCATAGATCTCACTATGACTACTATCTCATCCCTGGGAGATCAGGAGAGCTGGGATCCCTCACACAGACCACTAGGATTGAGCACAGTCCTCCCACACCCACTGAGCTCGCGGATCTGTTCCCCTTATCCTGACGCCCCAAATGGTGATTCACGTAATGCGACAGTCAATAGCTGATGCACTCAGGTTAAATTTATGCAGACCTCGTGTGATATTAAAAATCCAGGGAGCATATATTTTGAGCACAGTGGATGCCAAAATGTATCCGCTTTATTTAAGGAATTATTGGGCTGGTGTGAGCGGATGTTTATCTGAGCTTTTGCTCCCAGTGGGGGAGAAACAGGTATGCACAGCTTGGTTGCTAAAGATAGGGGAATCCTCAGTCTGTTTTCATGTAATGGGTCCTGAAATATCACCCCCCACGTTTCCCACCCCCACCTCGGGCTGAGCAGCAGAGCAGATTCACAGAGATCTGGCTGCGGAAGAGCTTTGCCTGGGAAAGGATTTGAGACCACACGGCCTCGCTTCAGGGTCAGCAGCTGCTGAATAAATTCACACACTCAGTGCACGCCTGTAATCAGGTCCCTCTGCAAGGCAGGTCTTTGGAGTCCCAATCCCCTGCTTGAACCTGACTCTGTTTCCCCTGTGTAAACTTGTGCTAGGACGCTGGGTCCAGGTGGTTGCCTCTACCCCTAGAAGACAGGGGCAGTAAGGCCCACCTTGCAGGCTGTTGAGAGGCTGGAAGTGGTGAGGCTCAGAAGTGAGATCTGTGCTATTAGCAGATCCGCTCATCCCAGGGTCTTCCCTGGTTCTAGTGGGGGCAGGGTCTTCAGAGCCTGACTGCCTTTGGCCAGTGGCCAGAACAGAGCCAGGAGGAGGGTGAGGCGCTTGCTGCTCGGAGAGTCCTAGATGAGTCCATTTTACAGATGGCACAGAGGCCTGGGAGGCGAGGCTGAAGGTGGCCTGGCTGAGCCTGGCCCCGGCCTTCGTCCCCCTCTGACCTTCCCCGCTGAGCCATCTGCCAGCCTGCACTCTCCACGCTAGCTGTCTGCCTGGGCATCCCTTGCATTCATTCAGTTACTCCATCATTCATTCATTCATTCATTCATTCATTCATTCAGTTACTCCTTTCATGCATTCATTCACTCACTAATATTCAGCAACTGTTCTTGGGCCATTTCACAGCCCTGGTTCAAGGCCTTAACTGGGGCATCCGAGGCCGGGAAATTTAGACTGCAGAGGGCTTTGCCCCCCAGCTGGGCTGGGCAGGAGCTCCACTCTCTGACAGTGGCTCAGAGTGGCCTCAGGTGAGGCTGGGAGACTGGACAGATAGGGAAATGGAGGGAGCTGGGGAGGCTCCCCCAGGACGGGGCTGGGCAAGACTCCTTCTGAGCTAACGTCTGCCTCTTTCCCACAGTCTTCCAGGAAGAGAGGAGCACTTCAACCTCTAGTTATGGTGAGGTTGGCAGTCAGCTTCAGCTGGTGACACTTCAGGGTCAAGGACTTTGGGCACAGAAAGATCTGGGTGAAATCTCTGGGTGAAATCTCTCAGCTTGGCCACCACCCTTCCCTCAGGTAATACCCAGGTCATTTGAAAAGACACCTCCCAGCTCATGCAGTCCCCTCTGCCTGGTGTACCCTTCCTCACACACCCACCTGGCTTCCTTCCCGCCCCTCACAGATCCCCTCACAGGTCCCCTTTGCAGAGAGGCCTTCTCTGATCACCCTGGATGGAGGGGCCGCCCCCACCCACACATCGTGCTGATTCTTTTGTCTCAGTCCACATAGCCCCCTTCCTTAGGTCAGGGACCCCAGCTCCCCTCTGAGTGGGGGAGGACAGTGGTCAGTGGCCAACTTTCCTCCCGATGGGACACACCCACCGGCTTCAACTTTGGTGAGGGAGGAATGGGGAAAGGGGATTCACAGTGTGGAATGTTCTGAGATCAGTGCTATTCCTAGCCCCATTTAGCAGGTGAGGAAATGAGGCTCAGAGAAGTAAAGCACTTGCTTGAGGTCACACAGCAGGAGCAGAGAAGGGTGCACACCCAGGTTGGTTGACTGAAGCCCTGGCTGTTTTCTCCTGGGGAGGTTTGTGAAGAGGTAAGGGGATGACTAGAACACATAGCAAACTGGCTGCAGTAGAGACTGACTGAGCGCGCAACTTCACTTCAATCTTTCTACCACCCGGGCACTATTTGAATTTTTAAAAAAATTAACTACTGAGTCTTTTGTATTGGCAGTTTGCTGAAAAGAGATATAAAGGACAGAGTGGCCCAGGGCCTGCTGTGTGAAGTCTCCTGCTCGGTCTCTGTCCCCAGGCTGGGTGGCAGGGTGGCTTTCCCCTCCCCGACCCCCATCTGGCGAGGACAGGGCCTGTGTTGCTGGGAGACCCTGGCGATCATAAGGGATGGGGTGGAGGATGGTGGCAGATGGGTGGGCACAAGGCCCTTTCAAGGCAGCTGTTAGGATAGGGGCCTGCTTTGTGGGGTCTTTTCAAGAGCTGTGGCCACACACAACAGGGGATCAGAGAAGCCCCTTTCTTTGCTTTCTTCTTCCACACCTGCTCAGCCACCTGTTCCTCCAAAGGCTCCGGCCTCTCTCCTTCTCCTCTTGCTGACTCCACTGGGCTCCTCCTCCCTCTCCTGAGCCTCTTCCTGCTCCCCCACTGAGGCCCTCAGGGCTCCTTACAGACCAGACACCTGCCCTTCTTCCTCCACAAATCCTCAGCGCAGCACACAGCTTGGCTCCCAGGCCTTTGCCTGTGCTGTTCCTCCCCCATGAGTGCCCTTCCCGCTTGTCGTCACTTGTCAGAGTCTACTCACACCCCTGTTAAGAAAGAGCTCTTCTGGCCTGGCGCGGTGGCTCACGCCTGTAATCCCAGCACTTTGGGAGGCTGAGGAGGGTGGATCACCTGCGGTCAGGAGTTTGAGACCAGCCTGGGCAACATGGAAAAACCCCATCTCTATTAATAATACAAAAATGAGCCGGGGGTGGTGGTGGGTGCCTGTATTCCCAGCTACTCAGGAGGCTGAGGCAGGAGAATAGCTTGAACCTGGGAGGCAGAGGTTGCAGTGAGCCAAGAGCGTGCCATTGCACTCCAACCTGGGTGGCAGTGTGAGACTCTGTCTCAAAAAAAAAAAAAAGAAAGAAAAGAAAAGAAAGTGCTCTTCGTATTTGGGGTTCACATAGCCCCTAAGAGAATTTTGAAAACCACGTCCCCCACACAAACGCTTTTAGTTGGCATCTGAATGTTTTATCCTAAATGTAAATAGTTGCAAAGGTAATTTCTAGCGTGCTGTATGCTGAACATGCGCTTTAAATAAAATCTCACCAAAACCTTGGAGCTGTGGATTCCGCTCACTTATTTGCCTGAAAACTCTTCCATGCACACTGAGCGGCAAAGCCACTGCTCTCCACCGCACCATGCAGCCAGGTCAGGCTGACTTTCAGGCAGGAACTATATGAGTTCATTTTCTAATCTGCAAACATGCTAATATGCATGTCTGCATCACCTCTCTCTTCTGAATTTTATTTCTAAGTCTAAGACGGACAGGGCATTTGGCACCTGGATGGAACGAGGCTTCATCCTTCTGGCTTTCTCATGATGCTGTCTTGCTCTCCTGCCTGGGGATGCTTCCTTAGCACCTGGATGCAAATTGCCTTCCATTTAGTGCCCTGGAAGACGTTCTTTTAAACTTCTTATTGTGAAATTCCACACACAGAGAGAGGGCCCATTGTGTACGGATAAAACTCACGTGAAAACTAAAATGTGCAGTTCAATAATTGATCAAAAAGCAATCATCAAGTGAAGAAATAGAACATTTCTAGCTCCCCAGAACCCAGCCTTGGGCCACTGCTAATCACTACTCCTCCCTCTTGTTCAAAGGCAATCACCGTCCTGCATTTTACGATAGGCATTTCTTGCTTTTCTTTTGAGTTTTATCACCTACACACGCTGGGCTTTGAACATCATGTAAGTGGAGTCCCGTAGTATGCATTCTTTTGTGTCTGGCTTCTTTCACAGAACATTATGTGTGTGAATCACTCGGGTCGCTGTGTGTAGCTGTATTTTGTTTTTTCTCATTACGGCATAGTATTCCACTTTGTAAGGGTCTCCTAACTTATTGATCCAGTCTATAGTGGATGGACATTTGGGTTGTTCTCAGTTTGGGGCCATTTTGAATAGCATTTGATGAAAGCTATGATGCATTCATCAGCAGGTCTTTAGGTTCACATAAGTAAGCATTTCTGTTTGGCCTATGCCCAGGAGAGGAATTGCTGGATCATGGGGGTAGAAGTATGTTTAACTATGATAGATACTGCCAAATACTTTTCTAAAGTGGTTGTACCATTTTACACTCCCATCAGCCAGGTAGAAGAATTCCTGTCAACTCTTGGTATTGTCAAAATTTCTTCACATTTCTGTCAACTCTTGGTATTGTGAAAATTTTAAATCTCAGCCAATCTAGTTGGGGTGCTGTGGTTATTTCATTGCGACTTTAATTTTAGTTTTCCTGGTTATTGACAAGATTCAGTATCTTTTATATATTTATTGGCTATTGGAACATTCTTGTTGTGAAGTACCTGGTTTTGCTCATTTTATATTGAGTTGTTAGTTTTTGTCATATTTTTAGTTGTGTTTATTCTGGGGGAAAAAGTAGGCTCTCTTGTAGTTGTATGTGGGCAAAGTATCTTTCCCCACTCTGTAACCTGCCTTTTCACTCTCCTTTGAATGTCTTTTGACAGAAAGAATTTAAATTTCAATGGAGTTGATTTCATCAATCCTTTTGGTATGGCCACCACTTCCTGTGCCGTGTTGAAGAATCTGTCTACTGCTCTGAAGGCATAAAGCCGTTCTCTACTTTCTAGAAGTTTTACATTTTGTCTTTAACATGTATGTCTACAATTCCCCTGAAATTGATGTCATGAATGGTTTGAGGTCGGGATCAAGCTCCATTTTTTTCCATATGGATGGCCAATTCACCCAGCACTGGTCATTGAAAAGCTTGGCCTCTCTCCCAATACTTGGCAGTGTCACATTTGTCATAAAACATGCATCCATTTATGTCTGACTTTTTTATTCTATCCCATAGATAGATCTATTTGTCTATCCTTGTACCAACACTGCACTTATTTACCATCGCTTTATAATAGGTTTTGATAGCCAGAAGAGCTATCAACTCTTCTGGCTAAAAGTTCTTCCTTTTCAAAAATTGGTTATCCTTTACCCTTTGGGTTTCTACATACATTTTTTTGAAAACTAGAATTTGTTTTCCAAGTTAAACACACACACACACACACACACACACACACACACACACCCCTGTTAGGATTTTGATTAGAGGTGTATGTGTTGAATCTATAAGTCAGTTTGCAGAGAATTGACTTATTTAAAATATTGAGTGGTCCCACCATGAATATGATATATCTATTCATTTATTTTAGCATTTTTTGCTTCCTCTTAATAATAATCTATAGTTTTCTGAGTATTTTTTAGGTGAACCAATTTTTAAAAATCTATTAAGTGAATGATAGTACCGGCAACATTTGAATATGGAAAATCACGAAGACAGCCTCCATCCAGCAATGTTTCCAGGATGTTTTCTCTGTACCTCCAGCTGGCCTGGTATCAAAGGGACTTCAAACTGTACCTATGTCTGGGCCCTGCCCCTGGCCCTTCTTCCCCTGCCCAATCAGAGGCTAGCCCAGAGCTGGGGCCCCTAATAAACATGTACTGAAGTGAACACTGTCGGTCACAGGCTCAGCCCCCAGTGTTCAACTCATTACTAGAAAACTGACAATCCAATCCATGCCAACATGCTAAGGACAAGTCTGTTTCAGCTCACTGTATAAAACTGTATTATTTCAAAAGTAGTCTATTGAGTTCTCTCCCATTAGAAAAGTTTTGGTCAGGTGTTGTGGCTCACACCTGTAATCCCAGGACTGTGGGAGGATCACTTGAGCTCAGGAGTTTGAGAGCAGCCAGGGTAACATAGTGAGGCCTTGTCTCTTAAAAAAAAAAAAGAAAAAATTAGCTGGGCATGGTGATGCACGCCTGTGGTCCCAGCTACTTGGGAGGCTGAGATAGGAGGATTGCTTGAGCCCAGGAGCTTAAGGCTGCAGTGACCCATGATTGCAGCACTGCACCCCAGCTTAGGTGACACAGTGAGACTCTGCCTATCTCAAAAAAGAAAAAAAGTTTTATACATACTCATTACAGAATATTTAGAAATTGGCCAATAGGTAGAAAAAGGTGGAAAAAAATCACCCATATTCCTGTTCCTCAGAGATCATCACTGGCCATGTTTTGCTATGTTGCCTTTCACCTTGTTTCTATACACATTTTATGTTTGCTTATTTTCTTTTTACAAGCTTGAAATCACCCTGAGTTTAGAGTTCTGTGTTCAGCCTTTCTCACTTAACATTAAAACAGCCTTCTCCCTGCGACTCTAAACCCTTTGGGAATATCACAGCCAGGAGCTCTGTGATTGTATTGAGTGGCTTGCCTGTTTACTAAGCCACTGCCCTGTGGTAGGAAGTGTTTGTGACTTTATTCAGGTGTACGTGGTGTACAGTGAGCGTCTCTGGCCATCAATTAGCTTTGTCCCTATCTATCTGGGATTACATCCTCAGGACAGGTTCCTAGAAGTGGATTCCAGACTTGAAGAATGTGAGCAGAAGCCTATGAGGAGTTTAACAGCGGGAGTTCGAACCTGCAACTGTGGCTGTCATGGGGCACCTGTTTCTTGAGGATTTACTATTGCCAGACACTTGTGTAAATGCTGAAGCCTTATTAACTCATTTAATGCTCATGGCCCCCTCAGCTAGTTTCTGTTATTTGACTCATTCTACAGATACAGAACCTGCAGCACAGACAGGTCACGTGACCAGCCCAAGGTCACACCTGGTAAGTGCCCAAGCTGGGACTCAACCCTGGACCCTCAGGCTTCAGGACCCTGCCCTGACACCACAGGCAAATGGAGGATCCCGTTGGCTCCTTGAGACACTCGCACCTCCTCTCGTGGGCTTCTTCCTCTTGGCCTAAGGAATCTCTTCCTTCTGCAGGCGAGGAGTGAGGTGGAGGACGGGCCTGAGTCCACTCTGTCCCAGCTGCTTAGCCAAAGGGCAAAGCCTTCACCTCTCCGAGCTGCAGTTTCTTCATCAGTGAAACGGGCAAAGAGGGTCCCATAAATCTGAAAAGAGGCCACAAAAGGGGAATGGCTCTGTGAACTCGAAAGTGCTCCCAGGTGCTGGGTTCCCACAGATGGGCTGTCTGCTGCATGAATTTGCTTGGGGAAGGAAGAAGTCTCTGTCCCTGTCACCCACTCCTGGCTGGCCCAAGCCTGGAGTTCTTCCCACTTCACCTCGACTGACTGATTTTCTCAGAGCAGCGTCCTGACACCAGCTGGGCTGTGATGGGCAGTCCTTGCTGGTGGCTGAGTGGGAGTGGCTGCTCATCCCATGGTCCCCAGCGTCTGAAGCTAGGTGCTGCACAGAACAGGCGCTCCAGCAGCAGTCATGGGAGGCAGTTTCAGAGAGCCCTCCTGGGGTGTCACCCAGTTAAGATGCCGGTGGTAGCAAAGCAAACAGGAGTGGCAGGGGGCCAGAGATTATCATTTTACACCTCTGATGGCATTAATGACTCTCCTTTATACAGTGTTCTTGTGTCCCAAGAGTTCGGCCTGTCACTGAGACCCCACTGCTCTGAGCAAGGTAAGGTCACTTGCCCAGGTCACACTGCAAGTAAGAAGGAGAGTTGGGATTTAAACCAGGGTCTGTGTGACCAAATGCTGGATTCCCAACGTGGCCCCATATATCCCACCGCAGGACTGTGATGCCCACAGCCTCAATGTCACAGTCTCATGAGAATCCCATCTGATCCCCACAACAGCCTTGCAGCCCTGATCTTTTCATGGCCATTTTACAGATAAGGACACTGAGGCCTGCCTGAGGTCCCCCTAGATGGGTAAATGCTGCAGCCTCAGCTGGTCCTGGGTTTTCTGAGTCCCGGCCAATGCCCAAACTCCTCCAGCCTCCCAGGACAGACATGTCCCCTCGAGAAGAGCAGACAAAGTGATGAAGAACGGGCCTGACATGGTGGCTCATGCCTGTAATCTCAGCACTTTGGGAGGCTGAGGTGGGCGGATTACCTGAGGTCGGGAGTTCAAGACCAGCCTGGCCAATATGGCGAAACCCCATCTCTACTGAAAATACAAAAATTAGCCAGGTTTGGTGACGTGCACCTGTAGTCCCAGGAGGCTGAGGCAGGAGAATCAGCTTGAACCCAGGAGGTGGAGGTTGCAGTGAGCTGAGATTGTGCCACTACACTCCAGCCTGGGTGACTGGGTGAGACTCTGTCTCAAAAAAAAAAAAAAAAAAAAAAAAAAAGAAAAAGAAAAAGAAAAAAGAAGTGATGAAGAACAAAGACTTGGAGCATGAGCCAGATTGTGGTGGGAAGGCTCCAGTATGGGCTAGAGTGGCTCCTTGGATCCCTAAATAAATAAGGACCATGGTCCCTTGTCACAGAGAACAAACAGAGTCCCACCCTCTCTCCTGGGATAGTAATGGTGGTTCCCAGAAGACTGAGCCTTCACTCTGCACCAGCTCCTTCCCAAGCTTCATCTCATTTCATTCCCACTCTAGGTGTTCCTGTCCTCACTCTACAGATGAGGAGCCTGAGGCTCAGAGCAGGAACATGACATGGTCAGTATCCTCCCAGCTGGGTAGAAGGGGACTGGTTGCATACCCAAGCCAGGGGCCCAGAGCTGGCCTCTGTGGCATCTGTGCCAGAGCCAGAGGAAGGCCTGCGTCTACTCCCCAGGGAGCCCAACTGAGCCCACGGGTGGCACATGAGGACTGGCCTCCTGGACAAACAGAGCCCAGCACATTAAGGTTTGGCTCAGGAGGACACACATGTCCCTGCTGCCCAGGACCCCAGTTCTGCCCTAAATCCTTCCCAACTTGGGATCCCCCCACTCAGGTTCCTGCTGCAGCTCATGTTACCCTGGGTGCTTCTGTGACTCCGCTGATGCTCTGAGCCCATATGGCCCCAGCTCAAGGCAGCTGAGAAGTCCCGAAAGACCACAGAGCAACAGAGGCACCCAAAGGTTCAAAGCCCATCAGTCATGATTCACTTGCACAGTTCAGTGTGGCATCATCAAGCCCCTGGCTGGCCAACCCCTCTGGTTCCCTGCTTGGGTTCCCAACCACTTGGCTGCTCCTGACCCCGCCCAGCACCAAGACATGAAGACACCACAGTGATCAGGGCCAAGAGAGGCAACTTCACCTACTGGGCCTACCCTGTGTCCCCGCTCTGTTCTTTTCCTCTAGGAGAAATGTGCCTCCACCCAAGCAACTGACCCCAGGAATAATCATAATTAATAATAGTGGCGACTTCCCTTTATTAAGCACTTGCCATGTGCCAAGAACTCTTCTAAGTACTTGATACACATTATCTCATTTAATCCTCAAAACAATCCTATAGGGCTAGTACTATTATTAGCTGATTTTACACGTGAGAGAAGTAAGCACAGAGAAGTCGAATAACAAGCTCAAGGCCACATAGCTAGATAGGCAGGAAGCCAGATTATGAGCCCAGATGGTCTGGTTCCAGAACCTGACCCCTTAATGAATACCCTATAACCTGTGAGTGAATCCAGTCCCCACCACTGGGTTCATCCATCCACTCATTCATTCAGTAAACATTTATTGAGCACCTACTCTGTGCCGAGGACTTTCCATGCATTGCCTCATTACAAGTTTTATCACCTGTGAGGTAGATATTACTGTCATTCCCACTTTACAGATGAGGCAACTGATGTTCAGAGAGGTTAAGTACATGCACAAAGACACACAGCCAGCAAATTGTTCAGCAGGGCAGGAGGATGCAAGTGCTCAGCCTTCAGAAGGTGGCATGGGCCAAAATATAGTAGACCTGCTGTGCCCAGCCAGGAGGCCTGGGCTCTGCCCTGCTCACAGATGATCTCTCTATTTGGCAGAGGAGGTGGAGTGGCCGCAGAGGGCTGAAATGACTTGCCCAGAGTCACCCAGCCAGAGAGTGGCAGAACCAGGACTCCAACCCAGGCTGTTGGGCCCCATCTAAACCCTGTCTGCATGGGAAGGGATTTTTAGCAGAGAAGGGCTGCAATCAGCTTATGGGCATGCAGGGGTGGTCCGGTGGGGGAGATCCTGAGAAGGATAAGGCCTTCCCAAGCCCACATCTACTGACTGTTCACTGTGTGCCAGCCCCTTTTGATCAGTGCATCTATTTCTCCAAATGCCCTGTGACATAGACTGTCAGCAGCTCCATTTTACAAGTGTAGAAGCTGAGGCACAGAGAGGACATATAACCCTTAAGGTCACTCAGTTAGTAAGTAGCCAAGCCAGGATTTCAGCCTGGGTTCTTAAGTGCCACCCAATCCATTATTCCAGTTTTTCTTCGAAAGTCCACATCCCCCTGGGTGGGTTCTCTGCTGCTCCAGGAAGTCAGGAGGGGACAGTGGTTTATCCCAGGGCCAGACCAGGGCTGGGCACTGGACTCAGATGAATTAGCACAGCCCTGCCCTCAAGTTACTGCAGGTAGGATGAGCCAGGCCCTCCGCAAACTCTCAGCCATCTGAAGGGCCAAGAGGAGGAAAGCACAGACTCTGGGGTCAGAGTGGGCTGGGTTCTAGTCCTGATCCTGTCGCTCTTGGCTGTGTGGCCTTAGACAAGTTGCTTCACCTCTCTGAGCCTCCCAGCATGCACTGTAGAATGGAGATGATAACAACCCCTACCTTGCAGGAGGAGGTGAGGATTAAATGAGGAGACAAATACAAGAGTCTGAGAAGCAGCTCCTTAACCCTTAACCTCCTTTCCTGTTAATAGGGTTGTTATGAGGATGAAAGAAATCAGAGTCTAAGATGTTTAGCCAAACTGTTCTCTGTCTGTGTGACTGTGGCCAAGCTATGTACACTCTCTGGGCTTCAGTTTCCCCATCTGTAAAATGGGCACGTTGACAGTACTATCTCATAGGGTAATTGTGAGGTTAATACATCTATTGTGAGGCTTAGAACATACCTGGCACTTAATAAATGTTAGCTATGATGTATAGCAATTATTGTAATCATACAGTGAATGCCAGTTATTGGGATGATAGATTGATTTCAGTTCAATTCAACCCCTGCTGCAGGCTTCTGTCCCATGCCCATGACATGCATTTCAGAGCATCTAAGCTCTGTCCCTGTGTTGTGAGAAAGTTGAGTGTGGAGCACCCATGACCCCAGCTCCCAGTAGTGCTGCCTCCCTTGGATTTCAGGAAAATGTCAGTCCTTGGCCTTTTTAGATGTCTAGTATGGGACTATCCATCTAAATGCTGTTGATGCGTCTTTGGCCAAACTCAAGAAGAAGTTCTGTCTACTCAGCCTTCCTGTGTACCGCCGACGAGCTTCCTTTGGAGCCGGCCCCAGGACCAAGCCTGTGTCTGCATGCACAAGACAATGAAAACCAGGCGGTGAGCCTTCTTTCTTTTTTTGCCTTGGCTGCCAGGTACGTGCTGCCAGACTCCACCACATAAAAGTGACTTGCTCGGCCGGGTGCTGTGGCTCACGCCTGTGATCCCAGCACTTTGGGAGGCTGAGGCAGGCGGATCATGAGGTCAGGCGATCAAGACCATCCTGGCTAGCACAGTGAAACCCAGTCTCTACTAAAAATGCAAAAAAAAATTAGCCGGGCGTGGTGGCGGGCACCTGTAGTCCCAGCTACTCGGGAGGCTGAGGCAGAAGAATGGCGTGAACCCAGGAGGCGGAGCTTGCAGTGAGCCAAGATTGTGCCACTGCACTCCAGCGTGGGTGACAGAGCGAGACTCTGTCTCAAAAAAAAAAAAAAAAAGTGACTTGCTTATTGGGGACAGTGCAGTGGGAGCAACAGGGTTTTTTGGTTTGTTTTTACTTTTTCTTTTTAAATTTAAGATTCAGGGGGTACGTGCGCAGGCTTGTTACATGGTTATATTGTGTAATGGGGAGGTTTGGGCTCCTAGTGTACCATCACCCAAATTGTGAACGTTGTGCCCAATAGGTAATTTTCAGCCCTTACTCCCCTCTCACCATCCTGGCTTTGGGAGTCCGCAGTGTCTATCGCTTCCATCTTTATGTCCATGTGTACCTGTTGTTCAACCCTCACTTATAAAGTGAGAACATGTAGTGTTTGATTTTCTGATTTGTGTTTGTTTGTTTGTGGAGTCTCATTCTGTCCCCAGGCTGGAATGCAGTGGCACGATCTCTGCTTACGGCAACCTCCGCCCCCTGTGCTCAAGCGATTCTCCTGCCTCAGCCTCCTGAGTAGCTGGGATTACAGGCGACCGCCACCATGCCTGGCAATTTTTGTATTTTTAGTAGAGATGGGGATTCACCATGTTGGCCAGGTTGGTCTTGAACTTCTGACCTCAAATGATCTGCCCACTTCGGCCTCCCAAAGTGCTGGGATTACAGGCGCATGCTACCACACCTGGCTTATTTTTGTATTTTTAGTAGAGATGGGGTTTCACCATGTTAGCCAGGCCGGTTTTGAACTCCTGACCTCCAGTGATTTGCCTGTCTCAGCCTCTCAAAGTGCTGGGATTACAGGCATGAGCCACTGTGTCTGGCCAGTGTTTGATTTTCTGTTTCTGAGTTATTTCACTTAGGATAATGGCCTCCAGCCCCATCCCTGTTGCTGCAAAAGACATGATTTCATCCTTTTTTATGGCTGCATGGTATTCCACAGTGTATATGTACCACATTTTCTTTGTCAAATCAACTGTTGATGGACACTTAGTTTGGTTCAATGACTTTGCTATTGGAGCGCTGGTTTTGAAGCCCGAGGGATGCCGGCTCCTGGCTCCTCTGCTCACTGCTGTGCTACATCAAGCAAGTGGCCTCATCACCGGAGCTTGTTTCCTCTGCAGAGAGGACTAAGAACCCTCTGAGTTCTGCCCCCTTCTAGCTGTGTGACCTGGGCAGCTCTTTTCCATCTCTGAGCTTCAGCTTCCTCTCCTGCAAAATGGGAATTGACTTGTGTTAATGACCATGCCGCCATGCTGGGACAAGGATCACTCAGAGGGTGTAGCGTGGGGCCCACTATGCGGCTGGCACTTTGTAACCAGCAACTGAAAAATGATGCTTTTTCAGGTAAAGATCTGTTGGAAATTGAAGGTTTCGTAGTCAGGGTTTGTAGAAAAGCACAGCCTTCCTGCAGCCATTTTAAAACCGAGCTTTGCAGTGTGACTGCAGATACTCGGCTCTTGAGTTGTGAGGAGGAGGCTGGGCAAACACCCTGAAGGAAGGGGTCATTTCACGCAGGTATCTGCAGTGGGCATACCCCCTAGCCTGGCACAGCAGCTCAGTGTGCACCCTTTTTACAACATGCACCTGATTGCCTGTTATTGCATGGGGCAGGGCCTGCCAGGGCATGCCCCCAGGGAGCAATGCCAGGGAGCCCGGCCAGGGCACTCCCACTACCAACTGCCCCGGGAGGCTCTGCTGACGCTGCATAATCAAGAGAGACAGCCCCACCCAGAGGCCCCTGCAGCCCATGTATGGGTACTGGTGCTAAAGGAGGGTGGCACAGTCTGTGCAATTCTGGATGTGATTGGTAGAGATGTGTATGTGTGTGAAAGTCAAATCCAGGAGCTGCTGTGACTGGAGGCTGCTGCCCGGGCCGGAAGATGTCCCCACCCCATGCTCTGCCCCACAGGCTCTATGGCAGCCGTTAGTGTCTGCGGGTTCTGGTTCTGAGACCCCACCCGTTCCTCTGCAGCCCTGGTGTCCTGCCGCCTTGGCGCCTGGGCAGAGCTGTCCTCTCTAACTTTAAGGGACACTGCTTAGAAGATGAGGCTTGGATATGGGCACACGTAGGTTCACATCCCAACTCCTCTTAGCAGCTGCAGAGACTTAGGCATGTGACTTTACCTGTCTGAGGCTTGGTGTCCTCGTTTGGAAAATGGGGATGCTAGAACCTATCTCCTTGGATGTGGTATGACTATAATATTTGGAGAAGGAAGAGATTCACATTCCATCCCTGTGGTTATAAAGTCTCCTGTGCGGCAGGTGCTGAGTCCAACAGTCCCTTCCCTTCCCTTGTTGCTGTTAGACATAGTGCCTGGATCCCAGGCCCCTAATACATGCAGACAGCATTTCCACAGTGTCCCGGCCAGCCCTGCTTGGGAGCTAGTGGGAAGAGGTGAGATTGGGAGAGGCAACAAAAATGGGAGGCCCACATCCCAGGAGATCAGCTTGGTACACAAGCTGCAAAGACAGGGGAGCACCTCTGCAGTCCTCTCAGGGTCAGTAGAGGCAGGACCAATCAGACTCATAAACCTCAAACCATAAATCACCCCCATGGCTTCATGTGGGTTGTAGGGGCTCAGTGGATGATTGTACTGGAAGGTATACTTTAGAAGACATGTGACTCAGGAAGCCCCTCCTCAACTGCCTGGCAGGAAATATATGGTTTCTATTTGCACACCTCCTGGGACAGGGATCTCCCTCTCTCCCAAAGCCACCCTTCCACCTTCGTGGACTAGCTTTGTCCTCCTTCTCTAGTGTGGTGCCCAGAGCCAAAGCGACTTCTGGAATGGTCTAACCAACATGCACTGGAGCAGCAAGCCCCTCCTTTGTCCTAAAGACTATATTTCTGTTAATGCATCCCTATTTTGCTCATTTGCTTATTTTTCCCTGCACATATTACTATTCATCACACCAGGGTCTAGGGCTACTAATGGCAAAAACTCATTCTCTCACAGCTCTTTCTCTCCTCTCCCTTCTTATTACCTTTCTCCATTCCTTCTTTCTTCCCTCTCTCCTTCTTTTCTGTTTTTCTCTCAGCTCAGGGCAATGCATCTCTGCAGTCAATTTATGCAAATGTGTATTGAGCACCTGTGTCTGCCAGCCCTGTTCTGGGCACTGGGGTTTCCTAGATGATTACAGCCTTCTTCCTGCCTGCAGGAGCATCCTGTCTGGCAGTGGAGAGGACGCAAAGGTAACAGCTACAACACCTGTCTTGAGGGTGTAATTGAGGGGACAGCACAAAGTGCAGAGGGATCTCAGATGGGTGAGCAACTGCTGTATGTGCCCAAATATAAGGTAATCCAAGTAAAGATTACAGGCAATCCCCATTCTCCCTATGAGAAGATGCACTTTCTTATTGAATAATATAAACTTAATGGGGTGAAGATGAAATAGACATCTACTTGAAATATTTCATTTATTACTTTAGTTATATAAACATATTTGCAATTATTCTCATAGAGAATACTAATATGGAAAGATTGCTTTTGGCAGTTTCAAATTTCAGGAAACAATTTGATTCTAATTCTTTTCTGTGTGGCTTTGACACTAGTGTCACCATCGTGTGTGTTGGGGGCAGCTTTTTACTAGAGCAGGTCCTACTCTCAGAGATCCAGAGGCTAACACACAGCCCTTTCGAATCCACATGTCAGGCAACTGCTGGGCACAGTGTCTCCACCGCAGGTCCAATCCGCATCACATTTTGACAGTAGGGATTCATTTGCTGCAGGTGAGTATTTGTGATCTGCACAACATGGCCACTTACTGAGGTACTCTGAAAGTGGCCTTTAAAAGGCCTGTTCACAACCTCTCACCCTTGCCGTCACAAAGTCATATTTGTTTGCATTGCCTTATCTGAGGAAAATTCCCTCAATTCCCTTTATAATATTGCTGACCTCCATATGCAACCCAATGTCACATAGATTAAAGGAGGATCAGCCAGGTGAGGTGGCTTAGGCCTGTAATCCCAGCACTTTGGGAGGCTGAGGTGGGGGAACCGCTTGAGGTCAGAAGTTTGAGACCAGCCTGGCCAACATGATGAAATCCCATCTCTACTAAAAATACAAAAATTAGCGGGGCGTGGTAGTGGGTGCCTGTAATCCCAGCTACTCAAGAGGCTGAGGCAGGAGAATTGCTTGAACTTGGTAGGCAGAGGTTGCAGTGAGCCAAGATTGTGCCATTCCACTCCAGCCTGGGTGACAGAGTGAGACTCTGTCTCAAAAAAAAAAAGAAAAAAAAAAAGGATCACGCTAACGGACCTTTCTCAAACAGAACTTTGGGGTTAAAAATTAAGTCACTGGGCGAGCACCTGTAATATGAGAAATTAGTAACTCAAATGCAAGGCAATCTTATGTTCAGACATATGACGTCAGGGGGGAGTGGGGAATCAAGGTTTCCCGGAAGTGGAAGCTTGGAGCTGGCCTTAAAGACCCTAGAACCCTCTGGGATGGGTCATGTACTGTAAGCAGAAGGCACCGGAGATGCAGAAGGCTGTCTCCTGAATACCCCGCTTTTATTCGCATAGCTTCAGGCTAGCTTTGCCCTGTACCATTGGAAGATCTTGGGCACCTCTCTTCCACTCTCAGAGCCTCAATTTCCCTATCTGTGAAATGGAAGTAATAATACATATTTCATAAAGTCTCAAGGGATACAAGAGCATGAAAAATAGAATTGAAAAAAACAGCTCATTTGGAATCGGGTCTTCTTGGGGAAGTCATTGCACTTCCTGGGCCTCAGCGTTCCAGCCTGTGAAATGGAGCTCGAGAAGGGCACAGCTGCACTTCCCACTGAGTGTGGTCCAGGTGCCTGAATGAGGAATGCCTGTTACTGCCTCTGCCAGGAACACTCTACCTATCTCTTCTCATGGCCGACGCCTTCTAGTCCATCAGATGGAGCTTATGTGCCCCCACCCCAGATTCTCCCTATGCCCCCAAACAATGTCATCTCCTCACTCTACTGGGATCTGTTTTATTTTCTTCCTGGCTTTGATTATTATATAATGTGATCGTAATTGCTTGTTATTTCTATCTTCAGCATGCCATCTCCAGGGCAGTGGGGACCTTGTCTGTATCTACCCGGCCCAGCACAGTGCCTGGTGCATAGACTGTGCTCAATAAATATTTTAGTGAATGAGCGAATAAATTAATGAATGTGGGTTCCCTCTTCCCAATCTTTGGACACTGGGTTTCTTCTATTCCTCGGTACCTGGCCTAGGGGATAGAAAAGACTCCACCCAAACCCGGGAACCCTGGGTGTACTGTCTCCAAGCCCTTTACATGGTCCCAGGGGCCCGTCTGCCTCTGTGTAAGTTCCCCCGGGGCCGAAGCACTCTCCAAAGAGGTCTGCCGGGGCTAGGACTCGGCCGGCTGGGGCCCCGCGCCTGGAAGAGGGCCTGGCACACAGTGGGCCTTCTCAAAGTGTTAGAACAAATGGGTGACAGGCCAGCAGACTGCCGATCCTGGCACCCGAGGGCACCCAGCTGCCCTGCGCGCCTTCCCGGCCCGGGCGCGGGAGCGGCGAGGGCGGGAGGCTTGGCTGTGCTTCTCCCGCCGCCTGGTGCAAACTTTCAAAAGATGCGGCGGCCGCGGCCCCGCCCCTGCACTGTTGGAGGCGGTGGGAGGCGGGGGCGGAGCCGGCGGGCCCGGGCCGGTGGCTCCGCCTCCTCCTCCCGCAGGCGCCGCCGCCGCCTCCCTCCCGGCTCCCGCCCCAGCTGCCGCCCGCCGGCTCGCCCGTGCAGCTGCGATGCCCCGGAGCGTCGACCCCGGTCCTGGTCCCTGGCCCGCCGCGTAATTAGCCTCCGCGCGCCCAGAGCGCGCCGCCGCCAACGCCGCGCCCGACGCAGCGATGGGCAACACGGTGCACCGGACCCTGCCAGGTACGCCGGGGAGCCCTGCCCGGGAGGCGGGCGCCGGGCTTCTCTCCTCCGGGGGACCCGCTGGGTGACTCTGGAGAGCTACCCCACGGCCCTTGGAGCCCTCGGCTCGCAGCGGGCTGGAGTCTCCGGTACCTCCCGGACCTCAGCTCGGCGCGCGCCCCGCGGCTGGGCTTTGCGCCCCGGGAGGGCGGGTACCGCGTCCTGGTTACCTTGGGGACCCCAGTCCTCATTCTCCCGGCTTTGGCCAGATGCGCAAAAAGGGCCGCTGGGGCGATGCCGCGCGCCCCCTCGCCTTTGTTCCAGCCCGAGGGCGCTGATGAGCAAACTCAAGGCGACCTGGGTGGGGGTGACTGGAGCCGGGCTCGCCAGGGCTTCCGACGGTCAGAAGCCACCCGTGGTGCCAAGACTGCAGCTGCCGAGAGTGAGGGGTGCTCTCAGGGGCACCCCAGTTTCCAGCCTCCCAGCGCCCCCGCGGCACATGCTGCCGTGCTTTGGCCACGTTCCCACGCGCACCCCGGTTGCGCCCCCCTCTGGTGTCCGCTCCACTGGGGACTCCTTCGCCCCCTCGGAGTCGCTGCTGCAGATCGCATCGCCCCCTAGTTAAAATCGCCCCAGAATTTCTGGGACCGGAGTGAGGGGATCCGGAGCAGGTTAACGGGGTAGGAGGAGGCCTTACTGGAAAATACATGGTAATTGTGGGAACAGATCAGCGGTCCCGCGCCCGCGCGTGCCCGTGGAGGTTCAGTGCCCAGCACTTTGCATACCCCAGCTCGGTATGCAAAGAAGCTTCGCGATAAAGATGTGTATCCCAGTTTTACAAATAAAAAAATTGAGTGTCAGAAGAGGTGAAATGACTCACCCAAGGTCACACAGCTAGTAGTGGGAGAATCTGGAGTGGGACCTGTGTCTCTCTGCCCTCCCTCCCCTCACACGCCCAAGTATTTAGAAGTATTTTGTCTTAAGGCTGGGCCTTTGTAGCATCCTTTGGGCAAAAGGTGAGAGGAGTGTGTGTGTGTCTAAAGCACAAAGGCTCGGCTCAATGGGGAAGCAAGTCAGCTGTGAGGTTAATTTAGTGTGAGGTTCTGGAAGAGGGACATATCACCCCATCTCTGCTATAACACTCCCATATAGCTCTCCCTTCTAGGCATTACATGCTCTTAAAGAATAATTTCCCCTGGAGCGGGTTGAAGTGGACAGTGCTGAGCCCAGGATTCCCAGGGTCAGCTTATGGAAGAGGAGCCAACTCCTACTTTACAAGCCTCTGAGCAACTGCACTCAAACGTTCAAATTCCCAGAGAGCTGTAATCATCAGCAGAGTCACCAGCTAGTCAGTGGCAGAGGTGGGATTAGAACCCAGGTCTGCTTACTGGAGGGTGGCCTCTACCTCCTGTGGACAGGGCTATTGCCAGGTTGGGGGAGAACCCACCCGCGGGTCAGGAGATATCTGGGGATGTTGGCAAATAGGGCAGCAGATATTCTCGCCACATAGACACTGGGATGAGGCACCTCGGCACAGGCCCCTTTCCTTGGTTTCTTAATTTAAAAATGTTTATACTATTCTAGTAAAAAGCCATTCTGCCACCTGTGGGTCAGCCCTGGGGTGCGTAAAGGGACAGACACACGCCAGGCAGGCTAAATATAGCTAGAGATTTATGTATTCTCCATCCCTCTCAACTCTCTCTCTGTGGACTGGGCCACCCTAGTCTGGGAGCCGGCAGTTAAGGTTGGTTACCCACTGCAGTGTCTAAGTATGGGGAATTCAGACTCTTCTCTGGGGATTGAAGCTTGCACTGAGTTTGAGGAAGGGGTCAGAACCGGAATTCCTGAGTCACATCGGGTGGCAGATGCCAAGAATATGAAGGGCCGTTAATTGTTTTCCGACCTACCAGTATGAGTTTCTTGCACACCCTGTGCTGTTTTTTGTACCTCTGTGCTTGGCATGTGATGGTCCCCATGCATGGATTGTCCTTTCTTGTCTAGTCTGCCTTTCAAAATCCAGTTGTCGTTACCTCCTCCAGGAAGCTTTCCCTGACCACCCACAGTCTCATCCTTTGCTCTGCTATCTGGATGCCTGAAGTCCTTTCCTGCTCATCGTTGCAATGACTGCATTGTCACTGCCTGTCTCTGTGACTCTTTGCGGTTCCCTGAGGACAGAGCCCTTGTCTTGATCATCTTGTATCCCTGGTTGCCCATCCCAGAGACTGGTGCCTGGCAAGGGCTCAAAAACTGGTGGTGGAGCTCGAATGTTGCCTGAATCTTAGGCTGAAGGAACACTTGGCACAGTCTTGCCCTGTAGAATCCTTGTGCTTTCGTTCTCAGGAAAAGGACACATGCGTGGGGTTCTTTCTGCGGGACTTGAAATAGAGAGCTGGCATTTGCTGAGCACCTGGATTCCATGCCAGGCTTCCTGCATATGTGGCTTCATTTACACGCCAAGCATGCTTCTCCTCAAGGCTTCTGCACTTCCTGATCCCTCTCCCCGGCACATTCTTCTGCCCTCCTCCCCATGGCTCCCACCAGGCTTCCTTGGGGTCTCTGCTTGAACGAGGGGCCTGCTGTTGCCCCAACCCCACTCACTCCTTTGACCCAGCTTTAAGTTTCTCCTTAGCACGTGTCACTATGCGACACGCTGTATGTGTAGTTAGCAGTTTCTTGTCTGTCTCCCCCAGGGAGATTTTGTCTGTTTTATTCACTGCTATACGTTTAGCACCTGGAGCAGTGGCTAGTACAGAGTAAATGTTCAGTAAGTACGTGTTGGATGGGATGAATGGATGAATTTAATTCTTCTAACATCCCTGCAATGTAGGCATTATCATCTCCATATTACAGTTGAGAAGCCGAGGCTCAGAGAGGTAAAGTGGCTTGTCCCAGCTCACACAGTTCACCTAGTTGGCAGAACTGGGATTGCAATTTAGGTTAACTTAGCTCCAAAGTCCTGCATTCTTATTCTGACATGCTGTGGCCTCCCAGCCCGTGATTTAGATAACATTTATTGGGTTCCCCACCATGCACGTGGCATGCTACACTATACAATAAGGAAATGCCAAAGAAAGGGAAGGTTGTTTATGATCGATTGCGGAAGCCTCTTGGCAGCTCTTGCAAAGTGCATCAGCATATTCAGAGAAATGCCCTTTAAACAGAACGTGCAGCACAGGACCTCACATCTACTAAGCTCCTACTGTGTGCTCTACACTCTCTTTCCAGTTGCAACTCAACCCTGCAAAGTAAGGTGCCATTCTCCACCATTTTAAAGAGATTAAGACACTTTGCATACAGTTAGGCAGTGGCAAAGCTGGGCTTAAAAGACTGAGACCTGTCTGACTCCTCATACCATGTAGTCCTTCTCTCTCGAGTCCGTTAGCCTTCATCTGGGTATTTGAAGGGAGAAAAAAAGTGTAAGCAGGTGGGGATAGGGGAGGGCAGCGTTCCAGGATGAGAGTGAGGGGAGGTGGAGGGAGGGACTCATCCCCTTCTCCTAACAGCACATTCCAATCCCTTCCTTCTCGCCTCTTGGGCTCACCTGCAGCTCTGGTTGGAGAATACACTAAATTCAAACAACAGGTTGGGTTTCATCATTAAGTTGGCCCACGCTTGACCGAACCAACAGCTTTTTCGTATTAGCTCAATAACCGGGCATCCTGGAGCTTTGGAGTGAGGAAAGTGTGTTGATCCCGCTCTATATCAAGCCCTTGGTCAAGGGCTTTACCCACAGTATCTATTTGAAATCCTCATAACAACCCTTTAGAGGGACTATATTTATCCCCATTTTACAGGGCAGCAAGTGGAGGCTCAGAGAGGTCAAGGACACAGAGTAAGGGGAGAAGCAGCCTCCCCTAACCTACGTGGACAGTCTGTAAGTGCTGCATCCAGACAAAGAAGCACTCGCTTACCCCAGACAGTCTGACATCCTCCCTTGCAGAGCCCTTTTCTCTTTTTGGCCCAGATAAGGGGCCATGTGGATGCTGAGCCTAGCCGGGACACATCTGCTGCTCCCTGACTTCCCATCTGAGCCATGGGTGGTGTTGCTCCCAGGGCCTGGCAGCCACTGTTTTCCCTGGATCTGGACTTTCTCAGCTCTTGGGAGGACAGCGACCCTTGTCACCCTCCTTCCAGCCATGGCAATACTGCATGGATGGCCCATGGAGTGATATTGCCTCTTCTCTTTCTACCTCTCCTCCCCCTTCCCCAGGCACAACTTCACGTTCACTTGGGCTTTACCTTGCTTGTCTTGTCCCATCTTCCTCCCTTCCACCAGGTCATTAAGAACCACCTCTATCAGTGATTCTGTAGAATCAGAATCGCTTGCTACCCTCAGGAGCTGGCCCTAGTGGAAGGGGCCAACATGCTGTAACAGAACGGGACACCCAGTTGGTCACATCACTAAAGAGCACAAGTTACTGCTACCCTGTGACTCAGAGAGGGAAAGTCAGCACCCAACACTCCACGCAAGGCCTGGCCACCAGACCATGTGGTCTCTCCACCGTGGGTTGTGACCAGCTGTAAAAAAAATCTTTAATGACATAGAATTTTAAAAATCTGGTGCATTTATGTAGTAAGAGTATTTTTGCTTCATAAACTTTTGTTTCAGTTGCGCATGCGGGTGTGTGTGAGATGTGTGTTTTGTGTGTTGCCATGTAAAATGCATTTCTTTCCCTGGGACACAGCGGGAGCCGTTGAGAGTTGGAAGGCCCCTGGCCTACAGCAGTGCAAGGCTGGTGTTATGGTGTTAGACTCAGATCTTAGAGTCAAGCTGCCTGGGTTCAAATTTCAGCTCGGCCAGTTCCCAATGGCATGACCTCTCTGTGCCTCAGTTTCCTCACAGGGAGACTAGGGGTAGCTCCTTCACGGTTGGTGGGGGTGGGAATTACATGGAATAGAGAAAGTGAGTGTTCAACAAATGCCCAGGATGGTAGCCATCATGGTTCTGGGAAGAGAGGCCTCGGGCCTGCTCCTAGAGTCCCGGCACGGGGCTGGCTGACAGGTGCCCTTCACTCCTTGCCTTGAAAACCCTGCCCCAGGTGACCACAAGCCTCAAACCAAGGGGCTGAAGATGGGGAGGCACCCCTTTCCTGTCTACTGTCAGCAGTTCCCAAGGGTTCCTTGGGCTCTTTCCTGAACACCTGATTTCTGCTAAGAAGGATATGCCTGGTGGGTTGCATTTACAGTTCTCCTGCAGGGGAACACAGCCTGGGTTTAAGGACTCAAGTTCTAGCAGGAGAGACCGACAAAGACACAGCAGTTACAGTACGCGGTCGGCAGGGAAGCTCAGGGAGTTGTGAGAGCCCAGAAGATGCAGGGGAGGCTTCCTGGAGGAGGTGCGCTCTGTCTAGCTGAGCCCGTAAAGAAGAGACATCAGCTAGGAGAAGGGAGTGAGAAAGGCTGTTCAGGGCACCATGTGCAAAGGCCTGAGGGAGGGGGAGCAGCACAGGTGTGGGGGGCTGTGGAGTTCTGAGGACCCCAGTGCAAATGGGGGTGGGATGTGAGGTCACAGCAGTGGGAAAGTCTGGAGGCGGGGGCCGGGGGTAAGAGGAGGCTTCTTGTAGGCCAGGCTGCAGTCAGGAGGCTTGGATTTCTCAGCTGCCACACTCCCAACCGGGATAATGTGCTGTGTTTGCCAGCAGGGGCGTAGCATTTTCCCTGGGCTGGACCTCAAGGGCCGCTCAGAACAGGCTGTTTAATCTCCCCCATGGAGAAGAGTCAGCTCTGCCTCTCTTTTGGACCAAAGGGCTTTCTGTACTTATGGTGCTCTCTGAGGGCTTAAAATAGAAGCCCAGAGGCCAGGTGTGTGGTTAGAGCTTAGAGCAGAGAGGGAAGAGGGAGGGCGCCAGGTCGCAGCCCGACAGGTAGCACACGCTCACCTGGGCAGTGTCGCGGGGTGGTCCGAGCTTCTGCACACCTGCCCTGCACTAGGCCCTTTATTCCATCCCATTGAAGCCGTCATGAGAGCCTTGCGAGGCAGTCTTCTCATGTCACAGAAGGGGAAACTGAGGCTCAGAGGGGTAGTGAGACCTGCCCGGCCCAGGTGGCCAGGAAGTGGCAGAGTGAATTGGATCCCAGGCACGCTGGGCTCCACACCCCTTCCCCTCCATCCCACGGGGCACTGCACCCTGGGGCCTCTTGCGGCTCCTCTTGCTGACTTGCTGCTGCCCCTTGTCCTCGTCCTGAGCACCTGAGCCCCACCCTTATTGCAGGTGCACTCCCTTTGCCCTCTGAAGATGAATTACTTCTGTCCACAGCCGCCAAAATGAAGCTGTGCCTAGAGAAGCCCCCTGCCCCCGCCCACCTCACCCCAGGCCTGTAGACTCTGGAACTCAAAAGCTGGATGTGGCCTCTGGGAATCTTGCCTGAGAGGAGACGGGGTGAGCTTGAGTTCTGTGCTCCTTCTTCCTGCCCAACTAGGACTCAGGCTCCTGACTCATCTGCCTGGTAAAAACTGGCCCATGCTGACACCCCCAGCCCCCAATGGCAAGCATCACAGTGCTCCCAATACCTTCCCTGGGCCCAGGGTCCTCACAGGCCCTTCCCCCATCCCGGACTTCCAGGCAGCCCCCACCAGTCAGTGAGCAAGGGCCCAGGTGAGGGTGAGAGCCCTTTGTCATCCAGGGCCCGCGTCTGTCCTGCAGGTGAGAAGTGTCCTGTCCCCATGCTGTGCCCCCAGCAGCAGCAGATTAACCGCACAGGCTGGAGTCCTTCCTTCTCGGGTCTGAGTCTGGGCCTCGCCCCTTTTTAGCCAGACAAGTGACGTAACCTCTCTAAGCCTTGGTTTCCTCTTCTACAGAAAGGGGAGAATGATGTTACCTCTCAGGCATGCCAAGTGTCCAGCAGGTACTAAGTGTTCACACGTAGCACCTGCTAGGATTATGTATTCACTGGGAGATGAGCCCCTCCTCCACACTGATCTTAGGATTGGGTGCTCTCAAGGGAGACAGACACAAAAGAATAACCACTAACTTGTATCACGTAACCACTAACTTGTATCACGTAGCCCGTCTGTGCCAGACAGTGTTCTCAGCAGGTACGTCCATGTCTATCAGGACAAGCCCTGGGAGATGGCTCCTATTATTAGTGCCCCAACTCTTGGGAGAACGTAGGCACAGAGAGGGAAGGTAACTTTCCCAGGGAACACAGCTCAAGCAGTCCAACATGATTCCAGCTAGAGGGAAGGAACGTCAGTGTGGAAGGGAATGTTGGGTCAGGGTGGAGGGTTCCCATGGAGGACATTTCCCATTTGCACTGGAAGCCTTCATTGTATTTGGCAGAACTCTGTAAGCATTTAGAAATCTTGGCAGGTTCATTTTTAATTGCTCACCTAGTTCTTTTACTTTTCTTTGTCTCACATCGCACCTCTAGGCATGGCAGGGTGGGGGCCCTCTCCAGGCAGCCTGTGGGTTCACCATGGGGATTCCCAGCAGATAGTCCCCAAGGTCTGGTGTGCAGATCTCCAACTCCCTGCCCAGGCAGGTCAGGGGAGAGCTGATGCCCTGAGGGCTTTCTGGGCAGCAAATCAAAGGCCATGCCATCCCCAGGGAAGCAAAGACTCTCCAGCAGCATAGTCTGCGGGGGCTGTGGTGGCCTGAGAGCTGCCTGCAGACCTGAAGGGGAAGTGCATGGTGGACCCAATGCAGACATGACCAGTGTGTAGACATCAAAGGAGAGCAGATTCCAATTCAACCAAAGGAGGAACTAACTGTGGGAACTGTCTGGAGCTGGACAGCGGGGAGAACGTGCCTGTCACTGGAGTACACAGGTAATTAGTCAAACTGGGACTTGACATGGTTCTTGCAGAGGCCCTGGAGTATCCAATGCATCTCAGATGAATTATCCACGAAGACGCCTTTTGACCCTGGGGTCTTCCAGGGAATGCCTTCCAGCGCCCATCTGCCGAACTCCTGCAAAGCCCTTCACTTCTTTTTTTTTTTTTTTTTTTTTTTTTTTTTTTTTTGAGACAGAGTCTTGCTCTGTTGCCCAGGCTGGAGTGCAGTGGTGCAATCTTGGCTCACTGCAACCTTTGCCTCCCGGGTTCAAGCAACTCTCCTGCCTCAGCCTCCCAAGTAGCTGAGACTATAGGCACCCACTGCCACACCCGGCTAAATTTTGTATTTTTAGTAGAGATGGGTTTTCACCATGTTGGTCAGGCTGGCCTTGAACTCCTGACCTCAGGTAATCTGCCCACCTGGGCCTCCCAAAGTGCTGGGATTACAGGTGTGAGCCACCACTCCTGCCTGGCACCCTTCACATCTTTCACTTAGTCCCCCTTTCAGTTCTGCATGGCAGAGGGTTTAGCCCCACTTTATAGATCAGGACATATAAGGCACAGGACGGTGACGTCACCTGCCTCAGCCCAGTTCTCATACCTCCCTGTGTCCACCCAGCCTCAGAACTTTCAGATAGCGGCAGGTGTTTCTGAGCAGAGTTTGGGACAGCCATCCCAGGACCACAGACCCAGCAAACTCATCCCTTCTTCTCCTTTCATCTTATTACCAGGACTCAGGGCCACCCAGAGCTGGCCGCTAGCCTCACTTCTAGGCAAGGGGGGGAAAGTTCTTTAATGACTAAGCCATTTGGGGAAATGGGTGGGGTCGAGGTGTCTTGGGCAGTATTGGCACTTGGCAGAATGCCCACAGCTATTAAACAGTGTATTTTGTTTACATCCTCAACATTACACATTGTTTATATCACAATTGCATCCCTCAGGCACGTATTTTCTTTCCTTTTGCTACAAGGATGGATTTATGAGATGGGTCTGCGCTGTACTCCGTGTCTCCATTGCCAGGTCTGCCTGGTAACTTTCCAGTCCAAACAAGCAGATCTCCATGTCTCAGAAAAGCTTCCCTTCCCTTAAAGTTTGGTCCATTCAAGGGCAGGAGATGGCAGAGTGGAATTTCCATGTCTCTGCAGGAACTTCAGCCCTGCAGATAGGTCACTCAGGGGCTCTGTTCTCAGGACCAGAGGGTGCTCAGAATCCCTGTCCCAGCTCCCACGTGGCAGATGGGGATACTGAGGACCAGAGCCTGGCACAAGGTCACCAGGTGATTACAAATGGGGTCTTTCGCTGGAATCTCAAGAAAGGTGGCGGAAAGAGGGTGGGTTTGGAGGCAGTCCCAAGTTTGAATCTCAGTTCCACTGTCTCTAAGCTGTATGATCCTGGGCAAGTCTGTTCCTCCCTGAGCTGTGTTATACACAAAGTTTTGGTGCCGCAAAAGGAATAGCACTCAAATATACATTTTCTTAATGCTCAGCAAGGCAAGTTACTTCTATAGAAGGGTATGCCCTTACAGATGGAGCAATGGTGAGCGCACACTTGGACAAGGGAGGGGAAGGGGTTCGTATCCCTGACGCACGTGACCCCTGCTGCTGTGTTGTTCCCCTATTGGCTAGGATTAGACCGCACAGGCTAAACTAATTCCGATTGGCTAATTTAAAGAGAATGATGGGGTGAGTGCTTTGGCGGGAGTCAGGGCAGAGCAGGTAGCAGGTAATCGGAATGAGTTAGGGTGGAGCAGGTGATCAGAATGATGGAGCAGATAATCTGAATGAGTTAGAGTGGAGCAGGTGATCAGAATGAGTTAGGATGGAGCCTATGATCGGAATGAGTCAGGGTGGAGTAGATAATCGAAAAAGGTTGCTTTACGAGGAAGTTTAAAAGTAGAAGGCAAAGCATTGAACATACTGACATATTAATTATTTGAAAAGAAATTTAGAACTCATATCTAACAACTCCCCTTGTATTTCCTTACAGCTTTCTTTTCAAACTTTTTTTAACATGTCTTGGCTTAGTTGTTCTGCTTGATTTTCCAAAAGCAGTAGCTTCTCTGGATAAGGTGGAGGATAGTTAAGTGAGGTTTTAGTAAGTGCTGTTTTTATGAGCCTTTGCATCAACTTACAGATACATGGTATGACATAGCACCTGACAAGAATAAGTGCACCTATCATGGCTGCGAGGGAAATAAGAATTGAGGGTATTATTCCTTTCCATTTACTGAATTACTTTTTTAGCCATCCTATAAAGGGGTCATTTACCCGAGTTGCTGGCTAACTCATTGGATAGAGCAGTCAGACCTTGCAATGCCTTTGTTATACTTCCATTAGGGGCGGTGTTGTTTGGGATGAAGGTGCAACATTGAGTTTTAATCATGACGCAAACTCTTCCTCTTTCTGCTAGTATGTCTAAGGCTATCCTATTTTCCCAAGCCATCTGGCTAGTAGCCCCATTTGTTCAGCTATTTCTTTAACAGCATCTCCAGCGTAGTTAATAAATCGCTGTTGGTTGTAATAGATGTAGTTTATCCAATCTACATTTTTATTAACTGTCACCCACCAAAATATTGACTCAAATCCTGCAGCTATTTGATTTCAGGCTTTAAATTGATCTGGTATTCCCCATGGGACTCCAATTGCATCTAAATAGACGTGAGAGTCAAAAGACCTGTAAGGGCTTCTCTTGCTTTATGATGTCTTGTTTTTCCTCCCACTGGTTGATGAAATGCCAGGGTGAAAGGGATAGCCAACTGGACTAAAACACAAGTGCCACTCCAGTTATTCGGCGGAGTGTCCAGTAAAGGTCCACCACAATACCACCATACATCCGCTCTGGGATGAACAAGGGCTGACTTATTGGTAAGCTCTTGAAAGTTCTTAAGCTCACTGCATCCCTTCAGGTCTCCAAGGAAGGCTAAGTTTCTTCCCTGTCATGAGAGACACGAAGTGAACTTAGTGTTGGGAGATGGAAGCTGGATGGCCCTCGGGGGCTGACCCGCAGGGTGCTGGACTTGGGGATATAGCAGAGAGAGAGCTTGGCACCACTTATTACTTCAGGCTGTAGAATCCTGGAAAAGAGCTACCATGCAGGCCACACCTGGTCGACTGGAAGACCACCTTAGTGGAAAGGTGACAATTTGGGCCTCTGGCCTGCCATGTACACAAGCATAACAATTGCTTTTGTTTAACGTGCAGACGGAATATTTGATCCATTCCAACCAGGCATTTGCATCTTGGTATTCTGTCTAATTGCCAATGTTTGTTTTAACTCTTTAACTTCTATGATCCTCTAGCAAAATGAATGTATGGTTTTTAGGAAATTACAGAAACCGGTTGGGGCAGTCCATCCTTGCTGTTTAGTGGTCCACAGAACGTTGGACCAACTACGGCATAAAAGCTCTACATCAGGGGGCAAGACTCCTAGTTGACACTGGGGTCTTTATCGAAATCTTCCCAGATTAAATGGTCCTAATTTACTAATGCCCAGTCTGAAGAAAGTCAGGAGGGATAGAGGTACTTTTCTGAAGCAGAGAGCTGTCTTTGACTTGGCAAGTCCCCACAGGGTATAACAAGGCAAGCATTAAATGCAATAGTTTGAGGTGAAATTGACTTGGTTTTGTTAATAACTAGATGGTCAGCAATAGAGCGAGGAAGAAGAAAGAGTAATAGAATCAAGAGTTTAGCTTTAGTCTGGAAGGGTTTTCCCCTGGGACTATGGCCCACGACTCTGGAGGGGGTGGTGCTTTCTTGACTCAGATGTGATGAGTCCATCCCTTTTTCACTGTACAAACAGCAGTCTTGGTGGTTAGCAGCACAAGGTAGGGTCCTTCCCAGGCTGGCTTGAGTTTTCCTTCTTTCCATCCTTTGATGAGAACGTGATCGCCAGGTTGGTGCTGCTTTACTGGAAATTCTAGGAGTGGTACATGTGCTAAAACACTTAGTTTTGAGGGAAAGGTAAGTGGGAGATAAACCAAGTATATAATTTCTAAGAAATTGACCTTTGTTTTAAATGTGGGGACGTCAGCAGTGGACTTTATAGTGCTTGGTGCCTTCTTACTGAGAAACTTCCTTTAGCACCTGTTTTTTTTAGTTTTTAGACTGAAGAAATCCAAACACCATTTTATATTTGACAATGCTTCCAGTATGATTTTTATACCAGATAAGCTAAATTTCACCTTTATATTAGTGTGTCAATGTTAAACTTAGTTTTAATAAAACTTTGTAGACATTTAATTTTTAATGTCTGACCATAAGGTAAAATGTTTATAGACTCTTTTTAACCTTTTATAATTTTTGTTAAAGAGCAGGTTAGTGCTTTAAGAAAAACCCGTCATGTTATTTTAATGTCCAGTTCACAGAAAAACTGGATGATACCCTTTTAACTTTAGCCAATATGTTTACACACAGAATTTCCTTTACAATTTAACGTTTTAAAACTTGCTTAAACCTTCAAAACAAAAAAAATTTTAACCTTTTAATGTAGGTAAAAATCCACATTCTTATGCCTCTTTATAATCCTTTTACTAAAAGTATATTTTACTTTCCTTATACACCTTGCACATAAACTTTTTTCAATAGTTTTACATTCAGGAGGCCTAATTACTTTTAAATTATACAACATTTCTTGCGTAAATTCCCTTTTATAACACATTTTTTTTTCTTTCACGACTTTCAGACAATTCTTCAACATGCCTCAACTTTCTGACTTACTGCAAACATCTCTTTCTTTAAACAACCAGTTATTTTAGGACAATAATTTACCATATAACATACTTTTTACATAAATTCTCCCCCAACTTTTTTTTTCCCCTAAAGATGATAACCATTCTTTTCCAAAGTGAACTTCCTTCATGTCTGTGGACTAGACTGCCTAAGGCCATAAGATTAGAAGTTAGGATAATACATTTTACACTGTTAACTTTTAGCAAATTTTACTTTTATTGAAAACCTTGTAAGTTTGGGATTTCAATTATCCTTTGCTGTTAATAAAACCTTGTTCATTCCAAATTAACTTAGAATTGGTATAGATGGTTCCTTCCCGGTTCTGTAAGTACTTTAAGGCTTGGCTGAGTGGAAACAGCTCGCACTTTGAGCAGACCAATTATTAGGCAATTTTCCTAACTCTGCTTTTACAAGAGTTTCCTTATCAATTACTGAACACCTATTGTGTCTTTTTCCCTCAATCACCTGGGAGGAACCATCTATCGTCCAGTCCTGAAGGGAGCTCCTCCTAGGTCTGGTGAGACCTTTGCGTGGTAATTAATTAAGACTTAGATCCCCTGTTAGGAAACCTGGTGGGTTAAGGGAATTATCAGTGGTTAATGTTAAATCATCTAACAGAATAGCCCCATACTTTAAGATTTTTGAGTTAAACTATTTTTTTTTTTTTTTTTTTTTACTTAGGATAGTTCTGAACTGGTGAGGTGTGCTCACAATGAGGTTTCCTCTAAAAGTTATTTTTCTACTTTTTTCTGTTAGCAAAGCCGTTGCCACTACAGATTGAATGTATTTGGGCCATCCGCAGGGTACTGGGTTAGGGATTTTTGATAGGAAGGCTATGGGTTGTCAGTGGCCTCAGTGCTTTTGGGCTACACCCTTGTTTACACTGACAACAAAGTGGTATTGGAGTGTTATAGGGTCACGGAGAAGACCTTTAATTATCAATTATAGGTTCTAAATTTACCTTGGCTTTTAAAGGAATAGGGTACACTGGTTTTTTCTTAACTACTTGTATATCTCTCCCTTTCTCTTTGACTTTGTCTCTGTTTGACTCCCTCTTTGTCTTTCTGTCTCTTCTCTCTCTTTCCCCTCTCTCTTTTTCTCTCCTCTCTCTCTGCTGGTCTTTCCTTGCCTCTGCCAGCCACTTAGGCTGCTGTTCTCCCCTCTCCTTCCTCTTCACCTAGGGAAGGGACCGGAGGGAGTGGAGCTGCTCTTTCTTCCCCCAAGAAGAAAGTGGGGGGGTTGTGTGAGGTTCAACCCTTGAAATCAGCAGAAGGCTCAACCCCTCAAACCAGGGATGTCTCGCCTTGCCTGTCCCGGAAGTCTCAACCCCTCAAACCAGGGGGTGTCTTGCCTTGCCTGCCCTGGAAGGCTCAACCCCTCAAACCAGGGGGTGTCTTGCCTTCCTCGTCCTGGGAGGTTGACCTGTTTCCCTCCTTTCCCCCTCTGAAGGTCCTTTGCACACTTCCCACTTGTGCTGTCCTCTCTGGCTGCTCCCTAAGGGAGAATTAGGCCCCTCTTAGTGTTGGTGTGCTGGTATAAATCCTACGGCAGGATCCACCCTAAACCATATGAGGTAGCTACAGAACCACGGAGAGGACCCACTCACTCCGTCCAGCAGTAGGACTTGTACCATCCACACACAACACCACCAGCAGGGTGGTCATTCACGCACACACACATTTAGCCCTCCAGAATTTGATCACCAAGGAAGTATTTTACCGGCTTCCACGGCTGCTGCTTCCTTGGTCTATGCACAGTTGTTGCTGCAGTATGTGAGGATCCTTTAAGCTAGGTTGCTGGCCAGTGTTTGTTTTTTTTTTTTTTTCCCTCTGCATTGCTGAGAGCTCAGGTTATTCCTCACACTGGGTGGGTCTTGTTTCTAACCCTTGAGGCTGCCACAATAGGGCGGGGTGCACCTCCTCACAAGAACCAGAGACCGCCCCCTGAGGGGAATATAATCACGGGCGAGCCCCCAAATTGTTATATATAAAGTTTCGGTGCCGCAAAAGGAATAGCACTCAAATATAACATTTTCTTTTTAATTCTCAGCAAGGCAAGTTACTTCATAGAAGGGTACATCCTTACAGATGGAGCAATGATGAGTGCACACTTGGACGAGGGGAAGGGGTTCTTATCCCTGACGCATGTGGCCCCTGCTGCTGTGTCGTTCCCCTATTGGCTAGGATTAGACTGTGCAGGTTAAACTAATTCTGACTGGCTAATTTAAAGAGAATGACGGGGTGAGTGCTTTGGCGGGAGTCAGGGCAGAGCAGGTAGCAGGTAATCATAATGAGTTAGGGTAGAGCAGGTGACCAGAATGAGTTAGGGTGAAGCAGGTAATCGGAACGAATTAGAGTGGAGCGGGTGATCAGAATGAGTTAGGGTGGAGGAGATAATCGAAAAAGGTTGCTTTACTAGGAAGTTAAGTTTATTTTTTATTTATTTATTTATTTTTACAAAAGTTTATTCTTAAATGTACAACAGCTCCAAGACAACACTTAATTCCAGCTATACGTGGCAAAAGATGTTATGGCAGGGAATAGAGAGGTTTAAATACAGATGAAATAAAGGGTCACCATCTCCTCAGGCACAAGGAACAGCTTACTTTTTGCCAGATTTCTTAATTCCACCTATGGCCAAGAGCCCCTTCCCCGCGGCCTTCGCTTTTAGCTCCTCGAGTTTCTTCTGCTCCTCTTTTTGTTTCTGCTTGAAAGCCTTATCTTCCTCGTCCATCTCCTTGGCCTACTTCTTGGGCTGTTTCAGTGGCTTCTTCTTGCCACCTTCGCGGCCGGACATGGCGCCTGCCGCCGCTTCCCCAGAAGTTAAGTTTAAAAGTAGAAGGCAAAGAATTGAACACACTGACATATTAATTCTTTGAAAATAAATTTAAAACTCCTAACAACCGCCATGTCCTCATCTTTAGGATGGGGATAATGACAGTCCCTCCCTCCCTCATGGGGCTGCGATGATGAATAAATAGGAGATTCTAGGTGAAGTCCAAATCCAGCACAAGCTGGGAACTCTGTTAAGTGGCCATTACCTTTTTTCCTTGGAGGCAAGGGATCTGTGCTCCCAAAATTGATCTGTGCAGTAGGACCAAATAGTCCTGCTATAGACTATTTGAGTCAGTCCCTCACGTCCCCATGATGGATGACTGGTTGGCTAGGGAAGCAATTCTGCATGATAACCAACAGCATGCATGGGCTTTGGATTCAGACCTGAGTCGAATCCTCACCGTGCTGTTTATCTGCCTCATGAACTTGTGCCAGCCCCTTACCCTCTCTGGGCCTAATGTCCCTATATGTGAAATGGGCTCACAGGGCTATAGAGAGGACCAGTGAACCAAGGACTGTCAGATCGCCAGAACTTAGGACACATGGGATGGAGATTCTAATCAGGGCTCCTGTGGGTGGAGGATTACCCAGGTGCCGAGGCAAGAGACTGAAGGCACAAACTGTTTCAGTATAATAAAGAAAATGGTTAGAATAAGAATAGTCATAATACAAATTAGATATAGAGATGATCATGGACAATTATCAATCATTATTATAAACATTATTAATCATTAGCTTTTAATATTACTCTTTGTTGCATTACTAATATAACCTAGGAATAACCGGTGGGTATAGGGTCAGGTGCTGAAGGGACATTGGGAGAAGTGACCTAGAAGGCAAGAGGTGAGTCTTCTGTCACGCCCGCATAAGGGTTGCTTGAGGGCTCCTTGGTCAAGTGGTAACGCCGGTGTCTGGGAAGGCACCTGTTACTTAGCCGACCACGAAAGGGAGTCTCCTTTCCTTGGAGGAGTCAGGGCACACTCTGCTCCACCAGCTTCTTGTGGAAGGCTGGATATTATCCAGGCCTGCCCGCAGTCATCCGGAGGCCTAAACCCCTCCCTGTGGTGCTGTGCTTCAATGGGCACACTCCTCGTCCACTTTCATGTTCCTCCCATACTCCTGGTTCCTCTTTGAAGTTCGTAGTAGATAGTGGTAGAAGGAATAGGGAAAATCTTAAAGTGTTTGATCTTTCTTATAAGTGCATAGAAGAAAACGCTGACATATGCTGCCTTCTCTGTCTGCTTCAGCTACCTAAGAGGGAAGGGCCCCCTGTCCAGTGATCACGTGACTTGCTTCACCTTGTCAATCACTTAGAAGATTCACCCTCCTTACCCTGCCCCCTTGTCTTGTATGCAATAAATATCAGTGCACCCAGCCTTTCGGGGCCACTTACCGGTCTCCACGTCTTGGTGGTAGTGGTCCCCCGGGCCCAGCTGTTTTCTCTTTATCTCTTTGTCTTGTGTCTTATTTATTACAATCTCTCGTCTCCGCACACAGGGAGAACACCCGCTAAGCTCCGTAGGGCTGGACCCTACAGGCTCCAGAGCATGCCTTCCAAGCACGTAGCCCTTTACCTCTTGGGGAAGGGAGCAGAAGTCCATGCGGGCTTCCTGCAGGCATCCTCAGTCCACACTTACCTGCTCTCATGAGGCTTTCAGGCGTTTGGGGGAAGCCCTGCGTGGTGAGTGAGGGGGAGAGAGAAGAGAAGGCTGCATCTCCAGAGAAGGACGAGACACGCATCAGAGTCACTTCCTGGGGGGCCTCAGAGCCGAGTGTGGCTGGGAAGATGACATTAGCTGACCTACCTTGTGTCAGGCACTGTGTTGACCTCCTTCCCTGCAGGGATGACTTCTGCACTTTGCCGTCAGGAGCCATAGCATCTTTGTCATAGCCTTGGGAGCCAGGCTGGTATGAGTTCAAACACCCATGCCACAATTCCTGGTCATGGGCAGCTCACCCAATCTCTCAGAGCCGCCCTCCTCCCTGGGAGGGGGTCTGGTAGCCATCACCTCCTCCATCACCGTCAGGAGGTTCCTGCAAGGTCCTATGGGTGGGGGGCCATTGTCCCCTGGGAGGTCTGCCTCTCCCATCAGGCCCTACCCCCAATTCTTTTTCAGGCCTCAGGGACACTCAGCCCTGGGGCTCCGTCCCCCTGCTGTAATCAGTCACTTTCTTCCTTTTGTAGATGCTTTGCTTATTGTTCGTCCCCAAGTTCCGCCAAACTGTGGCCTCTGAGGAGCTCAAAACAAGCTGATTGATGACATCCACCACCACCCCTGCCCGCCCCCCCCCCCCCAAAGCTTCCTTCCTGAGACCAAGCCAGGGTATTGCTCACCCTCTGTGCCAGAAGGTGGATTAAGCTACTTATACGTAGTCTAGCTTTTTTCTTGTAGGTCAGGATGTAAGTGAGAGACCTTGGGACCAGCAAACATTTTGCCCAGCTGTTGGGGTGTGAAGAACATTTCTTCAGTCCAGGAGCAAGAACAGTGTTGCTCCAGGGGAACTTGGGCCAGTGGGTCTATTGTGCCAAAAATGCTGACCTTCAGGCCCCGCAGGTGCTCTCCTGGGGCTGAAGTTGGGAGCAGCCAGGCTTCTGGGCACCACCCAGGCTGGGGGAGTGGCTGTCCTCAAGGCAAAGAGAAGGAGAAACGGTAGGCCTGGCAACCTCAGCCAGCTTATCACTGGGCAGCTGCCAGGGGCTGCCAGGAGGAGAAGCAGGCGCTGAGGGGCAGGACCATGTCAGCCGTTGGAAGAGACATTCAAAACCTGGACTGTTTTCTTACTCCTGCCACGCTGGGTCACTTTGACTGGCATGGAAGAAAGGAAGGCCCAGGGTTTCAATCTCATTTTTCAGAGAGGTGGATCCACAGGAGTTTTTCTTCCCTGATCCCAACCCTTCAGCAGCCCCCAGAACCTTCTGGAGGACTTTAACCTCCCCTGCATGGCCTTTAAGACCCTTTGTGATACTGCCCCTGACTCCCACTCCACCCTCCCCTCTCCCTTCTGGCCTGTACTCCTCACAGTTCCCCAGTGCTCTCAGCTGATTCTCATCTCCAGGCCTTTGCTGGTGCTGTTCCCTCTGCCTGAAACACACTTCCCCATCCTTTGTCATCCTCCCAGCCCTGCTTCCTCAGTCTGCAAAGCAGCTCCCCTGAGAAGCTGTCGCCACTGCCCCAGCCCTCCCTGGCCACCACCCTGTGCAGTCATGGGGTCTGCTTATGTCCATCCTTGCAGCTGGTCTCAGCTCGAGGGGGCGGGGACAGTGTGTGACTTGTCAGTGCATGTACCCGGCAGCCAGCGCGGGCCCTGGCCCAGAGCAGATGCTCTGTAAATGTCAGATGAAGGAGGAAGTGATGTACTCGAGAAGGAATGAGGGCACATTCCCCCCACCTCTCACTGCAGTGGGGCCCTAGCCCTGGGAGCCGGCGCCTCTGAAGTTGGAGTTTCCTGGGTCCCTTTATCAAGAAGAGACCACAGTCAGGGGGCCCGGCAGAGGGTCGGAGTCAGCTTGGGAATCCCAGCCCTGGCTGAGCATGCTTTGAGGGGGCGTCGGGATGACCTCACCCCCTGGGAACTCTCGCATCAGAGCCCACTCAAGCTGAGAGGTCTGCCACTTAGGCCTGGATGGAGTGAGCTTTTCTCCCCACAAGCAGCATTGCGACCTCTGGCCTCTCTGGGATGTCCTTGCAGCTGTTGACGGGGTTTTGTTTGCAAAGCAAAGGGAGCAGAGTGGCAGTTACCAGCGCGGGCTGGCCCTTTTCCCTTGGGGATGCTGGCCAACCAGGCCTCTGAAAAAGGGAACAAAGTCCAGTAAGCTGGTGTCTGTCTCCTGAGTGCCTGTCACTGCCCCATTTGGCAGAGGTGAGGAAGGGTTGGTTATGTTTTTTCTTTTCTCTTTATTTTTTTTGAGATGTAGTCTCCCTCTGTCGCCCAGGCTGGAGTGCAGTGGTGCGATCTCAGCACACTGCAACCTCCGCCTCCTGGGTTCAAGTGATTCTCCTGCCTCAGCCTCCAAGTAGCTGGGATTACAGATGCCCGCCACTACACCCGACTAATGTTTGTATTTTTAGCAAAGGCAGGGTTTCACCATGTTGGTCTCGAACTCCTGACCTCAGGTGATCTGTCCACCTCGGCCTTACAAAGTGCCGAGATTACAGGCGTGAGCCACCGTGCCCAGCCTGGTTATGTTTTTTTCCAGCCCACTTTTAAACCCACCAATGGAAAATGGAACTTTGTTGGCAAAGGTGACTGATATCTTGGCCCCTCTGGATATGGCGGGAAGCCTTGCTAAATACCAGCCTTGCCTTTTCCTCTCTCTAGAGCACAGCCTGCCCCCCTCACCCCAACACACATGAGCACCATGTTGCTTCCTACTGCCAACAGTGCTGGTTTACATTTTGGACTGGGGCAAATGTCATTTGAACCAGAGATTTCTCACTCAAGGTCTACAGTCCAAGGACGCATGTTATAAAGGTCCAGGTCCAGGAAGCCCCTGAAGTTGAATATCAGATTGTGCATGGAGTCTGGGTATGTTTCTGGGGGGAAACCCTGAAGTTGAATATCAGATTGTGCATGGAGTCTGGGTATGTTTCTGGCGGGGAAGCCTCTATAGATTTTATTGCTTCTAACAAGGTCCATGAACCATTCCCCACGCCCCGCCAACCCAAAAGTTATGGCAGCTGCCTTGAAGAAGGGGTGGGGTGGAAGAAAGGGCATGAGCCTGGTCCTCTCAGACCCTCAGTTTCCTCATCTGGGAAATCAAGGTGGTAAAACCCACTCTGCAGAGTTTTCCTGAAGATTAAACCCAATAAACCAAGACATGTACCCACTACATAGCAGAGGCCCAGTGAAACTCCAGTGTAATCCTCATGTTCAAAGGAAGAGGCAGAATAGACGATTCTCCCATTTGGCAATTCCCTTTCCTGGTGGAGAGGAATCTGCTGAAAACCTCAGCCAGCATGCCATCTGCGGAACTCCAGCAGGCTGGAAGCCGGCGTCTCGGGGCCAGAGTATCGGGAGCTGTTGCTTCCTGCCATCCTCCTGACGGTAACTGCCATTTCCTTGGGCTCTTTTTAGATCAAAGGAAGGGCTAGGCTGGAGAGATGAGTGGGGACCATTCAGGGGATGGCACAAGGCGCATTTAGGACGCCTGCTGGCATAGTTTAAAAATAGGCTTCTGTCCTTGGACACCAAGGGGAAGCAACCCCAGGGTTTTCAAGAGGCCTCTGCTGGCCAAGGTTATGAGCCCTACACGGGAGAAAAATGTTTCAGAACGTATTTTCCCAGCTGCCACAGGTAGGTATCTCTGACCCAGGAATAAACCTTTCCTAGTCAAAGGAACTAAATAAGGTGGTTAAAGGAGGAGATCAAGTGTTTAATGAGCACCTACTACATGCCACACACTGTGTGTCTGATGAGTTTGCTTTGTGTCATCCTCACAACAACCTTGCAGGGTAGAGATGATTTTTCCTACTTTTCTAGGTTGTTGGGGGCTGGGGCAGGGGGAACAGAGAAGTTAAGTACGGACCTCAAGATCACACGGACCGCAAGATCACACAGCTAATAAATAAGCAAAACCAGAATTTAAACCCAGGTCTGACTCCAAGCCTGTGCTCTTTTTAACCACCTCTCAAACTGTGATGTAGAAATAAAAAGCATGAAAGAGATGGAGGTGAGGGGCTTACCCAGTGGTTGGACTTGTTATTTCCCATGGGGAAGGGAAGGGAATAGCTGTTTATTTAACATCTACTATGTGCCAGGACTTCTGCCGGGATTTTTCTATGCTCTCATTGCCCCTGCCAGCAGCCTGAGACAGGGGTCTAAGGTCACGTGCCATTTAGACATGACAAAACTGCAGTTCTGGGAGGTACAGTGACTTGCTCAAGGCTCTCAGACAAATCAGTAGCAAAGCACAGGCTTTCATCCAGAGCCCATGAAGTAAATCTCAGAGCCACCCAGGAAGCAGTTCTTATGTTGACCGGCCTTCCAGAAAGACTTGCCAAGGCTGGGCAGTGGTGACCCTGACAGCCAGAGTTCCCTCCTCCCTAACCACCCACAGACACTCATCACCCACCCTCCAAATCTCTGCCATGCATTTCGAGTCTGGGCACTGTTTCCTTGACTAACTGCTGGAAAGACACTGCCCTCTAGTCTTGGTGGGGCTGGAGCAGCCTGTGATTAACCATGGGGGTTAGGCTGGGCATGGTGGCTCATGCCTGTAATCCCAGTACTTTGGGAAGCTGAGGTGGGTGGATTGCTTGAGCCCAGGAGTTCGAGACCAGCCCCAGCAACCCTGACTCTACAAATAATAATAATAGCCGGGTGTGGTGGCACACACCTGTCGTCCTAGCTACTTGGGAGGCTGAGGTGGGAGAATCACTTGAGCCCGGGAGTTTGAGGCTGCAGTGAGCTGTGATCATGCCACTGTACTCAGCCTGGGAGACAGAGCAAGACTCTGCCTCAAGAAAAAACTTAAAAAGCCATGGGATTGACCAGGTGCAGTGGCTCACGCCTGCAATCCCAGCACTTTGGGAGGCTGAGGCAGGTGGATCACAAGGTCAGGAGTTCGAAACCAGCCTGGCCAATATGGTGAAACCCTGTCTCTACTAAAAATACAAAAATTAGCCAGGTGTGGTGGCGGGCGCCTGTAGTCCCAGCTACTCAGGAGGCTGAGGCAGGAGAATCGCTCGAACCCGGGAGGCGGATGTTGCAGTGAGCCAAGATCACACCACTGCACTCCAGCCTGGGGGACAGAGGAAGACTCCATCTCAAAAAAAAAAAAAAAAAAAAAAGCCATGGGATTTGGGCCAGGGCTGTCCCTTCTCCCTTCTATGAACGAGAAGGGCAACTGCAAAGGTCTCCACTGAGTCCCCACCTCACAGAAACCGCACCTCCCCCACTTCTTCTTAGAGTCCCTGGCCTCAATTCTTGGTCAGAAGTGGGGGGCACGGCTCACTGGCTGGGGCCAGCACCCACCCAAGGCCAGCAGGGCCTTGGTCTTTCATGGGAGGATGGCCCAGGGGATTTAGTCGCTGGCGTGGTTTGGGGACCTCTTCCTGGCAAAAGAGGTTTTATTTGTTTATTATTATTATTATTATTATTATTATTTACCAGTGACAGGGTATCTGTATGAGTCTGGTCCTGGTGCCAGAAGCTAAGGATCTCTGCACCCGCAGACTTGGCCATTTTGGGGGAATGGCTGTAGTGACTGCCAGGAGGCGAAGGGTGGGGGACATTTGGCCCTCGATGGAATATTCTGCAGCCATGAAACAAGCAGAGAAGGCTTGGGAGCGATGTGGGGAAATGCTTTCGATGTAATGTTGAATTAGAAAACAAAAAGCAGGACACAAAATTGTCTGTGCACTCTGATGGTAAGAAAGTTAGGAAACTACTTATATTACTGAGTACTTCAGTGGTACTTATGGAAGAAAGTTAGGACAGGGGGAAAAAGCACGGGCTTGAGGTCAGACAGGCTGGGGTCATATCTCAACGCTGCCCCCTTGCAGCTTCAGGGAAGTGTCTTTGCTGCCTAGAGCCTTGTTTTCTCCTGGAAAAATGGAGACACCAATCCTGTAGGTGAAGCTTTGTTTTAAGAATTAGCTGGTATCATGTGTCAAAAAAAATCCAGCACAGCCATGGTACATCGTGAGGGCACAGCCCACAGTTCTCATGTGGGATCAGGACTGGGACAATGAAAAATGCAGAGACAGGGAGCAAAAGTTGGGAGAGGCAGCGGGTGGGGGGGACGGGTAGATTTTTCTCCTCTTTTCTGAACTTTCTATGATGTGGCTGTTGTGTTTGTTGCAGCAATTTCAATGATAAAGTTCAGGTTTGCCACTGACATCTCCAAACTAGGATGATCCGCAGGGCCCTTGGAGTCCACCCTCCACATTTTTCTGTTTCTTATAGGAACCACTTGCCCTGAACCCAGCTAAAAGCAGATGCTGGTGTACTATTTGAGATTGCTTATTGTTTTTCTTTTATTTTAAGCATCTTCCATTTGTGTAAATAACACATCCTCTTAGAAACTTTTTAACTCTAGTTTTCTTTATCTCACGTCAGCGCTGTGGTCTTGGGGAGGAAAAAAATAAAGACTGTTTATCTCTTATTCCCTGAAGGAAGTCAGATCATATAATCAAGATTAAACAAATATGTAAACTTCGCTGGTTACTTGGCCGCATTTTATCCTAACATATAGTTGGTTTTGCAGGAAGCTTCCCCTATAGAAACAAGGCAGTACTTCTCTCCACCCCAGTATTCATTTAAATTGCAGGCCGCTCTTAAAGAACATCTCTTGGGATTCCCAAGCCCTTCTGTAAAGAAACTCTCTGACTGAGAGATGAGGTCGGAAAACAACAGTGATGGGGAGGGGAGATAAAAATAATCAAATAAGGGTGGCCATGGACGCTGGTGCTCAGAAGGGCTTTTGATATGTGGTCATATTTAATGTTTCCTGGAGGATTTGCCAGCTGGAGGGGGCCTTGGCCTGCTGGGCACTGGGGGAAGCTGCACCAGGAGCTGAGTGTCGTGCACAAGGCCACCGTGAGCGTGGACAGCACAGGCTTCTGCTGTCCCTGAGCTATCTCTGCCGATGGTCTGCACCCGGGTGCTGTTTCCCCTGCTCACTTGGGATTTGTCCATTCCTCTTAACCTCGTGGTTCTAGAGATGGCCCACAGCCTGACTCTGCGTCCACCCTCCTTGCTGCCCTGGAGGCCCCTCCCTGACAGGCAGTGCAGGTGTGGCCGTGGCCCTGCTTTGCCAAAAGCCCTGTAGCGGCTCCCTCTTGCCCATGCAGTGCGTTCTGAGCCTCTTGGGCTGGCATTCAGGGCCTTCCCACCTGGTTCCTGCGGTGTCTGCAGCACCCTCGCCCTCACCTCTACAAGGCAGTGACTGCCCAACCTGGCACACCCCCTGCCACACCTACCGTATCACTTTACCCTCCCCCCAAATTCCAGCCTCCCCCTGCCTCTGCCCCTACCGTTCCCCTCTGCTCCCTCTCCTCCCTCGAGACCTGGCTCAGTGGGCATCCCACTATTCCCAGCCCCTAACTGAGTCCAGGGCCTCCTCCAGGCCCCTAGTCCCCCCGGTGCCATCGCCTGAGATGGTCTTTATCACGCCTGTTGTCGTTGGGCATTCAGCTGTGTGTCTGCTTGACCTGGAGAGACTCAGATCTCCACGAAGGCAGGATGTGTGTGATCTGCAGAAAGAATAACTGGATGAAGAAATGAATGAGCAGTGGAATGAACGTTTTGTCTGCTGCCTGTGCCAGTCCAGTGCCTGGCAAGTCTGCCCAGGGGTGAAGGAGGTCAACAGGCAGCCTCTTGCCTCCCTCTCCTACCTTAGGGGTCTATGGCTCAGCCCTTCTATCCATCTTGTGTTGGTTTTTAAAAGGCAGAGAGACTATGGTAAAATGGTAAAAAACAAACAACAACCACCACCACCACCACCAAAAAAAAACAGAGCTGGGATCACACACACCTGGCTTCAATCCCTGGTTTCATCTCTGCCCTTAACTAAACCAGCTGTGTGACTTTGGGCAAGTGACTGAACTCTCTGAAACTCCATTTCGTCATGCATGCTGGGGATGGCTAACAGTAGTCCTTACCTCACAGAGACACTACGAGGATTAAATGATGAAATGCATGGCACATGACCAACCTAGAGTAAGTGTCTGAATGTGCGGTGATTCTATCAGTCAGGACATTGTTGGTTGCTAGTATCAGAAACCCAGCTCAACCTGGCTTAGAGCAGAAGAGGGCGCCCCTAGCCAAAAAATCTGCAGTCATCTGATTGGCCACCCTAGTATCTAGAGTTGGAGTGAGGTCGATCCACTAGCTGGCGGAAAGCGAGATCTCCCAAGGAAAACTGGAGCATAGTAGCCAGAAAAAGAGGGATGGATACTGGGCAGGCAGAAACAGCAGGTGCCCCCATGACTAACTGTAGGTGGGAGGTGTAGAAAGGCAGAGGCCTTCACCACGGCCCAACGCTGAGGGAGGTGGTGCTCAGCCACCCCTCGTGGGCCTTACCCTTCTTCCATGAAAATGACCTCCATATTCTGCCTCCCTGCATCAGGGGAGGCCTGGCCAGAAGAGCCCAAGAAAGGGTTTTCTGCCCTGACCCTGACTGACCTTGAGCTTGGGCAGACCCCTCTCCCTCTGTTGGCCCATTTTCCCATCTGTAAAATGGGCTTGTTGGAGGAGATGATCCCTGAGGTCTGCTCAAGCTCTAACTGTAACACAGGCAGCAACTGGTGTTTATCAAGCCTGGTGTGTGCTGAGCCCAGGGAAACCAAAGACGGCATGGACAACCCCCTGCCCTCCAGGATCTACTACTGGTATCTCCCTACCCTGTCCTTACCACCACTCTGCTTCCCATTCAAGTGTCTGTTGTAGAACCAAAAGGCCAGCTGGGCATGGTGGCTCATTCCTGTAATCCCAGCACTTTGGGAGGCCGAGGTGGGCAGATCACTTGAGGTCAGGAGTTCAAGACCAGCCTGGCCAACATGGTGAAACCCTGTCTCTACTAAAAAAAAAAAAAAAAAAAAATTAGCCAAGCATGGTGGTGCACACCTGCAATCCCAGCTACTCGGGAGGCTGAGGCAGAAGAAGTGCTTAAACCCAAGAGGTGGAGGTTGCAGTGAGCTGAGATCATGCCATTGCACTCCAGCCTGGGCAACAGAGAAAGACTCCATTTCAAAAAAAAAAAGAAAAGATCCAAAAGGCCTTTTTCAATTTGTTTTATCTATTAAATATAGTTGAAATGTCCAAAGCAAGTAGACTGAATGTTTTCTATTTTCCTACATAAAAATGAATGAAAACCTTCAAATCTCTACTACCTTCAAGACATATCCAGAATCTGACCCCTTCCCACCAGCTTTACTGGTACCTACCCCCAATAGGAGCCATCATGATCTCTGCCCTGGAATAATCCAGTAGCTTTGCTGGCCCCAGCATCCTTGCCACCGCCTCCCAGCAGTCCACTGTGCACACAGTGGCCTGAGCACTCCTACCATGTCTCTGCTCTAAACCTTCAATAAGGTCTCATTGCATTCAGAGTAAAATGGTTAAAGAAAAATCAAACAATAGGATCTCCCCACCCCCCACCCCAGCTCTGATCTCATTTCTACCCGCTTCCCTCCTTGCTCCCACCATTCTGGCTAACTGGCTTCCTTGTCATTTCTCAGTGACACCTCAGGGCCTTTGCACTTGCTGTACCTCCTACCTGGAATGGTCTTACCCCAACCACCCTCCCAGCTCATTTGCTTACCTCCTTCAGGTCTCTGCTCCAAAGCCACTCATCAGGGAGGCCCTTCCTCAAAGTCCTAAGAAAACACCTCTCTCTGCCCCGCCTTGTTGGCTGAATTTTACTCTGTAATGTTTCCCTCCAGGAAGAGTACGTTTTTCATTGTCTGACTTTGCCCACTGGAACGTCAGCTCCATCAGAGCAACAGCCTTGTCTGTCTTGGTGATTGCTGTATTCCCAGTGCCTGGCATGGTGCCTGGCACATACTAGACACTCCCTTCATATGTGTTAAGTAAAAGAATGACTGAAACCCCTTATGTTCCTTTCTAATGTGGAACCTTGGCTTTTTTATTCCTTATATTTTGTCTTCTGTGGGCCAGCGGCTTCTGTTTAGAGAGGAGCCTCCCAGCTTCCAGGCGTGATTTCCTCCCCCCGTGACTGGGCCTTCCTTCTCCCAGGGCCTGGGAAGGGGAGCCATGTCTTGTTTGCCTCATCATTGCCTCTCCCTCTTCATTTTCCCCTGCCCTAGCTCCCATCAGGCTCAGGATTCATCAAACCCCCCCACTTCCACTCTGTGGTGTGCCCAGAGCACAGTGCACCCCGTGGCTGGGTGTGGGAGGAGTGGTCTTTCATTCCTGGGGTCGCCATTCTTCTCATTGTGTGCCTTGGGCGGCCTGTGGTTTCTGAGAATTTGCCATGAAAATTGTACTCAGCTGCTGTGCGAAGAGCAGCAGAGATTCATGTAGTAATCTCCCGCCCTGCCACCTCCCAGGATCCCAGAGCCCCCCAGGAACCGCCCCTAGGATGGGAGAAGGAAAGGCAGGGGGAGAGGAAGACTCCCACTTGATATTGAGCCACCTGGCTTTGTGATCAGATCCTTTGAAAGACCACGCCGGGATTCCCCAGGTCCTTCAGAGCAGAATGTCTTTAGAAATGAACCCCAAAGGTGTCCGTTCCGGAAAAGCCAACGTTGCTCATAAGCAATGCCTTCATTTTCTGTGGCTGAGGGGAGGGGAATCCCTGAATCCTGGCTTGGATGTGCTTTGGAACCTCAGTAATATATATCATCAGTAATAATATCATATTATTAATGACTTGTTACATACACACGCTGTGCCAGGTAGTACTCCAGGGATTTCATCCACATTCTCTTTCAGCAGCTGTGTGAGTGGAGTCATGTCAGGCAAAAAGACAAGCTAGAGAAGTGACAAGTCTGCCCCATACCTCCCACCTAGGAAGTGCCAGAGCTGGGATTCAGGCTGCCTTGGCCGTTTCTATTGCCTGACCTGTCTTAGCTTTTGAATAAAAGTAGGGGAGGTATTATTTGGATGATTTGCACAGAGAAAAGCAGCCAAATATCTCCACTACTCACCCTAAGAATCCAGGGCTCTGTTGCTTTTGGAGGGACTCTGTGGCCCAGAGGTGGCCCCGCGAGGTCCTTGTAGCTGTGGAGGGATTTGATGGGGATGGAGAAGTTATTTGGCCCCTGGCTGGCTGTCGTGGGCTCTTGGTGTTGGCGCCTCTGACAGGGAAACAGCTCTAGTGCTTCACCACACACACTAAACCTTGGTTCGCTTATCTGTGGCACGGGTATGCTGACTGCTGTGGCAAAGAGATTAGGGCCAGTTAGGGTCGGTCTCCCTTTGGTCAAGCCTGGAACCTTCTTAAGTTTATCAGTAACCAGTCCTGTTAAAATGGAATTTCAAATGAAAATGATTGTTAAGTAAAGACCAATCGGGGCCCGCAGGAGTTCGGAGGAGGCCTAACCGTGCTGCCTGTGTCTTTCCGCAGACCCGAGCCCACCGGCGCGCCTCCTGGCCACCCGGCCGTGCTGCGGCCCCGGCCCCGAGCGACGCCCGGTCCTGGGCGAGGCGCCGCGCTTCCACGCGCAGGCCAAAGGCAAGAACGTGCGGCTGGACGGCCACTCGCGCCGGGCCACACGGCGCAACAGCTTCTGCAATGGCGTCACGTTCACGCAGCGGCCCATCCGGCTGTACGAGCAGGTGCGGCTGCGCCTGGTGGCCGTGCGCCCTGGCTGGAGCGGCGCGCTGCGCTTCGGCTTCACCGCGCACGATCCGTCGCTCATGAGCGCCCAGGACATCCCCAAGTACGCCTGCCCGGACCTGGTCACGCGGCCGGGCTACTGGGCCAAGGCACTGCCCGAGAACCTGGCGCTGCGCGACACGGTGCTGGCCTACTGGGCCGACCGCCACGGCCGCGTGTTCTACAGCGTGAACGACGGCGAGCCGGTGCTCTTCCACTGCGGCGTGGCCGTGGGCGGCCCGCTCTGGGCGCTCATTGATGTCTACGGCATCACCGACGAGGTGCAGCTTCTGGGTAGGTCGCGGGCGCGGCGCCCCCTGGGGACCTGGCAGCGGTGCCTTTGCGCGTGGGTGTGTGTTTCATTAGTAGCCACAGTCACTTATGGAGAGCTCCTTTTGCCAGGCGTGGCACTAAGCGCTTTACGCCTTTTAACTAATTTATTTCTCACAACAACCTACCCTCCGGTTTTACAGATGCGAAAACTGAGGCATAGAGAGGTTAAATCATTTGTGCTGCAAAGCCAGGATTGGAACCCACATGGTTTGAACCCATGCTCTGGCCCAGGTTCATTCACTCACTCATTCCTTCACTTCCTAGTTTATTTGCTCATTCATTCATTCATTCATTCGCTCACTCATTCCTTCACTTCCTAGTTTATTTGCTCATTCATTCATTCACTCATTCACTCATTCGCACATGTATTCATTTGCTCACTCCTTCACCCATTCATTCACACGCTTCCATTTGCTCATTTAGTCGTTCATTCACTCATTCAGCGTCAAACTTAGGCTCTAATCACAAACACCCATGGAGTACCTCCATGGCATGTGCAGAGAGGAGTTAGGTGTGGCGAACCCCGGCCCACATTAAGGGGCTGGAGGTGCTGGGGAGGCTGACAGGTGTGAGCCCGATTCTCACGGAGGAGGCAGCGGCTAATGCCCAAATCCTGATGGTGAGAATTCATGGGAGTAGAAGTTTGCTACCTGTATCTCAAGACCTTTTTTTAAAAATTGAGGTAAAATTCACATAATAGAACAGCAACCATTTTAAAGTGTACAACTGAGTGGCATATAGTTGTCAGCCATCACCTCTATCCAGTTCTAAAACATGTCATCACCCCAAAGGGAAACCCTACCCATTAAGCAGCCACTCCCTGTTCTCCCCTCGCTCCAGCCCCGGCAACCACTCATCTGCTTTCTGTTTGAGACCTTAGCTCTTGAACCTACAGGTTGCACCGGAACCAGCCCAGCCTCGACCTCTAGGGGAGTAAAGGGAGAGCAGGTTTGTCAGGGAATCTGGACACAGCTCTTGGTGTAGCTTAGTGTAGCTTATGTGCAGTGTTGAAATGCATGGATCTAAAGGTTTGCAGGTGTTGACAGACTGATGCACCTGTCCGTAACCCCAGAGGTGATCCTTCTGAGTCAAGCCTTCTCTTCTCCAGAGGTAGCCACTGTTCTGATTTTTCACCATAGGTTAGTTTTGCCTGTTTTTGAACTTCATGTGAGTGGAATCGCACAGTATTTATCCATTGGTATCTGGCTTCTTTATCTCAGCATCGTATTTTTCAGATTCATCCACATTGTTCCTGTATCAGTAGTTCGTTCCTTTTTATTGCTAAGTATGCTAAGTAGTAGCCCATGAACTGGATTACCAGAGTTTGTATATCTGCATGTTTGGGCTGTTTCTGGCTTTTCAGCCCTGCATTTTGTGGGAAAACCCTGGCCTGGGATTCTTGATCCTCTACCTCATCCCCTTCATTACCCCACCATTGGGCAAGGAGGAAAGATTCATGCATCCAAGCTATGCCCCAACCCACAGAAGTAGGAAGACAGTGGAACATCTGAGTGGTCAAGAGCAGGGTGTTGGATCACATAGACCTCTGTTCTAGAACTGACTCTCCACTTGCCAGCTGTGTGGCCTTGGCCAGGTAACTGAAACTTTCTGTGCCTCAGATTTTTTTTCATCTGCAAAATGGGCACAAGATAGCACCCACCTCATGGGATTGTTGATAAGGTTACATGAGATGATGTCTGAAAGGGATGCAGCACAGTTCCTGACACAGAGAAGGCACTCAAGAAATAACAGCTAAGAAATAAGAAGCTCTGCCTATTTGCAAGTGAGCCGGAGCACATGTCCAAATTCCAGGCTTAGACCAGATTGTGAAGAGCTACCCACCCTCCAAGCTGGAGCCTACTTGGGCGTTTTAACTATGTCCCCTCATGCTCTTTTCCATGAAAGGCTTTGGTATTTCACCTCCAGGAGATGCAGGTTTCTGAAACCTCCTAGATTTCCCATCATCTTTTTTGGAGCTCTTTTTTCCTATCCAGCAGGGAAGCAATCCCACCTCACTCACCTGCTCATTTGCAGCCCATGTCTTTGAGTAACAGCCAAGAAATCACAGCCACTCCATAATCAGCTCAAGTGGATTCGGATTTTTAAAAATACAAATTGGAAGCAGCCTTTGATGACTTAATGAGATTGCATAAATCTGTGAGGTGAACTCTCCCCCCCCCACTCTATTTCCTTATTCAGCAAACTCTTATTGAACTCCTTACAACATTCTAGGAAGGGAGAGGTAGAGTCTGCTGGAACACCACTGTGACATGGCAGACATGAGCCTCAGCTTCCCTTATCTACAAGTCGTCCCTGAGCTGTGCTTATTGATGGAAACTACCTGGCACAGGTGCCACAGGACAATGATCACAAAATTATTCTGTCCTTTTTTTTTTAATCTGCCTCATATGATCTGCAGGAAACACAAACATATATAAAAGAAGAAAATGGTATTAGAAGGAATTTCATCCATGGGTGATGAGATAATGGGTGAATTTTACTTCCTTATATCTCTGAGTCACCTTTAAAAAATACATATATGGAAAGAGCTTGTATTGCTTTTACAGTCAGAAAGAGCAATAAGGTTATTGTCCTTTCTGAAGGTTATATGAGATAATAGAGGGGAAGTTTCTGACACGTGATTGAGGCTCAATGAATGTTTATTTTCTTCCCAGAGGAAAAGCGAGTTGTCATTGGATACATCTGGGTAAAGGGATTATGAGTGACTTTTTATTTTTCCAAAATAACAGTGATTTATAATCAGGAAAAATGTTGTAATAAAAATAAGCTAAGCAGTCATGATTTTGTATGGTTTAAGTACAGGAGACAAATACCCTGCTGTTTCCAGGACAGGATGAGGCACCACGAGAACATCAAAAATCCCACCCAAAATCTCCCAATACCTGGGAGAATTTGGCTTCCTGAACGTGGTGTCCAAGGTACCCAATGGAAACATAAAGAGACAGCCAGTTTCTGTGCTATCCTGAGCACTCTGAACTCCTTTCCATCACAAGGAACAAGGGGCTGACATGGTTCCTTTAGAGCTGCTCAGTTGTAAATTCTAGAATTGAAAACCCCTGAGACCTCTTCATTCCTCCCTCACCACAATCAGGTCCCACTGGATAAAACCTGAAAACCAACAAACAAAAGTGGCATCTGGGTAGGGTTGTCAAATCAAGCAAATAAAAATATAGGACACCCAGTTACATTGGAATTTCAGATAAACAAGGAAAAAAAAGTTTTTTTGACACAGGGTTTCACTCTTGTTGCTCAGGCTGGAGTGCAGTGGCATGAACACAGCTCACTGCAGCCTCGACCTCCTGGGCCTAAGGAATCCTCCTGCCTCAGCCTCCCGAGTAGCCAGGACCACAGGCTCATGCCTGGCTAATTAGGAAAAAATTTTAGTACAAGCGTATCCCATGCAATGTTTGGGACGTACTTATGCAAAAAAAAAAAAAAAAAGTGTATTTATCAGAAATTCAAATGTGGCTACACGCGGTGGCTCACATCTGTAATCCCAGCACTTTGGGAGGCCGAGGCAGGCGGATCACCTGAGGTCAGGAGTTCGAGACCAGCCTGGCCAACATGGTGAAACCCTGTCTCTACTAAAAATACAAAAAATTAACCAGCCACGGTGGCAGGCACCTGTAATCCCAGCTACTTGGGAGGCTGAGGCAGAAGAATCGCTTGAACCCAGGAGGCAGAGGTTGCAGTGAGCCGAGATGGCACCATTGCACTCCAGCCTGGGTGCCAGAGCAAAACTCCATCTCAAAAAAAAAAAATTAAATTAAATAAAAACATGTAACTGAGCATCCTGCATTTCATCTGGCAATCCTTGTCTAAGAAGCATCCACCCCATCTTGTGGGGCTGGGGTGTGTTTTATTTGCCCTCGAGCCAAAGTCTCAGAAATAAAAAAGGGCTCGTAGGCCTCACATATTTTTTTTGCCTGGTGGAACTTTGAGCCCAGCCCAGTATCCTCCTGCACAGAGTCCAGCTGCAGCAGTGAGTGCTGCATCTATGGGGCCAGACCGTGGGGTGCCCTTTCTAGGTAAAGAATCCAGAGTCCCGAGAAGGAAAGTGACTAGCTTAGAACCACCAAGACGGTCAGTGGCAGAGCCTGGACTGGAAGACTGCTGCGGCAGTATTTAGTTCGCATTGTGCTCACCTGGGGAGCTTTGACAATCCCACTTCCCAGGCTGCACCCAGACCAATTAAATCAGAACCTCTGGGGGTGGCACCCAGGTGTTAGGATTTCTTAAGGGCCCCCAGCTGCTGCCAGGGTTGTGCTAACGATTCCCTTTGCATAGGTGTACATTGCCCCTTCCTTCCTCCCTCCCTGCTTGGGAACCTTGGGAGTCAAGTTCTTCGGACGCCTCTGTCCAGGGGATAGACTCATTGGGCCATGTAGACCCTGTCTCTTGCTTTGACTTTTTCGCTTCATCCCCAATCCCCACTCCTTTTCATGTCTTCTCCTGACCAGGTAGGCATCACTCTGATTCATAATCCCATGAATGTATCTTTTGGAGTCTCGTTCTGTTGCCCAGGCTGGAGAGCTGTGGCGCAATCTTGGCTCACTGCAACCTCTGCCTCCCAGGTTTAAGCTATTCTTCTGCCTCAGCCTCCCAAGTAGCTGGGATGACAGGCGCCTGCCACCACGCCCGGCTAATTTTTGTATTTTTAGTAAAGATGGGGTTTCTACTGGGTACCTGTTGGTCAGGTTGGTCTCGAACTCCTGACCTCAGGTGATCCGCCCGCCTCGGCCTCCAAAAGTGCTGGGATTACAGGCATGAGCCACCATGCCTGGCCGAATGTATCTTTTAAAAATAGGTAGATTTGTTTTATATGCTTATGTGGATGGTATTGTGCTAAGGACCTTATTCTGTTTTTCTTTTTCCACTCACCCTTCTTTAGGATCTATCTGTACTGTGGTATGCCTATCTGGTTCCTTTCTCCCTCGTGGCTCCTGCCCATTGATGGACACCTGGATTACGACCAATCCCCCAAGCCACACACACAGACAGTACTGTAGGGTGCATTGTCTCAGGGCTGCTCTATGCTTGTTTAATGGTCTCTGGGGTACAGATCAGGAGGGGCTTGCGGGTCCTGGAGTGGGTCCATCCTGAGAGGCTTAGATTTCTCGAGATGCTCCTCAGGGCCAAAGAGAAGGGACTGAGTGCAGGAAAATTACTTTTCGCTGAATTTAGCAGTTCCTGGAGCCAGGAGAGGAAGCTTCTGCCAGGCCATGCGCTCCCTTCCCTCCCTTCTCCCTGTGGCTCCAGGAAGCATTTATCACAGGTGGAATATCCCTTGTCGGAAATGCTTATGACCAGAAGCATTTCAGATTTTAGACGTTTTTGGATTTTGGAATATTTGTATTATAGTTAACATTTCAGCATCACTAATCTGATATCCGAAAATCACTGTTGATGATTCTAGATTAGTGTTTTTTCATGTTTTGTGCCCAAAAACTTCAGAGTTTGTAGCATTTCACATTTCAGATTTTCAGATCAGGGATACTCAACTTATGTCTCTTTTCTATGGAAGCCCTTTCTGGAGGTCCTCGAGTTCAGGCCAGGCCCTGTGCTTTTTTGAGGCAGCCCTGCCCTCCTTCCTAGGCAGCTCCAGGGTGGTCAGTGTCAGCCCTGCTGTCCTTCCTTTGCCCAGTCGTGGGAAGCTGGTCAGATTGAAAAAGCAATGCCAGTCGGGGGTCATGGCATAGCAGACCATATTGTCAGAAATCTTTGGTTGCAAGGGACAGAAACTCAGTTCAGTCTCACTTAAGGAAAAAAAAAAAAAAAGAGGAAGCATTAATGTCTCATGTGGCTGAAAATTCCTGGGAATGGTTGCCTTTAAGCCTGGCTCAATGCGGGGACCCAAAGAACTGCACCTGGAATACTTGTCTGTCTTCATTTCTCATTTTGCCATCTTCTTTGGTGGCCTCATCCTCAGCTGGACTGTCCCTTTGGGGTGGAGGAAAGGCCACCAGCATTTCCAGTCTTGCATCCCACGAGCTTAACAAATCCAACAGAAGAGCTGCTTTCCTAGAAGTCTGCCTGTCATCTCTAGATGTAGCCTCATGGATCTGGCCTGGGTCACATGCCTATCCTTGAACCCATCTCCATGGCCAGGGGCATAGGATGAAGTGATTGGCCAGGTTAAGGCCCCCCTCCTGACTCCTGAGGCAATGGGAGGTGGGGGTGGGGCAGTTCCCTCCAAAGAAAAGCTGGGTGCTGTTACCAGGAGAAGGGGAGTGGATGCCAGGCAGCCAGAAACAACAGTCCTGCATGGGCCTTGGAAAGGTGTCATTTGCCCAGCTTGGAAGCACTGAGATCCCTTGTTAAAGATAGTTACTAGGCACTTACTCTGTGCCAGGCACAATGCTGAGAGCTTGATGTGGGTCATGTCTTCTGTTCCTTACAAGAATCCTGTGAGGCAGGAAACTCATTTGCAAACTCCACGTGGATAGAGAACTTGGCCAAGGTTGCATAACTGTTGGTGGTCCTAAAGTCAGAGTTTGTTCATTATTGTTATAAACAAAGTGTGTGATAAAGACCTGAACTTATGGAGTTAAATGCAGGGTTCGGAGGTCTGAGCGCACCATTCCAGGCTGCAGGAGAGGAAACTGAGGCCCAGAGAAAGGCAGGGACTTGCCCAAGGTCTCCCAGCTGGTCAGTGGCCACGGTGGGGGAGGGAGGTGTGGACCCAGGGGCTGTCTCGGTGAGGGGCCTGTAAGCACACCTTGGGCCGGGAGGAATGCTGCTGTGCTGCTGGCTTCAGGCAGAGCCCCAGTGGGAGCCACGCGGAGTCATTAGCTTTGCGGTTAATGTTCTTTTTTCCAAACAGACCAGGCCAGCACCCACCTCCTCACCCCAGCGTAAATCATTTGCATGGCAGGGTGTCCTGAAGGGTTGTCCTTTCTCAGTCTGGAGCGAGACCGCCGCTGCATGGCCGCCAGCCTGTCCCACCAAGGGCTTCTGAAGGCCTGTTCTATGCAGGCACGGAGCTGGGTGCATCGTGATCCCACTGTTCTGCCCTCTTTAATCTTCCCCACAGGCCACTAAGATGGGATGAGGGTCCCCACTTTGCAAGTGGGGAAACTGAGGTCACAGCCAGAATTGGCCAGGGTCCAACCGAGGCCTGTGTCTGCAGTCCAGCCTTCTCTGGTTGGCAGAAGGGCATCTGGAAAAGCACGAGGTCAGTGGCGCACAGACCCAGGTCATGCCCCAGCACACCAAGGCCAGTGTTTGCCATCTTTTTTCCTAGAACCTCAAGCCCTCTCCCTTGGTGCCCACCCCCTCGGCCTTCCCCCCGTGGCCGTGGATAAGGAGCTCTGCTCCTGTCCCCTCCTGCCTGCTCATAGACATGGTTCCTGTCATTTGTCTACTTCCTCCGCCTCCACGGAATCACCCCCATGAGCACACAGAAGAGCCCCGGTGGCGTCCGTCTTTTCAAAACACCCTCCATCAGCCCCCTCACCAGCCACAGTCCTGTCTCTCTGCCCTCCCTCCCTCAGGGCAGGTCTTTCTTAAGTGCTGGTTATGCCACCCTCTCCTTTTCCCTCTTAAGCTGTGCCCTGAGGCGTGAGTCCCTGCCCATCACTGACCTTCAGCCTGTCAGACCCTGAGCCTACATCCTGGGCCCACTACCGGGCCCCTCGCTTTCAGCCCAGGTGACCTCTCCCGGCTGTGTGAATGTTGCTGCTTGTGGCTCCTGGGCCTTCCCGAGCTCCCGCCGTTCCTCCTGCTTTCCTGGCCACCCCTCGCCCTACCTGTCCTCCCTATGTTGAAAGCCCCATGGTTCTATCCTGGGCCCACTCTTTCCTTTTTACTTTCTTAAATTGTGTAATACAATATGCATATAGGAAGGCATCTAAGAACAACTGTAGCATTCAACAGATTGTCATAAAACAAGCCTGTGTCTGTCTGCCCTCTTTCTCCAAGTTATCTGAGCCCATCATTGGGCTTCACATCTAGACTGTTGACTCCCAAACCCATCTTCCCAGCCCTGACACCTCCCTTGAACCCCAGGCCTCCCACCACCTATCCAGCCTCTCCTCCTACATCTGAGGGGCATCCCACACTGAACATGCTCGGACACAACTCTTGAATCCCCCACCTCCTGCTCCTCAGCCAGCCCCATTGGCAATAAGTAGCACCACCCCCTTGGTTGGCCATTGGCAGTAAGTGACACCACCCCCTTGGTTGGCCATTGGCAGTAAGTGACACCACCCCCTTGGTTGGCCATTGGCAGTAAGTGACACCACCCCCTTGGTTGGCCATTGGCAGTAAGTGACACCACCCCCTTGGTTGGCCAGTAACCCGGTGTCATTCTCGATTCCTCTTTTCCTTGCCTTGGATCCATTCTGTCAGTGAGTCCTGTCATTTCTGCCTCTAGTACATGGCCCGAGTCAGTCCCACAGAGTGGTGATTGATGGATATGTTTCTCTGTCCCCAGTTGTCCCTGCCTTCATTTTCGTGTCTACACCAAGATGGTTTCATTTGAGACATACATTTTGCTTTACTTCCAGCCCAGATATATTGGACCTAAGAGAGAAAGGGGAGGGGAAAAAGGGAAGAGCTAGGCCCTGGAAGTGGCTTGGGAGAGTGGGAGGTCAGGGGCCTGTCCCAGCCTCCTCGTACCTGACTGGGGACTGCTGCAGTGTGTTGGTACTCAGTGGCTATTCATGGCAGGGAGGCGGGGACATTAGGCCCGTGGAGACTGAAACTCCAACTTTGGCCGGAGGCCAAGTCCCGGTGCTGGGCTGCTCTCAGAGCTGAACGACAACAGCAGCATTGGGAGGCAGTATTGCTAGCCAGGGGCCTTGCTCTGGAGTCAAAGCCTGGGCTGGAATCCTGTCTGTCACCCCCAGGCTATGTGACCTTCAGTAACTCACTCCACCTCTCAGCGCCTCAGTGTTCTCCCACTGTGAAATGTGCCCATTTTACAGAGCCACATAAGATAGTGGTGAGGACCAAAGGGGACCATCAGGGTATGGAGCTGCGTCTAGCAGGCGCTCGAGAACGTGGTTATGTGTGTACTTGTTTCAGCCACCGGTAGAAGCTGGGCAGTCTCGACACGCTCCCTCGGTGCCTCTTGATGTTGCTGGATTTCTGCCTATAGCCGACTGGTTCTCCTTAGAAGAAATGCCCCTTTGAGCAATGCATTCTGAAGTGTCTGGCCTAGGCTGGCGCTGTGCTGTCTTGGGCCTGTCTCAATCAGGGCCCATGCCCAAGAGGAACAAAGCTCCTTCCACAAAGAATAAGTGAGGCCATGCAACCTTTTCTGAGGGGCTGCCGTGTGCCAGGTACCCAGCACAATGTCACATTCATTATAACCCAGCCTTGTAGACACGCCAAGCTTCCAGCACCTCAGTGCCTTCACATGTGCTGTTCTCTGTGCCTGGAGAACCTGCCCGGCCACAGATCCCTTATCTCCAGGTCGCAGCCTGTTGATCAGTCAGGGAGGCCTTTTCTGGCCTTAGTCCCCCTTTATACACCCTCAGAGAATCCCAGCTCTGTCACTCCCCAGCTGTGTGACCTCTTGGAGCCTCAGAGTTCCCCCACTGACACTTCCCCACATAGGACAGAGGCTCTTGGTGGCACTTGGCCCAGTTTTCTGTAAGATGGCTTCGTAGAGCCTTTATCTCCCACTTGAAAGGGAATTCCATAAGCACAGGAGCCACGCCTGTGTGTTCACCTCTGTTCACCCAGCACACAGCAGCGCTGGGCCCACAGTGAGTGCTCTATACGTTTTTATGATCATAATTAATGTTTTGAGCACTTAGTGCCATGCTCTGTATTACTCTTCATGACAGTAATTTCCATAACATGGGGGTGTTTACCACTATCACTCTATCACTCTATGTTATGCTGAGGGAGCTGAGGCTCTGGGAGGTGAAATGGCATACCTGAGGTCACATAGCCAGTAAAAGCCAAAGCCAGGACTTGAATCTAAGTCCGCCTGTCTCCATAGGCCATGCTCTTAATAAGGATGCTGCACTGATGGGCTCCTGTGTGGAGCCGCTGGGGGACAAGAGGAGGAGAGTTGGCGGGGGGGAAGGAGCAGGGCAAGTAAGGCCAGCGCCTTTAGGGGCGGGCGACTGTGAGTGGGGCAGGGAGCCTGGGAAAAGTGCATTGCACCGACACTTCCAGAAACACGTACTTGTCTAAAATGCCTTTTCAAAAAAAGTGCTTGTTTTATTCTACCTTTATTTATATGCCTTTTTTCTGATTATAAAAATCAATTTATGTTCATTAGAGAAAAAGAGAAAACTAGAAAACTATAAGAAGCAAATTTCTACCCAGAGATAACCACTCACATTTTAATGTATTTCTATATTTTTCCTATGAATCCTATGCACACATTTTCCACAAAAGTAGAATCAAACCATGTGTTCAGTTTTGAATGTTTTGTTCATTTGATGTTATATCATAGGTATTTTCCCATATTATTAAATATTAATTGAAAACTCAATTTTTAAAAATATTTTTTCCCATAAAAATTTGTAGCTGTATTAGTCTGTTCTTGAACTGCTATAAAGAACCACCTGAGACTGGATAATTTGTAAAAGAAAGAGGTTTAATTAGCTCTTGGTTCCGCAGGCTGTACAGGAAGCACGGCTGGGGAAGCCTTAGGAAACTTACAATCATGGCAGAAGGTGAAGGGGAAGTAGGCACAGCTTACTCGGCCAGAGAGGGAGGAAGAGTGTGAAGTGGGGGAGGTGCTACACTTCTCAACAACCAGATCTCGTGAGAACTCGCTATCATGAGAAGAGCAAAGGGGAAGTCCACTCCTATGATCCAATCACCTCCAACACTAGGGATTACAATTTGACATGAGATTTGGGTGGACACAAATCCAAACCATATCAGTAGCATACAAGTTTATTGAAGGAAAACTAGATAATACAGAAAAATCTAAAGAAAAGTCCTTCATGATCTCACCCCAAGAGATAATTACTATTAATATTTTGTCTCTCCATCACTTGATTTCCTATGCACATAAATAAAATGATACAGACAGATGTAGACAAATGCACACATATGTACTTTTTTAAAGAAACAAACTGAAACCCCACTTCTTCCCTCGAGCTATGGGAAGCACCCTCGCTAAGGCAAAGCATACACACTCAGATGCCCAGAGTCCAAACAAGTAGCTGACCCCTTTTGCTGAGACCTTGAAGAGGGCCACCTCAGGCACATCAAGAGAGATCAAACCACCTCAATACAAGGGCAAGCTTCTTTAGCCCATTGTGGCCAGGGCAGAATTCAGGTCCTACTGCCAGATTTACTGGTTTCCCAAGTGCTATAAATCCAGTTTAAGTGAAAGGTGTCTGAGGGGGTGCATTTGGACCCACCGGGGCCTGGGGCATAATTCGAAAAAGCATGTGCATTCTTATGATTTCATTTCATATTTGGAAAACTAAAGAGGAAATATTTTTCAAGACACTATAGAATGGTAACATTTAACAAAATCTTGGCTCAAAGTGGTCTGTTTAAAAAGTCTAAAACACTTATTTTCCTATTATGGTAAACAAAAATGTTTGTATCACTAAAAAACACCTTCACAATATTTTAATGACTCTTTCCTGATGTTGTTGTTATTTAGCATAGCAGTCTCTTCTAGACCTTAGTCGTTCCTTCATTCATCCAATAAACTATTAATAGTGAAGGCTATTTGCCAAGCCCTGAGAACATGGTGGTGACCAGACTGACACAGACCCTGCCCTCAAGAGACTCATATTCCAGCTAGGGAGGCAGAAAATAAACAGGTAATCTACTAAAGTACGAATACCTGTATTACCCAAATGATAAACACTATTTTTGCTTTTTTACCTATGTCATATGAAGAACATTTTTTCAAATCACTAAAAAGTACTTTAAAATATTTTCATAACTGTAACTTTTAAAGAACTTTCCCTTCGGCCGGGCGTGCTGACTCACGCCTATAATCCCAGCACTTTGGGAGGCCAAGGTGGGCAGATCACTTGAGGTCAGGAGTTCAGGACCAGCCTGGCCAACATGGCAAAGCTCCGTCTCTACTAAAAATACAAAAATTAAGCCGGGAGTGGTGGCAGGCACCTGTAATCCCAGCTACTCGGGAGGCTGAGGCAGGAGAATCACTTGAACCCAGGAGGCAGAGGTTGCAGTGAGCCGAGATCGCGCCATTGCACTCCAGCCTGGGTGACAAGAGCGGAACTCTATCTCAAAAAAAAAAAATTTCTTTTCCCTTCATTTAGTTTTATCAACTGACTCAATCTCCCGTAGACTTTTTTCTGTCAATGCTTAAACACCTATCCAGGGCCAGGCACTGTGCTCTGTGCTGTGAACACAGCAGTGAGGACAGACCCAGGTCCTCCCTTCTTTCAGAGGCAGCATGTGTTGAAGAGCCCAGACTCTAGAGCCAGACAGCCTGGGTTCAACTCATGGGTTCAAGTCGGGGCTTTGCCACTTAGTAGCCATGTGCCCTTGGTCATGTTCCCCAACCCCTCTGTGCCTCAGTTTCCCTGTGAGCTCAATAGCAGGCAGTAACCGTACATGCCTCACAGAGTGGTTGTGTAAATTAAATGAGGTAGCGCGCGAAAGCTTAGAAGTGCCCGTTGCGTAAGGCCACGAGTACAGGTTTGCTCTTTTTATTGGAGCTTATGTTCTAGTTGGGGAGACGGACAATAAACGATTTTTAGATGCCCTTTTAATGATCAAAGTATGGAAACCTCGGAAAGAGGGAGAGAAGGGGAAAGGGTGGAGAGAAAAGGAGGGATGGAAGAAGAGAAAGGAGGAGGCAGGGGAAAAAGGGCCTTATCTGCCGCTCCCAAAGGTAAGAGCATGTCAAGGAAACCGAGGATGGTGCTTAATGCAATTCTGTGCTCCTGTGACTCACTAAATAACACAGATGGACAAAAGGAGAGTTCGAAGCCGGGGTGGGGTGGGGGCTGCTCGAGGCCCGGGTCGGTCGTGGAGGCCTGCAGGAGGCAGCGGGCGAGGAGGGGCTCGCGACCAGCCTGACGCGCGGCCTCTCCCCCTCCATGTCCCTCCCTTTGTCCGCACAGAGAGCGCCTTCGCTGACACGCTGACGCCCGCGCGCCTCAGCCAGGCCCGCTTCAGCGCCTGCCTGCCGCCCAGCAGCCACGACGCGGCCAACTTCGACAACAACGAGCTCGAGAACAACCAGGTGGTGGCCAAGCTGGGCCACCTGGCGCTGGGCCGCGCCCCGGGCCCACCGCCAGCCGACGCCGCGGCCGCCGCCATTCCGTGCGGGCCCCGTGAGCGCCCGCGGCCCGCGTCGTCGCCGGCGCTACTGGAGGCCGACCTGCGCTTCCACGCAACACGCGGGCCCGACGTGAGCCTGTCGGCCGACCGCAAAGTGGCCTGCGCACCGCGGCCCGACGGCGGCCGCACGCTGGTCTTCTCCGAGCGCCCGCTGCGGCCCGGCGAGAGCCTCTTCGTGGAGGTGGGCCGTCCGGGGCTGGCGGCGCCCGGCGCGCTGGCCTTCGGCATCACGTCGTGCGACCCGGGCGTGCTACGGCCCAACGAGCTGCCCGCCGACCCAGACGCGCTGCTCGACCGCAAAGAGTACTGGGTGGTGGCGCGCGCCGGGCCCGTGCCGAGCGGCGGCGACGCGCTCAGCTTCACGCTGCGGCCCGGCGGCGACGTGCTCCTGGGCATCAACGGGCGTCCGCGCGGCCGCCTGCTGTGCGTCGACACCACGCAGGCGCTCTGGGCCTTCTTCGCCGTGCGCGGCGGCGTCGCGGGCCAGCTGCGTCTCCTCGGTGAGTCCCCGGCCCCGCGTGCGCGAGGCCCCGCCCCTCCCCCGTCCCGTGCCGTCTCACCCCGCTGCGCTCTTCCCCGGCCCCGCCCCTCTCGCTAGGCGCTGCACCGCCCGAGGCCAGCCCGCGGTTCCCAACTTTAAGCGCCCGGGCACGATCCACCCCGTCCAAAATTGCCGGACTCCACCCCAGAGTTCCGGATTCAGTGGGTGCACGGTGCGCCCCGAGAACGTGCATTTCCGACAAGTGCCCGGAGATGCTGACGTTGCGGCTCTCTGGACCACATTTTGTAAACCACCGACCTAGATAGGTAACCGGCTTATCTCCGAGCTTGGCAGGCTATATCCCCTCGGTAAATGGTCGGTGCGATTTTTAGTTCCGTTGTTACGATTTGTTACATTAGGGTGTTTTTAACATGTAATGCACAGTAAGTGTAGGGAAAAAATAAATTCGACTGCACATGAAAGAGGAAATAAGAATAGTATCGTCCACAGAAAGTGGAATGGAGGCCTGAACCATCCTATTTTGAGATAATTTTTGCCTTCATTCATGCCACAAATAGGCAGGAGCAGCCACCAGCTGTGGGCCGGGCCCTGGGCACCAGGATAGGGCCAGCAGAGGACAGGACACACTCCATGCCGGTTAGGAGCTCACAGACACCCTAAAGGAGAGTTGCACGGTGTGACATTTGCTACAGCCGGGGGCTCCTCTCCCAGCTTGGTGGAGTGAAGGAGATGTTCAGAGAAGGCTTCCCAGAGAGCCTGGCTCCAACTTCATGGCTCAAAAAGTAGAGTCCAAGCAATAAGAAGCAGTCAACAGCTCATATGTTCCCTCATTGAATTTTATCCTCCCTTTGACTCTATTGAAATCAGTATCATTATCCCCACCTACAGATAAGATAATGAGCACAGAGAGATTAAATGACTATCCCAGGGTCACATCGCTGGTCAGCTTTGAAGATGCTGGACAAATCACAGATTCTCCTGAGCCTGTTTCCTTCTGTAGAAAGAGAGTGATACCTGCTTCATGGGGTTGTCATGAGGATGAAATCATGTGCATATAATGCCTTGAGCGGGGCCTGACACTGGTTTAATCAGTGGTAACAGTAACAACAGCAGCTGTTGCTGTCTTCATGAGGGCAGAGGAGGAGCCGGGTGGCAGTGTGGTTATTTGGTCAGAGTGTTTTTTGGGGAGGGGGAAGTTGTGTTGTTTTGTGTTTTTGAGGAACCATCAGACATAGTCATCATTTCAGCCCGAGACGAAGTGCCCATTATCTGTCCATTCATCCTCAGGTAGGGCAAGGGAAGGGGCATCTTTTCATCCTAAGAAACAAGCTGTTATTGTCTGAACCAACAGCAAGCTTGGGGAAGAAAACTCATCCATGTTGAGCACTAGTAGTCAGGGATCTTCTCGCAAGGGGCAAAACCCCACTCAAAGTGCCCTAAGCAAAAAAGGAAATGTCTGGGAGTATATTGGGTGAGTTCAGGAATAGCTGGATCTAGGTACTGGAAGGATATCAGCAGGATCCTACCTCTCTTTCCAACTCAAAGCTCTGCTTGCCTCTGTGTTGGCATCACTCTCAGGCAGGCCTTTGCCACGGGTTGGCTCTTCCAGCTCCAGGCTTCCTTCCCAATGAATGGAATGAGTTCCTTCTTTCCTAGTAGTTCCAGTAAAAGTTGCAGAATTGGGTCTCGGGCCTTACGGGGGTTATGTGCCCTTTCCTGAACCACCACTATTGAGACCAGAGAGTGGAAGTTCCTGTTGGCCTGGCCCTTATCCTATGAGGGAGGGCACATTAGTATCCCAAAAGAACATCCCAGGGCTGTTTCTGAAAGAGAAGAGAATAGAGGCCTGGTAGACAAAGAACAGAGGCACCACACTGGGATGCACTCTTCACTCCTCAGCAGAACCCTGGGAGATACCTCTGGTCCTCTCGTTAGACGGGAAAGCTAAGGTGCAAAGCAGTGAAGAACCATGGACTAGCAGGGCAGGTCCAACCTTCCACTGCCCCTGATGGAATCTCTTTGGGCCTCAGGTACCCTGCAGTCCAGCCCTGCGACCACGACTCCATCAGGGTCCCTCAGCGGCTCCCAGGACGATAGTGATTCAGATATGACCTTCAGTGTCAACCAGTCCTCCTCGGCATCTGAGTCATCCCTGGGTAAGGAAATGCAAACCCTGGCAGGGGCAGGGGCTGGCGGCTGGCCTGGCTCCTCCGGCTGTGCCAGTGGCCTTCCAGGGACTGAGCAGGGTGGCCGCCTTTCCCCCGCATCCTCTCCTTCCCTCAGCTGTATGCTCAGCTGGAGGGAGGAGAAGTGTCTAGATAGGGCATTCCAAAGGGTGACGATGGTGGCATTTTATCTTGGTGTTTGGGAGTAGAAGAGTAGAGAAAGGTGCAAAACCTGCAAGGTAAACTCAAATTAGTATCTCCCAAAAGTATTCTCCCACCGGTCCCAGCAAGAAGCCCTGCATTCTCGGGGTTGCCCCAACAGAGCCCACCTGAGAGAGACATTGTTAACATATGTCCTCTTCTCCCTTTCGGCAGTGACGGCCCCCAGCTCCCCGCTGAGCCCCCCGGTGTCCCCCGTGTTCTCCCCACCGGAGCCGGCAGGCATCAAGAATGGCGAGTGCACGGTGTGCTTCGATGGCGAGGTGGACACGGTCATCTACACGTGTGGACACATGTGCCTGTGCCACAGCTGCGGCCTGCGGCTCAAGCGACAGGCCCGGGCCTGCTGCCCCATCTGCCGGCGGCCCATCAAGGACGTCATTAAGATCTACAGGCCATAGCCTAGCCTGCCCACGGGCCTTGGCCGGTGCAAGGTCACCTTTCTGAAGGCCCCCTGGGCTGGGCAACCACATGGCTGCCAGGGAGTCCACGGGCAGCGGCCATCTCTCCAGTGGTGGGCAAGGTGTGACAGTCGTGGAGCGAGGCCCACAGGGCCTCAGCCCAGGCAGGGGTTGCTTCTGGCTCCAAAGTGCTTTGCCCCCAAAAGGCCGTCCCAAGAGCAAGCTCAGGAACTGCCTGGCAGATCACCCTGTCCCTTGGTGACCTTTCAACTGGGAAACAGCGTCCTCTGTCTGTGCAATGCTTCTTGCTGGGGTTGGGTTGAGTGTGAGAGAAGGGGAGGGGAGGGAGGGAGAACAGAGAGAATGTGTGTGTGAGAGAGAGAGAGAGAGAATGAACGTGTAGCGATTTTACCAGGGGTCCCGGCTCCGGGAGGAGACGTGCAATCCGGAGCCCCGACATTGGCATGACTAGAAGTTGTTCACTTTCTGGGGATGGGACATAAGCTGGTTTTGAATGTATGAAGCTGACCCTCACAGAACTCCCTGGGGTGGTGTAGAAAAGAGATGCTCAGATTTTCTAAGGGGAGGCAAAAATAACTCATTGTTTACAGCTCCAAAGCATGAACTCCTTGAGGGGAAGGTGGGTGAAGAACAATTCACTTCTTCATTTCTTACTGGGTCTTAGAGCTGGGTGTGATGGGCACCGAGGCCAACCCCTCTGGATTGTGTCATCTTTTCACCCCTTCACCCCCAGACTGTCTAATAATACACACATCATACCTTGTCTCCGTCTCTGGAGGCAAGTCTCTGTAATGCCCTTCCCTATCTCCAAGGAGAAGACCAGCAGTAAGTTCTGTTTTTCTGTGGGAGAGAAAGAATCCTAGAGGCAGGTGACCCACCTGGAGCTGGAAAGCCCACTCCACGATGCAGACAGCTCTCTACCTTCCTGTGGTGGCCCCTGGGCCTGGCATTCCCAGGGGACCTGCTGGCAGGAGGAGGAACGAGGGCTTTATAACTTTGGTTATAACTTTTGGTCTTTGTTCTGATTCTCAGTGTATCTTCCTCCGCTGGTTACTAAAGTGTTCACTGATAAGTATGTTAACTAATGATCGAGACAGTAACGAAAAATGCTGGCACTGGGATTCTCTCCCTTCCCAGACCTACCTGCTGGTATTTCCTGGGACCTTGACCCTGCCCCACCCCCTCAGCCGTGCCCATCTCTGCAGACTCCCAGATCACATCTGGGCTGATGGGCTGGCCCAGGCCTGTCCCTCCCTTCTTGCCCCCAGTTCTGGGCTCCACCTCTGCCCTCTTCTGTGCTGTCCCATTAGGGAAGTCCCTTGGCCTGTCTATTTTTCAGTTCCCAATTAGAAGTCTAGAACCTGACAACTCCAGGAGTTCTTGGGAGGACCAGTACAACGTTCTAAAAAGCCTGAGACGCCTTACAAAAAGCAAGTATCATTTGGAGTACAATTCCTAATCTGTTCATGTCCTGCTGAAGGAGGGAAGGAGGGAGAGGAAGGCAGGGGAGTTGATGCATTCATATAACAAACACTGCTGGGTGTCTGGGTGCCCAGAGCAAAGCTGGGCCAGGCCTTCACCAGATCAAGCCCCACAGACCAGCTGGTGCCCATGCGCTGCTGGTGGTTTGGGGCCTCCTGTTCCTCCTCTAGCTGGGAGTAATCACAGTTGTCTGACCTGATTCCAACTTAAGGTCCCCACTCTCTTGCCCCATCAAGAATCCCTGATTATTTACTTTTCCCTAGAAAATCTGGGGAAATTCCCACATTTTAATTTTGCAGCAGAATCTTTTGAGCAGCTTTTGGAACCACAGTGTTTGCCAAGATAAGAGTTTGAGAATCCAGCAGCCCTGGGTGCCTGGCTGAATTTGGTTTCCTGCATGTGCTGGGTGTGGGCGGGGCCACGCACAGGCCCTGCATGGGAGGACTCCTCACCCCAGGCCTGTGGTGCTGCAGACAACCGTCTCCTGTCTACACTGCGACCCAGCCACAAGCTGTGGGGTCTCAGTGGCCTGGGGGAAAGCAGCTCCACTCTCCTGCCCTTCCTGGCTGCCCCTTTGGGTTCCAGCCGGGGTCACGTCCAGCCTCCACTGGGAAACCAGTGACTGAGGCCTGGACCCAGAGGTGGACCAGGCATCTCCTGGCCACCTGTGACCTGGGAAGAAGCGAGTCAGTGGCCCGTTCAACCTGCTCTGCAGCTGCTATAAATAGCCTCCCTGTTTCCAAGAGGAGGTAAGGAAGTGTTTATCTTCTAAAAACCAGACGTTTCCTGATGCTCTGAGCGTTACTCAGTGCTACAGAGGAGATGCACACGTCCCCACTATGTTCTGTCTTGAGAAGGGGACAAGAGAAAGAGGAAAAGGAGCCACTGTACTTTATTTTGCACCTACAGCGTGCCTTGGCACTGGGCTAGAGAGGCACCTTCCTGCGTGAATCCTGTGCGGCAGGTCTTATTGCCATAATAAGTCACATCAAAGACACTGCTGGTCATAAAACACTGTTTTACATACCATAGGGAAAAACGCTGCCAATCTTAACTAAGATGCTACAACTGTACAGTTCCTTCCAATCAGAGATGTTCACGTGTGAAAAAAAAACTGTGCTACTTACAATCTATGAAAGCTGGTGTTATCCCACTTGGCAGGTAAGGAAACTGAGGTCCTGTGAGTGAAGTGACCTCATGATCACACAACAGGAGATGGCAGGGCTGGGATTCAAACCCGGGAGTGTCTGCTGCCACATCCCACACTCCCACTGCCTGGCTCCAAGTCCCAGGAAGCTCGAGACTGTGAGTTTTCTCCCTTGAAACTCACCTGGAGAGAGTCCGGGCACCTGTGCCTATGTGGAGGGTTCCAGCCCCAGCCAGGCCCCTCCGCTGCCCACACCCTGGGAGGAGAAGCGGCCTCCCTTCCAGGCTCATCTGCTCACTGCCCGCATTCTCCTGGCAGAGCTGAGGTCTGAGAGATCTGGACTCCAACCCAAGGGCCCTCTCTTGTTATTCAGGGGTGTCCACAGTTAGGAAGGGACCTGGGGCCTTGTCCCACCACCTTCCTAGGCCCCGTGATCACCACCCCCTCAAGCGGGGCCCCAGCCCCCTGAGCACCCCCTCACGTGACCCAGCCCTCGGCTGTTCCAGGCTCACTGCCCATGGTGTGCTCTTCTGGGCCACAGCAGCCAGGGCTCCAGGGCGAGGACAGGGGACACCTGAAAACACCCCGTTGTTCATGGTCTTGTGCCCATTCATTCGGAGACTCCTGAAAAACTGGGCTGTTTGCAAAGCAAATCCAGCTCCTTGTCCTAGCAGGTTCTCAGAACGGGGAGTCCCCTGGGATGGAGCTGCTCCCCTCACGGCAGCACCACGTTTCCAGTCCCTCGATGCCACTAATCAGCATGGACTGTGTTCAGGACACAGGGTGAACTTTTCTCTGACCCCCGGTGCTGGTCCTGTGCCAGCACGTAGTAGTTACTCAGTAGAGGTTTGCTGAGTAAACCAGAAATCAGATTATGAGTGTTCAGGGGTTTGATAAAACAGCACCACATAACGCACACAAAGATACTCCAGAAACATTTGCTGAGTACCTAGTACGTGTGAGGTGCTGTGAGGATAGAGCAGAGAGGACTGTGCCCCAGCTGTGATGCTGGCAGAGGTGACACTAAGAGGGAAATGAGATATTTGGGGCAGAATCCACTGGGCTCTCTTGGCCATCCGCTGCCTTGGGTCTGTTGAGGTGGGTGCCCAAAGGCTGCCTTCTTGACCAGAACCTGCTGTGCGCTTCACAGAACCTCCTCTTCATTGGAAATGCTGGGCACATTGCAGTCAGTGAGCTGCTGCCAAAACGGCGTTAAGTAGAACCCCCAGAGGCCCCGCCGGTTGGTGATCACCCTCAGGTCCTGCCAGGGAGACACAGTGAGGAGGTTGGCTAATTGCTGCTTTCAGGCCCTGGAAATCAGTCGCCAAGGCCCAGGAGAACCCCGGTGAGTCCGTCCAGTTGAGGCAGAGGCAATAACCTCCCATTGCTCGGCCCTGCGCCTGCCCCAGTCCTGGCAGGGGGCACCGGCTCAGGAACATGCGGCCTCCTGGCATTTCTCGGTATTTAACTGTCTCGCTGTCTTATCCGAGTCCCTAATGAAACGACTTGTGTGACAATCTGTCTGTGCCTTACGAAAGTGTCTGTGCACTTTTTATCCTTTTTAAAAGCAACTTTTAAAAGTGGATGGGGAGGGGGGCTAGCATACGTGGTAGGGTTCTAGAAATCTGTGGTCATCGCTGAAATCCTTTTTGCATCATGTTTTTTGATGTTGGAGTGATGAAGTGTACATCCCCCACCCCACACACCACTACCTGTGTACAGACCTTTTAAAACATGTCTTCTTTTTCTGATTCAATACTGTGACCTCTCCGATACAGTCTAATCCTTGGGGATCTGTAATCAAGGTTTTAAAACCTGGGAAGTGGGTTGGGAAGGGTTTGCACTGGTCTTGAGTGTTGTGCTTTTCTGTGTTGTGTGTTTTGATTTTTGTCTTTTTATCTGTTTTATATTGACATAATTTTCCTGTTTAAAAAAATACAACTTTGGCTTGTTAAAAAAAAAAAAGTCTTCAGAACTCAATTTTTAAAATCCCACTTACATACACTGATGGGGAGTGAAGGTGAGGATCCAAATCATTGCCAGTCTTGAGGAAATAAGTTGCAAAATGGCTATAGAACCCCGACAATGTTTGATGCCTTTGCCAAATAACTCACTTCTGTGAAAATCACAAGGAAATCATTCTAATCAAGGATGAGATCTATGTGTAAAGATATTCACTGCAGCATTTTCTAGAGTGGTAAAAAGCTGTGAGCAACCCTCATGTCCAACAACCAGGGTGTATTCACCAAGACTTGGTTACAAGTGACAGAAACCCAACTCGGATAGGTTTTAGGGGGATAAAGAACTAGGGAACTGAAAAGTCCAGTAGCAGAACTCACTCTACGTGCAGGTAGAACCAGGGTCTGAAATGCTGCATCAGGACTAGCCTCTCCCCTCTCGCTCAGCCCTGTGATCTGGCCCCATTCCCAGGCAGGTTCTCAAGATGCCTCCTGCAGGGCCACCAGCATCCTGCCTTTGAGCATTCCCTGCACGGAGCAGCTCAGATCACGTGTCCGCTCCTGAACCAGTCACAGGACAGGGAGATACGGGGCTCTGATTGGTCAGACCCAGGATGGGTGCTCACCTGCACCCAATAGCTGCCCTGTCTGAACTCTGGGCTGAAAGTGGGGAATCGCAATCTCCAGAGAAAATGAGTCCTAAAGAATGCATGCCCAAGGTGGGCAGATCATGAGGTCAAGAGTTCAAGACCATCCTGGCCAACATCATGAAACCGCGTCTACTCAAGATATAAAAAATTAGCTGGGCGTGGTGGCGTGCACCTGTAATCCCAGCTACTCAGGAGGCTAAGGCAGGAGAGTCACTTGAACCTGAGAGGTGGAGGTTGCAGTGAGCCGAGATCGCACCATTGTACTCTAGCCTGGGTGACAGGGCGAGACTCTGTCTAAAAAAAAAAAAAAAAAAAAAAAAGAAGAAGAAGAATGCAGCGTGGGCAAAAACAACAGGCCTCTGTGTAGGGAACGGGAAACCATGATACCGATACATATGGGGCTAATGGCATGAGCATGAAGCCAGACTGCCAAGGCCTCACCAAGACATTGGGGAAGATGCTTAACGTCCTTGTGCTTCAGCTTCCTCATCTTCAAAGCAAGAACAATAATAGTTCCTGATTTTAGGATGGGTGTAAATGTTATTGAGATCATACCAGTGATGTGCCAGGCACAGCATCTGGCACCCAGCACCAAGCAACAATTGTTAGTTTGTAACACAGGAACGGGTTTATGTTAAAGTGTGGTTAAAAAAAAAATCAAGATATAAAATTGCACATACACCGTGATCTCACAGATGAAAAAAAAAACAAAAACACCAACAGCCCAAAAACCTACCCATGCATTGGAAAGACCAGAAAGAAAGGAGTGAAATGTCCATGAGGGCTGTGTCTGAGTGATGGCCTTATTGGTGCCTTTTTCTCATACTTGCTCATTATAGAAAATTTCCCAAATTTCCCAAATTTTCTATAATGAGCAAGTATGACTTTTCATTTAAACTTGTTACTTGGAAAAAATGATCTCCCTACTCTGCAAAAGCCAAAGAGAACAGCTGGCCCTTGCTGGAATTTGTCAGGAATTCCCAGGCTGATTGTCTGTGAGTTTAAGATCCAAATTTAGTCCGGTGGAGATAAGGACCTGTACGTTTCTAGCAGAGGCCAGGCCAGGCTGACCAGTTTGGTTGGGCTTCCTCCAGGCTAGGTTTTGGGGCCCAAATTTCTGGGGTGGAACATGGCAGTGGTAGCAGGAGTGGGAGCTGGGAGTAGGGGAATGGGGTGAACAAGGAGAGGGAGCTGCCCAGGCCTGCTCCTTCTGGATGGTTAGAAGAGCCTGGCTTGGTGACACTGAGTTTTAGGAAGCAATGGGATAAGAGAAACCAGCATTTATCAAGCAGCACAAACCATGGTTCTCACACATTCTCACAATGGATCTTCACAATAGTGTTCTCATTTTACAGGCAAGGAGGCCAAAGTCAAAGTAGGATTGGCCCCCAGGTGGGCCTGCTCCAGAGTCAAGGCAAAATCTTTCAGAGACACATTTCGCACCCCTTTACCAAAGTCTTAGTGAGGGGCCGAGTCTGTCCAAAACCCAGGATCCTTTCTCCCCTTCCAGATTTCCTTCCCACAACGCTATGTCCTTCTACTGGACCAGGCAACATTTTCACAGACGCTATCTGATAATCAAAACTTTTTTGAATAAAGAAAAAAAGGTAGGGCCAGGCGTGGTGGCTCAAGCCTGTAATCCCAGCACTTTGGAGGCCAAAGCGGGTGGATCACCTGAGGTCAGGAGTTCGAGACCAGCCTGGACCACATGGTGAAACCTCGTCTCTACTAAAAATACAAAAAATTAGCCAGGTGTGGTGGTGTGCACCTGTAATCCCAGCTACTCAGGAGGCTGAGGCAGGAGAATGGCTTGAACCCAGGAGGCGGAGGTTGCAGTAAGCTGAGATCGTGCCACTGTACTCCAGCCTGGGCAACAAGAGCAAAACTCTATCTCAAAAAAGAAAAGAAAAAAAGGTCATATTAATCTAGGCCCACTGCATTGTAAGAGACTGAAACCCAATTTAAGAAAAAAAAAAAAAAGAGCGGGCAGAATGTACTGACTCACGCCCAGAACAGATCAGTCTAGCTTCAGGAACAGCTAGATCCGGGTATTCACATGATGTTGTCAGGCCTCTGCCTCTGTCTCTCAGTTCTGCCTTCCTCTGAGCTGATGGCACTCTCAGGCAGACTCTCCCTTTGCAGCAACCAGAACAACCTCCAGTGACTCATATCATGCCAGTTTAGTGACCCTTTAAAAAAGTTTCGGGAAAAGTCCCAGTGCTGTCTCTCCTTTGACTCCTTGGATCAAAAGCTCAATCCCTGAACCTGTCACATGCCCACACCTGATACAAAACTAGGTATGGTATGGCCCTTACCCTCAAGAACCAACCAATCTGGAGGGGAAGGCAGACCCCTAAACAGACATGTTTAGACCAGTGCACTTCTGAAGCTGTGGGAACGATCCAATTCAGGCCACGAGGGCTCGGGATCATTTAGCGATGCAGTTAGGCATCCTTCTTTCTCCTGGCCCTGTGTGTTCTTACCAACACCTGAGCCATGTTCCCTGGCACATCCAATTCCTCCTCCCATGCTGCAGTGCACACAGCCCGTGCGCTGGCCCTCACCAGCCCCTGCCACCTGCGGTGCACCTAGCCTGGTGCGGTGGGGGTTCACTATTGTGCATGCAAATCCCTTTTTCTCATTCCCTGAGTTCCTGCAGGACAAGAAATCCTCCAGAAAGATAATAATACCAGATCATTTAATAAGCACTTAGTGTGTGCAAAGGACATCCATGACATCAGTAAATCCTCACAACAGTTCTCTGAAGTGGCTCCATCATTACCTTCATTTTACAGGCAAGAAGCCAAGACTGAGAAGGAATCAGTAACTTTCTCCTACTTTATATGGCCTCTCAAAGACAAAAAGTTTCTTCGCTTTCTGTTTGTAATTATGTCCTTGGACCTAGACCCCCTGGTTCCCAAGTGCAAATGGGCCTAGAACATTTGCAGCTGTGATTTCACAGACTCCCACCAGCCACCCATTGTATTACGGTCCCATTTTACAGGGAGGGGAAGGGGCTGCCCCACATCACACTGCTTAGGAGCTGTGGGGCCAGGATTTGAACCAGGCCTGGCTCTTTCCACCACATCACAGCATGTCTGTGGGTACATTGTCAGGAGGAGGGGGAGGGAAAGGAGGAAGGAGAGTAAGAAGAAAAGGACAAGAAAAAAACAGCCAGATTCAGCACCTCGAAGGGCTTTTTCTAGAAGAACATCAGCTGTGTCCTGACTCACACAATGCCTATCCGTTCAATTCCAGGGACAGGGAATATTTGCTTTTCCCTTCAGGCTCTGATCTCCCAGCTCTTGGAAGCTCCCACACAGGGATGTGGAAAACACGATTATTCCAGGCATCGAGCTATGGGAACAGAACCCCGACCTTGGCTGTTAAATACACCTATGGAGAAGCTTCCAGAAGCCCAGCAGTGGGGTGTGTTGGGGAGGAGATGCATCAAAACGAAATGCCTCAGGCAGCCTGATCCCCTTTCGTCAGCCTCCTCCCCTCTCAGCTTGGGCCTTCCCAGGTCTAAACCCTTCTCCCCAGACAGACAGCCTGACTCTCCTGACTCTCCGACTGGCCAGCGAAGACCTTGGCCATCCTTTCAGGAGCATGTGGGCCTGCTTAGGAGGGCTGGGCCGGCCTAACTGAGTTCACATCCATGCTCTGCCCCAGCCAGCAGAGGACCTGCCCTCCCCACTGGGCTTCCTAAGGGTGCCTCTCACATACCAAACTTTACGTGAATGTGCCCCCTGTAGCTGCACGATGGGGATGCCCCCTTCTGAGCCTCCCCCTCGTGGCCCCTACGTGGGCCCTGTAAGACCACACCCTCCCTCAGCCCTTAGGAGGCTGCATCCTGGCATCTTAGCTCTGAGCTGGGGTTTCCAGTGTGATGGGGTCTAGTGTGGTGGGTGAGTTCCCTCCAGCTGAGGGGACAGGCCTGCCTGTGCTGTGGGATCTTGGGCAAGTTACATACCCTCTCTGAACCTCAGTTTCTGCAGCTTCGAAGGAAGAGGGGTGTCAAATTGTGTCAGAAAGTGGCTGGCATATAGCAGGTGCTAAATGTTTTTTAGGAGTATTCTAGACCCTGCTACACCAGCTACCCCTCGCCCATGCCCTCCCCTGTCCCATCTGGGCCAGGGGCTGCCTCCATCCTCCTACAACCTCCTGGGCCTCCCGTGCCACCTCAGTGAGCCTGCCCTGCGACACTGTCAGCAGCATCTGCAGGTGACGCGGCGCATCCCCGGCTCCCAACACAGGGTCTACCAAACAGGAGAGTCTTAGTGTGTACACCCCTCACCCACACCCAGCGTGGAATTTCTGGCATTAGCACACCTCCCTTCCACAAAGAATGAACCGGAGTGGTGATCTGCTGGTGGGGTCGTGCCAGGCCTCGGGGCTGGCCCAGGCCCCCGCCCCTTGCTTGTCTTGGTTCCCAGTCAAGAGCGCTGGCCCCAGGCCTGGGAGGCTGACCGACCTCAGACTCCAAGGGGAAAGCCACACTTTTGCTCAACTCCCAGGAGCAGCCCCGCATTCCAGGAGGGGCGTGGGAAGCACCAAGCCTTCCCCAACTGAGCTGAGCGGGGAGCTGCCTGCAGCCACGCTGGCCCCCCCAGCCTCAACGCTGGCCCAAGCCCACTTTGGGTTCCCCAGGGACAACCACCCCACCTCAGAGGGATGGAGATGGGGCTCTGAGAGATTGCCACGGCCACCCCAGGAAAGAAACACCAGGATGTTCCCAGGAACCCTCTCTGGCTTCCCCATCTGCCCGCAGTTTCCCACGCTGACTCCGTCTCCTTTTTCTGGTGCCACCCCACCCCTGATCAGCACAAAAAGAGTTCCCTACATGACTCTGAGCAATGGCAGACTCCCTTCTGCCTCTGTCCCTCTGACAGGTGGTCCCAGGGCTGTCTAGAACCTACTCCAGGGCCATCCCTCCCGGCTGACCTTGCTATCTTTCCACCCTGGAGTTATTTCATCTGGAGGTGTTATGAATACAGACCCGGCTTGGGGGAGCCTCCCGCAAGGTACTACCCGAGCTGGACCTTAGATGCTGGACAGCCCTTGGCAGGCAGAAGCTCCTCCTGAGCACTCCCTGCAGAAAGGAGCTGCCCAAACGCAGAAGCTGATGGGCCCCGTGCTGGAGGAGCCCTCCAGGGTGGGGGCAAAGGTCCCAAGAGACATTTGCCTTCTGCAACAAACCAGCCTTTCTCCAAGAGGTTCACACGACCCTGCTGGCTGGCGCTCCTGAGCAGGCTTCCTCCCACAGGGCAAGCTCCCCTTGGCCTCCCAGGAAAGGATGGACGGACAGGCAAAGGGCAATGAAACGGCCTGGGCTGGGAGTGATCCTGGGTAAGGGCCCCGTCCCCTCGGGCTTCCCTTTCCGCGCCCTCACCATAAGGGAGTGAAACTGAAAGTCCTGAAGTTCAGGGAGGTGGCTCGCCAGGCTCCTCGGCAGAAGGCGCGGGGATTGGACGGTTTCTTTCTAGAAGATGGAGCACTGTCGCTCTCTAGTGGCCACGGTGAGAAGTGGCAAAGACCTGAGCAGAAAGACATTGGTCAAGGTCCAGGTGCTGGACAGATTTACACCCCCTACCATCCCCCCGAGCGCATCCTGCAGAAGCCGCAACGACCGGGAAGCCAGACTCCTGCAAATGGCCTTGTGGATCTGGGTAACCTTGAGGAGGCACGTCAGGGTGACATTGAGTCTGGGTCTGGGGTCAAGTCTGCGTTTGGGGGTGGACTGGAGCTGAGGGTGTGGTGGGCTGGGGCTGGGGCTGGGAAAGGATCTCCCCGCCCCTGCAATGCTGGGAGGATGGCACATGGACACGACGTTTCTTTACTCCGGTCCTACTGACCTGACCCGCTCCGTTTAACCCGCACGTCTGACCCTGTGCCGGGCACATTAGAATAAAACAAGTAGGGGAGGAAAATGCAATATTTTTAAACCCTCAAAGATAGACAGAAATGACAATGCAGCTAAAACTGCACCTTTGGCCATCAAAAAAAAAAAAGTGCCTCCCCAGTGCTTGAGATATTTATGCCCCAGCTGGTTCAAAAGAAGTTTGCTCTGGGGCAGGGCACGGTGGCTCACGTCTGCACTTCTGGAGGCCGAGGTAGGTGGATAACTTGAGGTCAGGAGTTCGAGACCAGCCTGGCCAAAATGATGAAACCCCGTCTCTACCAAAAATACAAAAATTAGCCGGGCGTGGTGACGGGCGCCTGTAATCCCAGCTACTCAGGAGGCTGAGGCAGGAGAATCGCTTGAATCCAGGAGGCAGAGGTTTCAGGGAGCCGAGATTGCACCATTGCACTCCAGCCTGGGCAACACAGCCAGATTCTGTCTCAAAAAAAAAAAAAGAGAGAAGTTTGCTCTGGGTTTGTGACAAGCTCTGTAGATTGGAAACCTCTGTAGGTTCCGCCTTTCAAGCAGGAGTAGCAGAAACCCAGCACAACTGGCCTGTATCAGTCTCAGTGCAAAGTATTTACTGGCTGTGGGGTGCTGAAAGCTGTTGGACTAAATGGGTTGCGAATGATGATAGCACCATCCTCCTCTCTCACTGCCTCTGCACACGGTAGCCCTGGCGTGCCCAGAGTCATATTCTCCCAGCTTGAGGTCCAGCCTTACAGCAAGATCTGGGACTGTATCTCCCTGGACCAACTTCAGTACGAGAAGAATATTAACGATACGTTGTTAAGTAAAAAAATTTAAAAGCTACAAAATCATATATACCATATGATAACATTAAAATATACATGAACAATTAGTCATGGGAATAAAAGGCTGAAGGAATGTACCAAAATGTTAACAAAAGTCATCTGGATGGAAGTACAATGAGGGTGAAATAAAAGTGGTTTAATTTTCTTCTTTTGCTTCTCTACATGTAAGAAAAATTTTAAATTCTATAAGAAACATTTATTGTTATAATAAGAAAAAAGTTATTATTGTTTAATGCAACAAAGGCCTGGATAAGGACATAAAAAAAGAACTGACAAGAGGAGACAGTCCTCTAAAGACAATGGTCAGGCCAGCCGTGGGGCTCACGCCTGTAATCCCAGCACTTTGGGATGCCAAGGTGGGCAGATCACCTGAGGTCAGGAGTTCGAGACCAGCCTGCTCAACATGGCGAAAGCCCGTCTCTATTAAAAATACAAAAATTAGCCAGGTGTGGTGGCGGGCACATGTAATCCCAGCTACTGAGGAAGCTGAGGCAGGAGAATCACCTGAACCAGGGAGGTGGAGGTTGCAGTGAACTGAGATCATGCCATTGCACTACAGCCTGGGCAACAAGAGCAAAACCCCATCTCACAAAATAAAAAATAAAAGACAGTGGACAAAGTAGAGCCCAGTGAATTAGCAAATCAATCTAACACGACAAATCTCTGCTCTCACCATCCTCATTGCCAGGGGCCAGGGCCAGAAATGGAAGCAGATGTTACAACAGAATGGCCAGTGTTCTGGCGAGGGTAAAACCAGGACATCGTGGGAGCCCTGACTAACCTGAGAGGGTCAGGGGAGGTGTCCAGGAAGAGGAAACTTGGAGGAGCATTTTGAAGGGGGCGCGTGATAGCCTCCAGGTGGAGAAGAGGAAGGAAGATTGCCAGGCAGATGGAAGAGCACAGCGAAGGCCCAGGGGCAGCTTATTCCAGCTTGGGTGGCCCATCAGGCCAATAACCACAGTAACAACAAAAGGTATAGAAGAAGCTGGTTTGGAGAGGATGCTGAACTCCACCTTGAGGATTGCTTTTGAATATTTCTTTTTAAATAATTCTTTTGGCTTTCCTTTCCTCCCTCACATAAAATAGAAAACACGCTCTCAGCTGCTAAGCCTCTCCCCAGGGGTGTGGTTTGCCTAATAAATTGCAAAATTGACCTACTAATGCTAAGAAGTTAAGTCAAATTAAATCACAAGAGAATTTCCAAGGACCGCTTACCATTCCCTACTTGTCTGCCAGGGAAGAAGGCGCCATGCCCTGGGTGTGGATAAGATAGGAGCTCTGTAAGCTCTGTGACCCCAGCACAGCCATTGGCACTTGCTACCCTCGGATCTCCAGGAACCGGTGGAGAATAACCCCAAACCGCCAAGAGTTTGCCTCTCTCGGCATGCTCTGGCTCCAGTGAAGTTATGAGACTCCCACCCCTTAAAGAGCTTAAAGACCTTAAAGAGCCCACCCCTGCTGTAGAGAGAAGCGACAGCTGCCAGGCTCCGCCCACCCCTCCTTCATGGGTAAATGAGAAGGGCCCACCCCTCCTTCCTGGATAAATGAGGGTGTAAAGGGCCCAGCCCTTCTCTACGGAATGCCGGGGCTGCTTTGGGATGTGTGGCTCGGTGTTCACAGTCACCTTGGGAGTCAGAACCAGGTTCAGCCTCCGTGGCAGGACACCCAAGCTCTGTCACGTCTGTTCCTACGGCTCCTCCTGCCTCCCGCCTTACTCCTCCACAGCTCCCACAGCCGCCCTGCCCCTTTGTAGTGCCCCAGCCAGCTCGAGCCGCCTCTACAGAAGGATTGCTCATGGTTCTAAGTGTTAACTGAGTCTCCTTGACCCCTCGCATTTCCCGCCCCCCGCTCCCCGCCCCACCACCCCACCCCGCTTACCTAGAATCTTTCCCTCCCTCCCTACTCAATGGAAAGAGGCCTCAGGGCAGAAAGCAAACAGGAAGGACTCCGGATTTACTGCATAACTGATGCTCTCGGAGCAGCCTGGGCTGCCAGGGGAGCAGGCAGAATAGTGTTCTGCTCCTACTCCCCATCAACGCCTTGGCACTATACCTCTGGAACTTGGCCATGACCTTGAGTGAAAGGGAAGGCACCCCAGTGAAATGCAGTCTCAAAATAGAAATGAAGTTGTTGGGAAGACAAGCTCATTAAATGCATGCCTGAGTTTATGGGTTGAGACTCACACCTGTTGCACACAGGTGTCTGCCTCAGTCTGGAAGGTTCCCACCCACACCCCAAGAACACACACACACACACACACACTCACACTCACACAGCCTGGATCATGCCTCCTTACCTGCTCACCATCCAAACCTTGGTTTCCATATGACCTCCTCCAGAAAGCCTCCCCCGACAGACCTCACCCCTGCCCCCACATCACCGGGCTGGATTAATCTGTAAGCATTTTCTTCTCTGTCTCCTTCAGTACCTATCAGCTCCTCAAGAACAGGGACAAGATCTAGTTCACTGTGGCATCCCTATTGCTCAGAACAGTGCCTGGCACGTAGTGGGCACCCCACAAATATTTCTTCACTTAAACAAATGACCACATGGCAGATGAGGAAGACAGGACTTGGGGAAGGTATCCTAAGAGGAAGTTTTCTGACGGCTACAGACATCGGCGTCAGGCCATGCCTGGGACGTTCCTTCCACCTGGGTGCATGCTGAGCCTTTCTTGCCTCTGTCCTGCTGGCTTAGTTTGTTCCACTTCTCCCCTCTCCACTTTTTGGGAGGGTTCTGGGGAGGGTGGGCAGAAGGGGAGAAGTGCAAGAGGCAGGCCCGCTGGGGCTGGAGGGAGGATTTTGCGGCATTTGGAAGACACAGTAGGTGGGAGACGAAGCTAGGGCGTCAGTCCCCTTGATGGTGACTGGGAATTACAGTAGAGAAACGGCGCTGTACGGACACTGCTGGTTTTGTGTTCACAGGACTTTTCTCGCACTGGCACATGGATCACAGCTTTACAAATGCCACATCCTCAAGAAACCACAGCAGACAGTTCCTGCCTCTTCCTCCACCTCCTCCTGAATCAGAAGGGAAGTGAGATTTCTATTTGCCTGGCGTGCACAACCCTCCATAGTTTACACCTGGTACAGCTCTTCAGTTCATCAACATTTACTGAGCCCCACGTGTCCCAGGTGTAGAAGGTCCTTTATTTTCTTACGCTTTTTATTTGCATAATATTCGCTTTTAGACACACCGCCTTGGTCCCTGAAGTGGACAGCTATTATTTTTCTCCTGCCCAGCCTCTTGGAAACAGCACTTCAGTCTTCGTCAGGGGCACCACCCTGCCCCGCCCTGTCCCTGCGCATCATTCGCTTGGCCAAGAACTGTGGCCCGGCCCATCAGTGCCTCCCCGCTCCACTGGACCCCACCCCACCCAAATTCATTGTCCACGCAGCCACAGGAGGGATTTTTCGTTTTCTTTTTTTCTTTTCTTTTCTTTCTTTCTTTTTTTTTTTTTTTTTTGAGGTGGAGTCTCGCTCTGTCGCCCAGACTGGAGTGCGATGGCATGATCTCTGCTCATTGCAACTTCCGCCTCCTGGGCTCAAGCAATTCTCCTGCCTCAGCCTCCGGAGTAACTGGGATTAGAGGCGCCCACCACCACGCCCAGCTAATTTGTGTATTTGTGTATTTTTAGTAGAGACGGGGTTTCACTATGTTGGCCAGGCTGGTCTCAATCTCCTGACCTCAGGTGATCCACCCGCCTGAGTCTCCCAAAGTGCTGGGATTACAGGCGTGAGCCACCGCACCTGGCCGGGATTTTCTTAAAACATAAAACCAGATTCCATCATTCCTCTGCTTAAAATCCCTCAGAGATTCTCATATCAAACTTTAAGCTCTTTACCAGGGCCTGCAGGGCCTTGCCTGACCTGCATAAAAGTCTCAACTGAAATGTGACTTGCTCAGAAGGACCCTTTGTAGCCACACTATGGAGACCTTTGTCTATCTCAGCACACTGCTTCTTTTGTTTTGTTTTGTTTTTGAGACAGGATCTTGCTCTGTTGTCCAGGCTGAAGTGCAGTGGCAAGAACAGGGCTCACTGCAGCCTTGACTTTCTGGTCTCAAGCGGACCTCCCACCTCAGCCTCCAAAGTGCTGGGATTACAGGCATGAGCCACTGCGTCCAGCCACTCTGTTTCTATTCTTTGGAGCATTTATCACATTTTGTCAGTTCAGTTTCCCCCTCACAATGGAGAGGGTGAGGGAGGGCAGGGGCAGCCCTCTCCCCCTCACTTCTTATTCCTAGCATGTGGCACATGGTAGGTGCTCAACCCATCTTTGAAGAAGGCTGGGATAATGACCTTGGGGTGAGGGAGGCCAAGCAGAGATGTGCTGGGCTAGTGCAGTGGCCCAGGACAGAGATGGAGGTGGTCTGTGCTCAGGGGCTGTGAAGCCAATAGACCTTACTGGATGGAGGATGCATCTTATCCATCCGGGCTGCTATGACAGAATACCATAGACTGGGCAGCTTATCCACAGCAGGTACTTACTTCTCATAGTTCTGCAGGCTGGGAAGTCTAAGATCAAGGTGCCAGCAGATTCCGTGTCTGGTGAGGGCCACTTTCTCATAGACGGTGACTTCTCGCTGAGTCCACACGTGGTGCAAGGGGCAAGGAATCTCTCTGGGGACTCTTTTATAAGGGCACTAACCCCATTCACACGGGCTTCATACTCATGACCTAATCACCTCCCAAATGCCCCATCTCCTAACACCATTACATGGTGGGCAGTGGGGTAGAATTTAAACATGGATTTTGGGGTGATACAAACATTCAGACCATAGCAGGGAGGATGTATTTTGGGGGCAGAGAAAACAGAATGGAAACTGCCTTTGCAAAAATCATAGCTGAGAAAATTACGACAGTGAAAGACACCACACCTAACTGACCCCATCTTGCTTCTAACCGTGAAACTGTCCTTGTTCATTCCTTGGCATAGGCCGAACTCGCTTTGGGAAGGAATTTAGTGTATAGTTTATATAATAGGCCTTCCCAAAAGGCTAAACTGTTCTTGTAAAACAAATGAAAGGCCACCAGCCACCAAGTCAAGATGAGAGGGGCTGGAATTCTAAATATTCCCAGCCATTATTCCGGAGGTCCTAAGATTTGCAACTTACCCAATTACTCTTGAAGGTAACATTACTATTGTGAACCTAAGATCGGCCTTTGGAGATGTCTTTTTAGGTTTTTGCATTTCTAACAACTAAATGGCCCCACCTGGACCTGCCAACCAATTATGTGGCCCCCACCCCGGAACTGACTCAGCAGAAGTGAACAGCTTCGACGCCCTGTGAGTTTATCTCCAAGCCAACCAATCAGCACTCCCAATTCACTGGCCCCCTACCCACCAAATTATCCTTAAAAACTCTGATCCTCAAGTTTTCAGAAAGACTGATTTGAGTAATAATAAAACTTCAGTCTCCCACACAGCCGGCTCTGCGTGGATTACTCTTTCTCGGTTGCAATTCCCCTGTCTGGACAAATCGGCTCTGTCTAGGCAGCGGGCAAGGTGAATCCCTTGGGCGGTTACAGAATGTGCTGGCAGGCTGAATGGTGGAGCAGAGAAGAAGGATGAACCCTACATTTCCCACTTGAGCACCTGTGTGGGATGGTGGTGCCAGGGGACAGCGGGAGAGCAAGCATTACAGGAAAACCCACACGTTATGTTTAGGATACATTCGTGGTGTGATGTCTGTAAGACATTTAAGGGAGGGGTTGTGTAGGCAGCTAGACTATGAGTCTGGAGCCGGAGGGAAGATCTAGATTCAAGTATGGGGGTCAACAGCACATTGACGGTGCCGAAAATCACAAATGGTATGAGATCCATTGGAGAGAGCACCTATGGAGAGAATATGGGAGCTCAGGACTGCACTTGAGGATGCCCAAGATTCTGAGATCACATAGAGAAAGAGCAGCCAGCAAAGGATACTGAAGAGAAGAGGCCAGTGCAGGGGACAGGGAAACCAGGCCAGTGTAGTGGCCCTGAGCCGAGGGAAGAGTTTCTCAAGGAGAGGGAAGTCAACAGTGAAGACACTGCTGAAAGATGTGCTGTGATGGGAACAGAGATGTGGCCTTTGGATTCACAATAGGAAGGTCCTGGGAGCTTGGCAAGAGCTATTGTAGGGCCAGGCTCAGTGGCTCACACTTGTAATTCCAGCACTTTGGGAGGCCAAGGTGGGATCACTTGAGGCCAGGAGTTTGAGACCAGCCTGGGCAATATAGTGAGACCTCATCTTTAAAAAAAAAAAAAAAAAAAAAAAAAGTCCGGGCACAGTGGCTCACGCTTGTAGTCCCAGCACTTCGGGAGGCCTAGGCAGGTGGATCACCTGAGGTCACGAGTTCAAGACCAGGCTGGCCAACATGGTAAAACCCCGTCTCTACTAAAAAATACAAAAAAAAATTAGGCAGGCGTGGTGGCACACAGCTATAATCCCAGCTTCTGGGGAGGTTGAGGCAGGAGAATCTCTTGAACCTGGGAGGTGGAGGTTGCAATGGGTCAAGATTGCACCACTTTACTTCAGCTTGGGAAACAGAGTGAGACTCTGTCTCAAAAAATAAAATAAAATAATAAAAAATTAGCTGGGTGTGGTAGTGCACTCCTGTGGTCCCAGCTACTCACGAGGCTGAGGTGGGAGGATTGCTTGAGCCCAGGAGGTTGAGGCTGCATTGAGCTGTGATCACACCACTGCACTCCAGCCTGGGTGACCAAGTGAGATCCTGTCTCAAAAAAATAAATGAGTAAAATAAAATAATGGATAAATAAAAGCCATCCCCCATTTTCCAAAGCCCTCCTCATGAGCAGTGCTGAATCACAACTAAGAACCATTGCTCTAGCACAAAAGTCAACAAACTTGTTCTGTAAGAGATAGATGGTAAAGTTTTTCAGCTTTGCAAGCTGTATGATTACTGGCACAACTATGCAATTCCATCATTGTAGTTTGATAGCAGCCACAGACAATTCCTAAGCAAATGAGTGGGACTGTGTTCCAATAAAACTTTATTTAAAAACACAATTGGTGGGCCAGATTTGGCCCATGAACTATATAGTTTGCTGGCCCTTGCTCTAGCATGTGTGCTGATGAGGATCACCTAAAGAAGAAGGCACTGGTGATGTGGAAGGGAGAGAAAACCAAACAAGCAAGGCTTCCAAGAAAGCAGGAGGAGATCCAGGGCCCAAAAGCTGTGGTGGCTGTGGTGGGGAGAAGGACATTTGCTGCTGTATGGCAGGCAGAGAGAAGATGCAGGAAGGAGGTAGGTTTGGTGGTGGGCATATGCAACTTGCCCCTGGAGACCTTCTATTGTTCTGTGATAAATGAGTGGAAGCCTCAGCTGAGAGTGGGGGAGAAGAAGGGGTTCTGAGAATATACAGACAAAGGAAAACCATCTTCTCAGGAATGAGCAGAAAACCTTCTAGAGAACCATGGTAGGAGGGCAGGGCAATGAGAGACCATTTGGGAATCATAAAACTGAATTAAAAGTGAACTCAGTCAGCTTGGCAGTGGTATTTTTGTCTCCTCCCTTCCGAAATTTGTATGCTGAAGCCCAAACTCCCAATGTGATGGTACTGGGACTTGGGGCCTTTGGGAGGCAATTAGGTCATGGTGGAGCCCTTGTGATGGAATTAATGCCTTTACAAGAAAAGATATGAGAGCTCGCTCTCTCTCTCTCCACCCCCACACCCCCCGCCCCACCGTTTCCCTCTCCCTCCTCCTCCTCTCCCCAACATGGTGTGAAGACACAGCAAGAAAGTGGCCATCTGCAAGCCAGGGAGAGAACCCTCACCAGGAACCAAGTCACCAGCGCCTTGACCTTGGACTTCCAGCCTCCAGAGCTGTAGGAAATAACAGTCTGCTGTTTAAGCCCTGAGTTGGTGGGATTTTGTGAGAGCAGCCAAGCTGACTGTGATAGGTGGGATTTTACCCAGCAACACTCAGCTGCTCCAGAGTGCCCTGGAGAGGGGAAAGGGTGGATTTATCCAGGGTCAGGGCTTTGCCAGGCAAGCAAGAGGAAGGAAAGGGGGCACAGCAGGGGGCGGGAGGAAGCAAAAAGGCATGGGTGGCAGACCCCAGGACCTGAGCTGGGGAAAGCAGGAAATAACGGCTGCCAGGCAGGATGGATGGTGAGAAGAGGGTGAGGCCAGTTGGCTGGAGGGCGAGGACCAGGGATGGGACATCAAGGAATCCTGAGCAAGTGGCCTGGAGGGGTGGGAAGTGGTGGCCGAGAGCTGGGACCTAGACTTGACACATCAAAAATGAAGCCCCTTCTGAGAATGGTGGAGAATGATGTGATGGGGCAGGTGGCTGAGCGGCAGGAGCAGGTGGCTGCAGGTGGGGAAGGGGTGAAGCTGTGAGGCCTGGGGACTTGGGTGGGTCACTCCCATGTGGGTTAAAATCCCCCCACCCACCCAGTGAGCTCAAGTCTTCTGTAAATACAGGGACGGGGCAGAGGCACGAGGTCTCCTGGGGGCCGGCAGATGGCACCAGTGACTTGGGAAAGAGCAGCACAGCCAGATGTCTACAACTCCCAAAGGAGAGGAAGGAGCCCAGAATCCGCACATCCGCTCCAGCTCCCAGGGCCCCAGTGTGGGGAAACTTCTTCCACCTGAGACACCCAGGGCACCGCGTCCTGGGGACAGCCCATTTTAGGCGGAGGAGGGGATGGAGATGCTGCTCAGAGGAGTGGGGCATGAAGGCCTGCTGAACTCAGAGGGGACAGGTTGCACAGGGAGGGGAGTGTGGGCTGGGAGTGGGGTGAGTGCCTGAGGGCAAATGTGCGTGAGCATGGGGATGAGGATGTGGCGGTATGTGTGAGTGTGCGTGAGCTGAGGGTGTGGGAATGTTCGTGCGTATGCAAGTGACTGCAAGTGTGTATGTGAGTGTGGGGGGTGTGAGTAACAGTGTTAGTGTATGAATGTAGGTGTGTGAGAGTGTGAGGGTGAATGTGTGTGTGAATGTGTGGGTGGGTGAGTGTCAGTGTGGATGAGTGTGGATGTGAGTGGGTGTGTCTGCAAGAGAGAGAAAGAGGAGAGAGAGAGAGAGAGAGAGATGGATAGGATGGGGATGGCTAGCGGGTGGTACAGGGCAGTGCGGGGGCGAAATCCAGAAGCTGCTGGAAGGCCATGAAGGCTGACAGGTGGGCTGGGGTGGTCAGGGGCCTCAGGGAGGGCTGTCACCACCTCCACTCCTGTGTACTCCGAGGCCTCCCCAGCTGAGTGGCGGCTCTGGGGCAGCTACTCCTCAGAGTTCCTTTCATCTGAGTTATTGGCATTTTCTGGATTGCTGCTGTAGGTCCTCGTCATTAATTTTAAGATTGCAGCCAGGTGCAACGGCTCACGCCTGTAGTCCCATCTACTCAGGAGGCTGAGGTGGGAGGATCTCCTGAGCCCAGGAGGTCAAGGCCGCAGTGAGCCATGACGGCAACCACTGCACTCCAGCCTGGGCGACAGAACGAGGAGACCCTGTCTCAAAAGAAAAAAAAAAAAGACTTACATGGTATTCCATTGATTGGGTATTGCATAATTTATTCAGCATTCCCCTATTAATATAACACACATTCTCATTGTGTGCAGAAATGATCAATTACCAACATCACTGTCACACGGGTCCCAAAGCTATCTTTTGGCTCATCCCACAATTGCTTCTACAGGATAAATTCCTTGAATGGAAATTGTTAGGTTAAAACTATGCAGAGGTCTAAGATGATAAACCTATGCTGCCAAAACGCTCTCCCAGAGGACTGAGACAATTTACAAGTAAGCCAGCAACGTGAGCATATCCACTTCTCTTCAATCTCACCAATTCTGGGTATTATTTATTTTTTATCTCTGATCAGTTAGATACTTTAGATACATGGCGTCTCATTGCTCTTGCAAAATACTGTTATTTGATTATTAACAAGCATATACATTTTATTATTTGAGTATTGGCTATCTTCCTGTGAATTGCCTTTCCTTGTCTTTTGCTGATTTTGAAGCAGAGTCTTCCTGGTTAGTAAGAGCGTTGGTAAAAACGAAAATCTTTGTTGGTCATATATGTTAAAAATATTCCTCCCAGTTTATTATTTGACTTTCTATTCCAATGGGGAAATTGTGCATTTTCCTATTCCCCAAATCCTATTATTCTTTATATTTAAATCGCATAAACATCCTAAGGTAATTACTGAGAATTTATGTCTTTCAAATATTAAATTCTCCTCTCCAGATACATAATAGCTATCTCCGTTATTTTTTCAAGTGTTCTTTTTGATTCCTTGTAAACTTTTATTGTTTTCTATATTAGCTACTTCCCGTGTGGCAGGACGCTGACTACATGAAGATGTCTCCTTCGTGGTGGGCGGGGGACTAACTCGTTTCAGATCAATCCTCCCACTTAGAACAACTAGAGAACCTGGACGAAATATATACATATATTTTTTATTTTTGAGACGGAGTCTTGTTCTGTCACCCAAGCTGGAGTGCAGTGGTGTGATCTGGGCTCACTGCAAGCTCCGCCTCCCGGATTCAAGCGATTCTCCTGCCTCAGCCTCCTGAGTAGCTGGGACTACAGGCGTCCGCCCCCATGTCCGGCTAATTTTTTGTATTTTTAGTAGAGACGGGGGTTTCACCGTGTTAGCCAGGATGGTCTCGATTTCCTGACCTCGTGATCTGCCCGCCTCGGCCTCTCAAAGTGTTGGGATTACAGGCGTGAGCCACCGCGCCCGGCCACGTCCAGCTAATTTTTGTTATGTTTAGTAGACACGAGGTTTCACCATGTTGGTCAGGCTGGTCTCAAATTCTTGACCTCAAGTGATCCTTTCGCCTCAGCCTCCCAAAGTGCTGGGATTACAGGCATGAGGCACCATGCCCAGCCCTTGGATGAAATACGTTTTGATTTAGGTAAAGACATTAGTGAAGTACCCAGGCAGACAGGACTTGCGGGGCCAGTGTTTGAGGCTGCCTTTCCCTGAGAGCAGCTGCCTGTTCAGAAACAGCGACCCAGCAGCAAGTAGCAGTGGCAAGCCTAAGACGAGCAGAGCTTCCACGGGTCTCATGAGGACAAAATGCAGATTTCGGGACTGGCCACAGGCTGAGGGGAACGCCTGAACACCCCGGATTTTCAGTTGAGATCCCTCCCAAAGGGAAATTCCCTAGAAATAAGGGGAAATCAGAAGTAGGTCAGACTGGCTGGGCACAGTGGCTTGCGCCTATAATCCCAACACTTTGGGAGGCTGAAGCACGTGGATCACTCAAGGTCAGGAGTTCGAGACCAGCCTGGCCAACATGGTGAAACCCTGTCTCTACTAAAAATACAAAAAAATTAACCGGGTGTGGTGGCACATGCGTGTAATCCTAGCTACTCAGGAAGCTGAGGCAGGAGAATCACTTGAACCTGGGAGGCAGAGGTTGCAGCGAGCTGAGATCGCACCACTGCACTCCAGCCTGGGTGACAGAGCGGGACTCTGTCTAAAAAAAGAAAAAAAAAAGAAAGAAAGAAAGAAAAAGAAATAGGTCAGTCTTTAAAATAATGAAACCCCCCACAGGCTCATAGATATTCGGTAATTTTATTTCAACCCTCCTTCCTTTCCAATCCGTGATCTAATCTGTAATCTAATCTGTAATCTAATACATCTATCTCATACCTTTTTATATGTTGTATTTCCATTTTTATTTAGTTTTTATTTCCATTTTTATTTAGTTCCAAATATTAATATTTTCTCTTTTCCATTGAGTTCTTTTTTGACCCAGATTATTTAGAATTGCATTGCTTAATTTCTAAGTAGTTGGGGATTTTCTAATTATCTTTTGGCTTTTGGTTCCTAACATAATTCTACAATGTTTGGATAATATACTCTGTATTAGTTTGATCTTTTGAAATTTGTTTTTGCCCTGGCACATGGTAAATCTTCACGAATGCTCTGTGTGTACTTGAGAACAATGGATATTTTGACATTGTGGAGTGTGGTGTTTGAAATACATGAATTAGGTCAAGTTTGTTTATCATGTGGTTGAAATCTGTTTTTTTAAATTTGTCGTCTGCTTCAGCTGTGTTAAAAGTCCTCCCCTGTGACTGTGGATTGAATATGTCTCCTTTAGTTCTGTCGACTTTTACTTTATATATTTTGCAGTTATGGCATTAAGAACATAAACACTTAGAATTGTTATAGCTTCGTAGTATACTACAATTTTTACCCTTATGAAATGTCTCTACCCTTAGTAATGTTTGTCTTAAAATCTACTTTTCGGGGTCCTTTCTGGCCCATCCTTATCTAAGCAGCCATCACAGGTGGGATCAGGATCAGCCCTTGCCTCCTCCACCTGCACACTCTTTCTTACAGTGGCATCCTCCCCTGTAGTTTTTTTTTTTTTTTTTTTTTGAGACGGAGCCTTGCTCTGTCACCCAGGCTGGAGTGCAGTGGCATGATCTTGGCTCACTGCAACCTCCACCTCCCAGGTTTAAGCAATTCTCCTGCCTCAGCCTCCGAGTAGCTGGGACTACAGGCGCGCACCACCATGCCCGGCTAATTTTTTTTTATTTTATTTTTAGTAGAGATGGGGTTTCACCATATTGGTCAGGCTGGTCTTGAACTCCTGACCTCGTGATCCGCCCACCTCGGCTTCCCAACGTGCTAGGATTACAGGTGTGAGCCACTGCGCCCGGCCCCTTGCAGCTTTAATAACCCAGCTGAGTCCAGAATCCCTTTCTCCCTTGGGCCACTCTCCAGAGCACTGTACCCTGCAGCCACTGGACAGCTCCTCCAAGCCACCACCTAGGAACTGCAAACCCACCCTCAATCCCAGTACCTCCACCCATCAATCAATTACTCAATCTGTCAATCAATCAAATAACAACACCCTGGTCCTCATCTCACGTTCTCTCCAGGTGAGAAGTCCTGGTTTGTGGAGTTGCATTGGACTCTGTCTCTCCCTAATCCCCCCACATTCAATCCATCAGCCAAGCGCCACTGGTTTTACCTCCTAATTATATCTGGAATGTGCTCTCTACTGCCCACCAGAATCCTTGTCCACAAGGCCTCCATCTCCCCTCAGGAGGGCTGCAGCAGCCCCCTAACAGATCTCCCTGCTCCCATGCGGCTTTAAGCTGTCTCATGCAGAGGCTGGAGTCCTCCTGCCACCAGGATTCTCACCCTGTCACCCCCAGCTCAGAACCCTCCAATAAAAATAACAGCAACAACAAATCGGCCAGGTGTGGTGTCTCACACCTGTAATCCCAGCACTTTGGGAGGCTGAGACAGATAGATCACCTGAGGTCAGGAGTTCGAGACCAGCCTGGCCAACATTGTGAAACCTCGTCTCTACTAAAAATACAAAACTAGCCCTGCATGGTGGTGCACGTCTGTAGTCTCAGCTACTCGGGAGGCTGAGGCAGGAGAATTACTGAACCCAGGAGGTGGAGGTTGCAGTGAGCCAAGATCGTGCCACTGCACTCCAGCCTGGGCAACAGAGGGAGACTCTGTCTCAAAAACAAACAAACAAAAACAAAAAAACCAATAACAAATCTGCCAGCCCTCACTGAGCACTGCCAAGAACCTGCACTGTTCCAGGCATGTTGCTTGTGCAGATTCATGGAATTGTTACAGAAGCCCTATGAAGGGACCTCTGTTACCACTCCATTACCCAAGCGAGAAAGCAGGCACAGAGAGCTTAAGCAACTTGCCCAAGGTCACCCAGCTGACCAAAGCAAAAACAGGACTCAAACCCAGGCAGCCTGGAGCCAGAGACCACCCCCTTAACCAGGCATCACTCCGATGTGCCAAGAAGATAAATGAATCTTCTCACTGAGGCTGAGAAGGCCTTGTGAAATCAGGCCTGCTGGCCTCCCAGACATTGTTCCACAGCTGCCTCCTCCCATCCAGCGTCTCTGGCTTTCACACTCACCAGACTTCCTCCCTGCCCAGGGCCTTTGCACATGCTGTGTGCTCTAGGAAACCTCGCCCCATCCCCTGCTCATAACTTCCAATCAACCCTCTCCCCCAGGGTCCTTGGCTGCCTGGGCCACCGGGCAGTCCCTCGGGTATATGCTTTCATGCACCCTGAATTTTTCCTCCACGCATTTCTAACAAAGGCTGTATTAATACATCTGTGCAGGCGCGTGAATATGTTTCCTGATGGACTATGAATGTGGCCAGAGCAGCCATCGTGTCTAGCTTCGTCCATTGTGGTCCCCGGTGCCTATCCCAGTGGCACTGAATGTTTGTGGAATGGATGGGTGAATAAAGAAATGAATGCATCCCCGCAGATGGGGGGCTGCAAAGCCCTGGGGTCAGGCTCTCTGCCTTCCTCGCCTTTGTTCCTTCGTTCGCTGACCGCCAGAGGGCGCCAAAACCCGGGAAATGGCCCGCCTGATGCGTGGACTCCAGGGGGGTTCCCCAGCAAGGGGAAGGGGCCGGGTGCCCAGTGGGTGGGCGCCGTGGCCTCCCTGAAAAACACTGTGGACAAATAAAGACTAAGGCCTGGTTTGACTCCTTCCCCGGCAGCTTCTCAGCTGTGACCAGCAGACACCCTGCCTCTCAGGGGGATGGCAGAAATCCTTGCTGCCCGGTAGGAACTGAGCCCAAGGGCCTGAGGTAGGAAGGGATGTGTTTGCACAGCAAACATTCGTGGATGGAGCCAGCCTGAAAGGGGACTTCTAAGTGGGAAAGAAAAACAAATACTGGTCCCCTACTCTCACATGCCTACAATCCTGGCAACTCCCATAGGTAGGTAGGCATTGCTGTTCTCCATGTCTGCACTTGGGGAAACTGAGGCACAGCTGTACCCAGTGGAGCTTGGTGATGCCTTCCCACCCCTTGCCTGCCTACTGGCCACCCCTGCATCTAGCTGCCTCCACATGAGTGGTTCTCACAGTGTGGTACCTGGAGCAGCAGCAGCTCCTGTCCACCCAGACCTCCTGATTTAGAGACTCTGGGATTGAGCCCAGCAACCTGTGGCTAAAAGCACTCCAGAACATTCTGATGTGCAGTCAAGTATGAGAACCTCTGGTCTGCACCAGCCCTTTCTCGGGCCTGGGCAACACAACTGTGAGGACAGTGAGGCGGGACCCTGAGGGAGGGGAGTGAGAGGTGAGGCTGCTCCATGGGAGAGGTGAGGCCAGTGTCCCAGGCTGCCCAGAGCCCCCTGGGTGGGCAGGGCCCACCAGGTGGAAAAGCCCCAGAAGATACCTTGCACCTTCTGTGCCCACTCAAGTCCCAACAGACAGCCCGAGGGCTGCAGAGGGTTGGCAAGCACTGGCCATGCAGGTTCCCAGGACCCTCCCCTGCCTCCCCCGGAGGGGGCCTGGACAGCTGCCATCTGAACCGGTCCCCAGCCATTCCTCTGCATCCTAACATTGGAGAACTGCAGGCTCTGGAGGTTTTGGACCAGCCAGAGCCAGGTGTGAATTCTAACACATCTGTGACCTAATACAAACCCTGTCCCTCCTTTGATCCTTGGACTGCTCCCGAATAGAAGACGGTCATTATGAAAAAAAAGAAAATGAGAGTGGTTTAGAGAATCGGAGGTGGCTTGGGACATTCAGAGCAGGAAATGGGTCTTGGGGGTGGGACCAGCCGCAGATCACTGGCAATGAATGCCATCCTCAGAGCACAGATTTTGTCCCTGGGGCAAAGGCATTATCCCAGGCAGGCAAGATAATCAGATTTGCATGTTCCAACATTGCACCTGAGGGTCTGAGCTGATGAGAAGGCTGTCCCTGGTGGGCTCCTGGCACCAGCTCTGGGCCAGACCGCCTGGGTCCAAATTCCTACCCTGCCCCATCCCCACGGCTGCAGGACTTTGTACAACAGACATAACCTGCCAATGCCTCAGTGGCCTCATCTGTCAAAGGAAGATAAGGGGAGTAGTGTTCACGAGCATCAGATGAGAGACCTCATGTAAAGTCCATGGCGGAAGGGCCCCATCCCTGATAGCTGTTACTGTCAATCGGTGAGATTGGCCCCAGTTGGTGGGAGCCAGCTGAGGAGAGCAGTCTGTGAAGGCCCTCTATAGGCAGCTTTAGGAACAGCATGGCTCCGTGGGCACAGTGTTACAGGACTCCCTCCAATCCCCACTCCTGGGTGCCCCAGGAAGGGAACTGACGCCCGGATTGGACACTAGCCCCCTCCTCCTTCTCCCGAGGCCTTTGGCCTGGCCCTGCACACATGACCCAGCTTCCTGTTTGTGATGCCAGCGCTGGAGGGAGGAAATTCAGTGCCCCAGCCCCAGGGCTGCAGGGCAGGAATGTGGACGTGTTGACGTCAAAGCTTGTCCTAGTTCTGGGGAAGTGGGATGGGAAGGGCTTCCTGCTGAGCCACCTTTGATCCCAGGTCTGATCTGGGAGAGTGACCCTGGACAGCCGGCCCAGAGGGAGTTCAGACACCCAGAGCTTTCTCTGGTGGCCACCATGGGCACCAAGCTCAGGGTCCTTCCCCAGCATAGCTGTTTGGCCTTGGGCAAATCACCACGCCCCTCCAAATCCCCCACCTGTAAAGCAGGATTAAAAATGTGTATCTCAGAGCATCACCCACTCATCAGATGCGTAGTAAGCTCCTACTTTGTGCTTCATTCTAGGGATGAAGCCTGCCCAGGCTGTGGTGGGCTCTGGCCAGCATCCCCCTGGCTGGTGGGCCAGGGAGTGAGAGGGGCCGGGAGGAGAGGATGCTCGTAGACAGAGGCACAAAGCATGTCCAGAGGTGGCTGCTAGGAGATTTCCCAGCACTAGGGCTGTGACTCAGGCTGAAGCCTGAGCCCAGGCACTTCCTGGCTGGTGACTCAGTTTCCCCAATTCTACAGCGGCATCACACAACATCTGCTTCTCAGCATCGAAGAGGCGTTGAGGCATGGCCGGTATGTGTCTGTGGGGTCCTTCAAAATCTTATTTATCAAGCAGTTAGAGTGGGCTCAGGACTTTGTGTATGTGTTTGCTCTCTCAGGTGAGCCTGAAAAGATCAGGACTGCGACTCCCATTTTACAGAGGGATAACCTGAGGCTCAGTGAGGTGAAGGCAGTTCAAGATCCTTGACAGAGGCTCTGGATCACTGCGCTAGAAAGTGGTGGGGTGGGGAAAGACCGCTGGGCTTTCTGACTTCAGCAACACGTTCTCCAGTAACCAGACTTCCGAACAGTGGCAGACAGGGCCCTCTGCCTGGCAAGCACACACCACAGGACCTGTCCCACAGAGGGCCTCCCAGCCCGCTCTGCCAACCTCACCCACAGGCCCCCAAACTTGAGAGGGTTGACATAGGCCATGGAGACCTGTGCGAATGTCTGCCTTCCCTACTCCAGTCGACCCCCTGCATCACCCAGAGCACCAGGCCAGGGCCTGGAGTCACGCTCTCCTCTGCCCAGCACTGCCAGGAAGGCAGAAGGTGAGACACAGGAGAGAATGCATGGCGAGAGTGGGCATTTATTTGGCACGTCCTAGGTGGGCTGGGCTGCTCGATGAGATTTTAGGTATATTATCACCATCAGGAAGATTCTAGAGGTAATGAAACTGACATCCAAGAGGGGAGGTGACCTCTCCAGGGTCTCCACCCTGTGCGCCTCAGTTCCCCCAACTGTGACATTGGATGAAGGAGCTCATGCTCAGGGAGGCTGGGAGGGGTCCTGAGGAGGGCTCAGAGCAAGGCCTTGGGACAGCATAGTCCCTGCAAGGGAGTGACCGCTAGGGGCCTTCCTGGGAGCCTGCTGTGCCCTCAGCCCCAGCCCTGCCCACCCTCCCTTTCCCTCTCTGCCTTTCTCCAGAGCACGGCTCAGCCCTTTGGGGCTCTGCACTTTGGGGCCAGAGAGACCTGAGTTAGAATCCAGACCTGCCACTCACTGGTTATGCGACCTGGGCTGAGCGGTTCTTTTTCTCTGAGTCTCAGTTTCCTCATCTGTCTGCGTAAATAAATGAGGGTAATAACCAGCCGCATTTCAAGGGGTCTGGAGGTTAGGACATCATATCTTTCAAGTACCTGGTACGCTGTCTGACGCAGAGTAACCATTTAATAAAGCGGAGCTGTTGTTGCTGTCGCTGTCATTGTTGGCGTTTATTTATGAATGTCGAGGCGGCAGGTGGGCCTTGGTGGGACTGTACGGACATTTCCCGGATGCCCGGAAGGTGGCGCTAGAGACCCCCTTGTCGGCTCCCAAGAGAGCGCTAAGCATGGTCTTCACATCATCGGGAAGAAGCCAAACTTAGACGCCCGGATGGTTTCCAGCTCTGTTAATTCCCTGGGCAGATGCTTCCTGAACACCCCAACAATGTTCTCAGGTCCACCACTGGGGCTGCGGACCTGGGGCTCCTCCCCACCAGCCACCCCGCCCTCCCCAACAGGCCTCCACTGCCTTTCTCTCCCTCCCTTTGTCTCTCCTGCCTCCTCCCTCCCTTCGTTTCTTCCTTCCTTCCTTCTTACAAATAGGCACTGTGCACCTACTGTGTGCTGGGCTCTGTACGATGAACTGGAGATGCCCAGGGAAGAAGACCTTTGAAAGGCTGTGCCCTCTGGAACCTCCAAACTACGTGAGGACACAGAAATAAACAAGAGAAAGAAGAAAAAAAAAGATGCTTTCAGATCCTGGCAAGCATCGGGAGAAAATACAACAGGGTGGTGGGATAGAGGGACGGAGGAGCTGGGGTGAGGAGAAGGCGGGAGGTGGTCAGAGGGAAGGGCCGGTGTGGAGGGGGCCGCCGGAGCAAGGACCCTCGGACACGCAGCCCAGCATATCAGGGAGAAGAGACAAGAGGAAGCAGTCGGGTGGGGGCAGATGTGGCCAGAATCAGAAGCGGGTCTGCGAGGTACAGACTAAAGGGCCGGTCAACTGCTGCAGCAACCACAGCCACCACTAATGCTTACTGAGCACTTACTAGGTGCCAGGCACTGGCATTGTCCCATTTTATAGGTGGGGAAACTGCAGAAGGGACCGCAGCCAACAGTGTTTTCAGGGGCCCTGGGAGTTCCCAGGGCCACTGGTGGAAGAAGGAAGAGAGAATGCTCAGTGAGAGTGGGCATGCATTTGGCACGTCCTCGGTGGGCTGGGCTGCTTTATGCTATTTTAGGTACATTGTCACCATCAGGAGGATTCTAGAGGTCATGCAACTGGCATCCAAGAGGGGAGGTGACCTGCCCAAGGTCACAGTCGGGGATTGGCAACCCTGAGACCTGAACCCAGGTCTTCCCCATTTGGGCAGGTGGCCCCCTGTGCCCAGAAGCCTCAGAGCCCTCTGGAACGCCATTTTCCTTGGGCCCCACAAATAATCTGGCTTCAGTTTGCCCCTGAGCCCACCTGTCAGCAAATCCACTCCACATCCCTCGGGGATCCTGCTCTATTCCACCTCCAGCACTCCCACGAATCCCCATCTCTCCCTGGATGGCTGGATCCTGTTTCCTCCTTTCATGACACTCTGACCATCTAAAGTTATCAGACCTACTTGTGTACATTCATCTCCCCCACCAGACTATACCCTGACCCCAGTGGGTCTCCCCAGCCTCCTGCCTCAACCCCCCTAACCTTTCACCCTACCCTTCACCACACAGATGTGCTTACACCATTCTGAACAAGCACACCACTCATGAGAGCAGGCACAGACCCATCTTCATCCCCCTCTCCTCACAGCTGAGCACAGTGTGTGCATGGAGAAGGGGCTCAGTGAAGATAGGTGGATGGATGGATGGATGGAAAGACAGATAGATGAATGGATGGGTGGATGGATAGAAGTCGAATGGATGGATGATGATGGTGGACAAATGGATGAATGACGAATGGGTGGAAGGAAGATTAGTGGATGGATGGATGGATGGATGGATGGGATGGATGGATGGATGGACAGGATGGATGTATGAATAGATGGATGGATGCATGGATGTATGGATGGATGGATGGATGGGTAGATGGATGGATGGATGGATGGATGGATTGGATGGATGGATGAACAGATGGATGGATGCATGGATGTATGTATGTATGGATGGATGGATGGATGTATGGATGGATTGGATGGATGGATAGGATGGATGAATGGATGAATAGATGGATGGATGCATGGATGGATGAATGGATGGATGGACACGAGGGATGGATGGATGGACAGGATGGATGGATGGATGGATTGGATGGATGGATGGATAGGATGGATGGATTGGATAGGATGGATGGATGGATAGATGAATAGATGCATGGATGCATGGGTGGGTGGATGGACAGGATGGATGCATGGATGGATGGTTGGACAGGGTGGATGGATGGATGGATGGATGGATGGATGGATGGATGGATGGATGTTTGAAAGACTACTTGACCTAAGCCTGTGTTTGCTTTTTGACCCACAGGAAGGAGGTCAGAATAAAAGATGGCAGCAGTGACCCAGGTAAATAAGTCCTCCAGTGTGGGGCTATGGTGGGGAAAAGGGGTTAGGTGCCAGTGCTGGGGATGGGCCATCAGCAAATTCTGGCAACATCTAATGTGCACAGAGCAATGATGAGTAAACCCCAAGACGTGACCTGGAGCATCTCTTGTAAAGAACAGGGAGAGGGTGTAGTCCCTGAAGCTGGGACCAGGGCAGCAAAGCACGTCAAGGCTCTGACTCAGCCAGGAGCCATGGGAGTTTGAGAAACTGGGCGCAAACACCCACCTCATGCATGAACACGGCTCTGTATAGGCATGAAGGACTCTCACTTGTGGTGCCATGACTGAGCTTCCAACCATGGTCCTTGAAGCCAGTGGGACTCTACTCATGGTGCAGATGGAGAAACAGATGCTTCCAGAGGGGAAGTGACTTGTCCAAGACCACCCAGTCAGAAAATGGCTCACAGTTGGCTTGGGTGGGAGTTGGTGGGGTCAAATGGTTCTGGAGGGGCCAGAGGCTTGGGGTACGGGACTGTCAGGCCGGACTCAAGGGTCCTCAGGTGTAGACTCAGACCTGCCGCTCCAAGCTATGTCTCGAGTGCCCTGAGTGCCCTTCCCCAAATGCAATCTGACTGTGTCACGCTGTTTTTTGGAATCCTTAGGTGGCTCCCCAGTGGTGCGGGATCCTGTCCCAGACACTGGCTTGGCCTTCTGGTTCCTTCATCCCCTGCCCCGCAGACTTCTCCAACCTTGTGCCTCCACCTTCCACTCTCTGCACCCTGCCCTCCACCATCCTGACATGCTTACGTTTTCCTGAACAAACAGACCATATGTGCTTTCTAAGGCCCACACACATTTACACAGGCTGAGCCCTCTGTTAGGGACACCTTACCAACCTTCTTCACTCCAGTAGTTCCTACGGTGTCTTCAAGGTGTAGCTCTGGCCTCAACTGTCTCTGATCCACCCACTTACGTTTAGGCGGGGCAAGGTAGTCCCACTCCTTTCTGCCCCAATTACATGCTATGCTGAACTCTACCATCAAGACAATTACCATAGGCGATAATTAGCTGGTTACTAGTCTGCCTCCCCAGCTGGACTGTGAATTCCAAGAGAATGAGCTTTGGGACTTATTCACCTCCGTATCTGTAATGCCTGGCACAGCAGCTAGTTATTATTTGTGGAAGGGAGGGAGGGAAGGTAGAGAGCACCTTACAGTCTGTGAAGTGTTCTTTCATGCATGTAATTATTTTTAAACTTGGGGCAGCAAGGAAACATGCTGGGAAGGGTCCTCACCTCAAGCAAAGTTGTCATGCAGCAATCCTTTGTAAACCTGGTGTCTGGAACTCAAAACATAGAGGAAAATGGTGCCAAAGTGTTCGACTTTTGGAATATGGATATGCAGAGAAGCACCTTATGCTAGGGAAAGGACTCAAGCTTTGGAATCCAGAAGTACTGCAGTTTCAGAACGTTTCTAGCTGCAGGAAAGGAAACCCAACTCCAAGCCTCCACCTGACTTAGATAACAAGGGAGCTTGTTGGCTGGTGTGAGCAGAGCTGAATCTTCAGAGTGGTGCAGGCTGTCAAGGAGCTGGGTGAAGCTTTCGAGGACCTCTGTCCTCTTCATAGGTTCCCAAGTCAGTGTTACCCTGAGCGCATGGCACATGCTTCTCATTCCGCTATAGGAGGGGACATATTCCAATATCCATCCAGGAGTCCATTGGGCAGTTGTTCTCATTGGACAGTCTTGGGTCACACGACTACCCCTGAACCAATGCCTGTGGCCAAGGGAATGGGAGGCATTATCTGGTTCCAGCCCATCAGAGCCCTCCTTGGAGTTGAGGGGGCTCCCCTCCAAGCATGCTGGCTGTGGTCGGGGGGTGGTGGTAGGTACTTAGAAGGAGATCTGGGGATTGTTAGAAGGAATGGCTGCTGGGTAGGCAGCCAACAAGTGTCCCCAGCTCCTGAGTTCAAACTTTGACCCTGCCTCTTCTGTCACCGTGGGCAAGTCACTCCACCTCTCCAGGCCTCGGTTTCCCCACCTGTAAAATGGAAGAGTTGTGTTTCCATCACAGAGTGGTTGTGAAGACTCAGGGAGACAGAGTTTAAGAGGCTAGCCCAGTGGGAGGGGCCCAGGGGTGGGTCCCAGGGTCCCACCTTCTTGGTTCCTGAGGTTCTCAGGCTAGCCCACATTTCTCCACAAAGGAGCAGTGGTCTAGCCTATGAGAAATGTCACATGAGAAATATTTCTTGTTGTTTGTGAGAAAGGAGAGCACGTTTGTCCCAACGGGGCGAGGTGAGCCATTCAGGGGACAAGAAGGGCCTGTATCTCACCCGGACTTGGAGTCCATCTCAGCAGCACTGGGCACATCCTCATACTCAGCCCCTCATCCGTCCCAGACTCACTGGTGTCCCTTGACACCTCAAGTGTTCTCTTCTGCAAAAGGGGCCTGCCTGGCCACGTGGCCAAGGGCACAAACTCTGGAGCCAGGTGGCCCAAGGTCACCTCCCGGCTGTGCAACTTGGGGCCAGTTAACTGACCTCTCTGTGCCTCAATCCCCTCATCCGAAGAACAGGGACAATCATCATTCCTACCTCCCAGAGTTGTTACAAAACTTCAAATAAATCAAATCTTTATAAAGCATTTTATGAATGGCTATAGCGCAAAGCTAAAGCTATTGGAACCGGTTCAATGAACGCCAGAGCGTTATTTTCCAAACTCAGTCAGTTCCAGCGCGCTTTGATGATTTTTGCTAAATCTGCAGAGCACTTGTTTTCAAACTTAATATTTGTTTTTAATTGGCTCACTGAACTAAATGTATCTTAAAAGGAAACGTTGCATCACCACCCCGAATGGAAAAGTGGAATCATTTCCCATCAACACAAAAATGAATATAACAAGTGCTTACCATGTGCCAGGCACTCTGCTAAGCACATTACAAACATTAACTCATTCATCCCCATGAAAACCTTATGAGATGGGCACCACTGTATCTCAGTTATACAGAGGGGAAAACTGAGGCACGGGGATCTTAAGTAACTTGCACAAGGTCACAGCTGGAATGCAGCAGCATTATGATTTGAAACAAGGCAGCCTGGCTCCAAGAAACAAGACAGATAAATAAAACAAGGTCACCTCTTCTGTCTCAAGGTGGCCGCCTCCTGCAGGCTCTGTGCTGGGACCGCTATCTGTCACGCTATCTGTTAGATCAGCAAGTGGTAAAGAGGCGTTAAAACCAGAGTAGCACAAGCTGAGACTTTCTCCTTGAAGCAATCAGAAAATGGAAGGACAGCCAGAAAAAACAAATTTCTCACTGCGGGATTTACTGATGTCCTTAACGCCGAGAGTATATAAAAGCATCTTTCCTGGAGCCAGCAGTGTGCAACCCGTATTTTGTGAAAGCCCAAAGCAGAGGAAGCGCCCAGCGGCACCACCAGCATTTGCATCCCCCCATCCACACCCCCAGCCCCTGGCATTTTTTAGGTCAGGACATTGTTCAACATCGAGATGGGCAGAGCCACAGACAGGGATTAAGAAAGACATTAAATCCACTTAATAAGAATAGGCGAAAACCAAAAATTAATCACCAATAAAAGCAAATTAACTACCTGTACAGCAAAGTAATATCATATCACTGTCATACTACAGAGAGGGGGAAAACGAGCAAATCCATATAAGCGCTTAACGACCTGAACGCTACGTTACCCTTGGTGTAAAGGCAACAGTACTGGAAAGAAGGCTTGAACTTTATTTAATAGATTTATTGTTCACCAGGCCTGAAACCATTCTGTGGCTATTGTAGCTTTCAGCAAATGAGCAAACATGTTAATGTTGGAGAGTCAAGGTTTTCAGCAAGGAAGCTGCAGATATGGAAAAGGGGAGTTAAGAAAGAAGCCTGTGGTGTTGGACTGGAATTTGAGGTAAAAGCATGAGCTCATGACTTAAATATACCCAAACATACTCTGTCTGCTGCAAGGGCCTGAGCCCAGTGACACCCCCGTGTCAATGAGCCCACCTACCACCTACCACCCCCATCTTGGTTTCTTTATTTTTTTTTTTTGAGACGGAGTCTCACCCAGGCTGGAGTGCAGTGCAGTGGTGCAATCTCGGCTCGCTGCAACCTCTGCCTTTCCCAGGTTCAAGCGATTCTCCTGCCTCAGCCTCCCAAGTAGCTTGGATTACAGGCATATGCCACCACACCCAGCTAATTTTTGAATTTTTAGTAGAGATGGGGTTTCACCACGTTGGCCAGGCTGGTCTCGAACTCCTGACCTCAAGTGATCCACCCACCTTGGCCTCCCAAAGTGGTAGGATTACAGGTGTGAGCCACCGTGCCTGGCCCCTAATCTTGGTTTCTAAATCTCCTTCCCCAACAAAAGGAACCAGGGCAATTTGGGGAAATGGACAAGTCCAAGGCTGAAGGAGGAAAGATACAAGATGAGCCTGGAACATCGAGTTTTGCCAAGAAATAAGGAAGTGACCAAAGAATGATGGGGATGCATCAAAAGGACACAGGAGCCAGTTTAAAGAGGCCACTGTTCCAACTGTGGAACAATTTGGGCATTGACTCATTGTGGACAATTGAGCATTGAATAATGATGGCAGTGGATTATAGCATGTTAAATGAAAGAGAACCCATGAATTCACCCTGGTAAATATAAAATAAAGGAAAAAAAGGAAGGAGAGAAAGAGGGAGGAAGGGGGAAGGAAAAGCTTTTCCTAACAGAAAAATGGCACCTAATAAATGAAGAGGGAAAAATGGGTTTATACAATCCTCATTTGTTAATTATCGCAGTAAACATTAATTCATTTATCATCAGTGGATGCCGGGGGATCATCAGGTCAGAATCACCCAAGAATGGTGGAGCTAGAAAATCATTAGATTCCGTAAAAGTCAAAATTGATTTGGGTAAGGGAGAGAGGTTTGTTGGGAAGTGGGCAGGACCTATACACAGTCTCGGAGCATCATCCTCCGTACCGCTTATGGATCCCAAAAGGGAAAAGTGGCCCTTGGCAGTGGAGAAATCTGGCAGATACCAGCTTAACCAAGGGATCAGCTGGGACCATCCAACGTCGTGCGCCTCTTGTCACGATGTGCTTAGGACACGGCCGCACTGCTGTGTAATCCTTGCCAAAAATGAGAAACCTGAATCTCATCACAAGGAAACAATCTAATAGACCCAAACTGAGCTGGAGGACATGCCCACAACAATGAGCCTGTGTTCTGCAGAAAATGTCAAGGTTGTGAATGAGGAAGAGAGCTGAGGATGCAACTACTCCAGATGAAAGGCGGGGAAAGAGGCGTGGCAGCCGAGCATCGGCTGGATTCCGAGCTGGAGTTTGGGTGGGAGAAAGAAGTACTATCAAGGGTGTTATTGAGACAAGATTGGCAACGTCTGAATGGAAACTGTATGTACGATCCTCATACTGGAGCAATGTAGCCTTATCAAATTTCTACTGTGATTAAGCAGCGGGGGATACTGAAGTATTAATATTTAGAGATGAAGAGCCATGATCATGATGTCTACAACTTACTCTCAAAGGGTTAAGCAAAATAATAATGTGTGTGTGTATATGTGTGTGTGTGTGTGTACAGAGGGAGAGAGAGAAAGCAAGTAAGTCAAACATTAGCCATTGGTCAATTTAGGGCAGAGTTTCTCAAGCTTGTCACAATCGACATTTTGGACCAGATAATCCTGTGTTGTGGGGACAGCTGGCCCTGTGTATTGTATGATGTTTACCAGCATCCCTGGCCTGTACCCACAAGGCGCCAGCAGCGTTCCCTAGTTGTAACAACCAAAAATGTCTCCAGACATTGCCTGCAGACAGGTCCCCGTGGGGAGCGGGCATACCCGATGGCCGAGAGCCACTGGTGAAGGACAGAGAGGTGTTTATTGAGCTATCCTTGGAACTTTTGAAATTTTTCCAAATAAAAATTTTTTAATGTTCGGCTATACACCAAAGGAAGAGGGCTGCAGGTGGTGGGAGCGGGGTCAATGGAGGGTCATTTACTCTCCTGGCTGAGCTTTTACGGCTTTGCCGCCCCCGCCACCATCAAGCGCCTTACGGGTAGATGACTTTTTCATCTCCATCGCCCCGCAAAGGGGGTTGGCCACAGTGATGTGCACCAATGCTGAGCAAATTCACAACACCGTCACTTACAACTGGGGATCAGTTAATCAGCCATCAGATGGGCCTTGTCACCAGTCAATAGAGCCAGCGTCAAGTCAACAGAGGCGAGGCTGGCAATGGAAGCCAGACCCAAAGGGCAAAGGTTAGGCGGACAAGTGCAGAGGGCGGCTCAGAGCCACGGCCGGGACTGGAGCTCCCAGTGGATCCAGTGTGGGACGTGGAGACTTTTGATGGAGCTGGACAGAGGGGATGGGAAGTAAATATTGATTGGGGTCCTAGGACCTCAGTCAGACAGAACAGCCACATCTGAGAGTGAGGGGACATCAGGCCCCCAAATGCACCCCTCCAAAGGCAGTGAGATCCCTGACTGCAGCCTTCCACCCCTGCAGTCACCATGGTCATCCCAAACTGGACTGATGGAACATTGCAGAAGGAGAGACTCAGACAAAAAGGAGGAGAAAGGGGTAGGGGGCGTCTGTGGGATCTCAGTCCCTCTGCACAAAGCAGGTGTTTTATCTGGCCTTGCCTGGGAGCAGACTGCTGACTTGAACCCAGCCTTGCTAGAACATCCGTGGCAGTCCCAGGGCCCCAAAGACAGGGGTCCAGCAGCCCTGCCTGGCCTGGCTCTCAGTACCTCTCCGACCTCCTCTCCTAGCACTGTTCTCCTCCCTTACCCCGCTGCAGCCATGCTGGCCTCCCTGCTGCTCCTCAGGCTCATTCCACCAGTTCCCCAGCCGCAGGGCCTTTGCACTTGCTATTCCCACTATTGGGAACACTTTACCTCACATCCTCTTGGCATTCCTCTCTTGCTTGTTTCAGGTCTCTGCTCAAGGATCACCTTCTCAGGGAGGTCCAATCCGGCCACCACCCCCACCCCAACCCCCACCCCCGCCATCCTACCCGTCTTATTTTCTTCACAGCACTTATCACACCCCGAAATGACATTTTCATTTGCTCACTTGGCAATTGCCTCTCTTGCTAGCATGCAAATTTTGTGAAGATGAGGACTTTGTCCTATTTGCAGTCATACAGCCTGCACTAGAACAATGTCTGGCACATAGTATGTGCTCAATACATACTTTAATCAATGAAATGACTTCATTAATTCATTTTCCTTCTGCTCTTTGATAAGATTGCTTTCATCTTCAGAGGAAAAATGTGAAACCTGCCTCTCTTCCTCTTGAGTCCTTGCTTGGCCAAACCCTTTTCTCCTACTCCAGGGGAGAATTTGATTAAGTGCTTTTTGTTTTTTGAAGGGCAGGAGAGACCACAGTGAGCATGCCATTGAGCTTCACTTATCACTGCTTTGCTCTTGAAAGTAGATCCCTGAATGCAGATTCTGACCAAACCCAACATCCTATTGGACAGCATTAGGGCCTGGCTTCTGAGCCTCGCCACAGCTGTTCCCTCTGCTGGAATGCCCTTCCCTCACTGTGTGTATAAAGACTTCCTGCTAATGACCCTTTTCACCTTAGCTCAAATGTCGTTTTCTCTAAGAAGCCTTCCCCAATCTTCCAGTCTAAATTAATCTCTCCCACGAAAGCAAATTCTCTTCATTGTGGGGCTCACATTTATAATGAAATACTCTCTGCTCATTGGTTGATTTTCTGCCTCCTGCCCTAGACTGTCAGCCTAGGAGGGCAGGGGTCTGCCTGTGCGGTGTCCCACTGCACACCTAGTGCCCAGCGACGCCCTGCAGCAGGTGTTGGCCGAGCTTGTGTTGGAGGAGCTGGAGAACAGCCCCTTCCTGGAAGCCTGCAGCCTACAGAGCCCACCTCACTGGTCCTCCTCGGTGAGAGCTCATCTGTGTCCCGTCTGCCCGTAGGGGAGCCCCACAGCTCAGCTGCGCTCCATGTGTCCCAGGAATTCTGCTGGAACACGCCAGAGACAGGCAGCTCACTACCTCCTCCCCAGCACTGCGCTAGGCATGGGATAGAAGGAGGGCGCCACTGGGGAATTTTCTTGAGCAGTAGAAGGGCCCCTCCTGGCCATGGGGGTGGTCATGGAGACTGTCCCTTTGGGGAGGATTCAGCCCCTCAGTCCCCATCCCCCCACCCCCCATGGTAAAATAAAGGTTCCAGTTCAAGGTCATGACCTTCACTGTTAAGACCTCAAAGGGAACAGGTCCTGGTTCTCATCCTCCCCAACTTTCCAAAGCCCTCCTGAGGCTCCCCCTGGCCGTCAGAGAAACCCCTTAGCCTGACATACCAGGATCCCAACTGGTGACAGCTCTGGTCTCATTTGCCACCACTCCTCCCTCCCCCACACCTGCTCTGCCACACCTGGCTGCCTAGCATCCCGGGGCACCCGAGCCCTTTCACAACCTCACAAGTCTGTGTGTGTGGAGCCACTTCCAGGACACCCTCCTGGCAGGGCAGAGCTGGCTTTTCCTACCACAGCGCACCCTTCGTCTAGCTGGGCCCCCGAGCCTCTGCAGCAAAGGCAAAGCTATGCTGAGCACTGGCCCATGCAGGACATGGCCAAGGTGCTGCTCATGAACTCATTCAATCTCACAACAAACCTATGGGTAGGTGCTATTCATTCATTCAGCACGTGTTAGTTAAATATTGACTGTGGGCTACACACTCTTTTAGGTGCTACGGATACAGCAGACAGCAAAACACACAGAAACCCTGCCCTCTGCAGCTTCCATTTTAGTGAGGGGAGGCAGTCACTGAGTAAAATCTAGGAGATATTCCGTGATTATTGGAGTTACATGGAAAAATAAAACAAGGAGGGTGACAGAGAGGTCCTGGGGGGGATAGGAGCTGCCTTTTAAGTATGAGGGTCAAACTTTGGGAGGCTGAGGTGGGCAGATAACCTGAGGTTGGAAGTTTGAGACCAGCCTGAGTAATATGGAGAAACCCCATCTCTACTGAAAATACAAAATTAGCCCGGCGTGGTGGCACATGCCTGTAATCCCAGCTACTAGGGAGGCTGAGGCAGGAAAATCGCTTGAACCCAGGAGGTGGAGGTTGCGATGAGCTGAGATCACACCATTGCACTCCAGCCTGGGCAACAAGTGCGAAACTCCATCTCAAAAAAAAAAATGGGGGTCAAATAAGATGCTTGAAGCAAAGACCTGACAAAGGTGTAAAAGTGAAGGCCCATGTCTGGGGAAGAACATTCCAGGCAGAAGGCACAGCCAGTGCAAAGTGCCAGGGCAGGACTTGACCCTGCAGGTGAGAGGGAGGCCAGTGTGGCCCAGGCAGAGAGAGCAAGAGAGGGGTGGTAGGAGACGAGGCAGGGAGGTGAGGGGAGGCCACATGGAGAGACCACGGGCCACATGAGGACTGCAGTTTGTACTTTGATTGAGACAGGTAATCACTGCAGAGCATTGGGAATGAGCTATTGGGAGCTGTGGCGGGGAGCAAAGAAAACAGGCCGATGACCCCTGCAATATGCCAGGTGAGAGGCAATGGCTCTGAGCAGGGAAATAAACTGGAAGGAGAAAGACGCAACTGGACTCCGGAAATATCTGAAGGTAGGGCCACCTGCACTTCCTGATGGATCAGATTTGGACGTGAGAAAAAGAGAAGAGTTAAAGATGTCCCCCAGGTTCTGATCTGAGCCACTAGAAGGATATAATTGTCAACTCTTTTATAGATAAGGACACTGAGGCCCAGAGAGTCAAGTAACCTGCCCAAGATCACCTAGCTGGTCATTAGCCAAGCTGGGATTTGAACCCAGACCTCTGGCCTTGGAAACTTTGACCTCGCCAATCTGCTCCAGTTCACTGTGGTGCTTGACAAATGTTGTTGAACTTTGGAAGTAGGGTTTTCAAGAGAAAGAGACACAGAGAGACAGAGTCAGTCCCTGACCTTGAGACACGACTGCTTCCAGGGTTGAGATGGAAAGTGTAGCTTTGGAGCACGTGGACTTGGTCTTACAGAGCCTCCCCAAGACTGGCTGGTCTACCTGCCCTGGGCCTGCCCTGGGTCTCACTTTCCAATGTATAAAACAGAAGAATCATGATCACTGCCACCATTATAGAGCAGCCCCTGGACCTACTTCACATTATCCCGCCTAATCCTCCTAACAACTGTATGAAGTGGGTGTTAATATCCCTTTTTCACCGATGAGGAACCTGAGGGTCAGACAGGTCCACAGCTAAGAACCAGCAGTCTGGGGATTTGAACTAGAACCAAATGGACACTGGGGCCTGGGTAACTTCACTCTTGCCTGGAGCAGTCAGAATATAACGTACTGAGTACTGCACACAGTAAGCCTTCAACCCATGCAAGTTCTTTTCCTCCCTCCCCACGTTCCCCTACCCATGACCCAGTGTGGGAGTCTTCCACACCCATTTGCAGGTTCTCAAGAAAGTGCCTGTGTGCCAGTACCCGAGACCTAGCTGCTCCTACGGGTTCACTTGGCTGGCCCTGGCCTGTGCGAGCCGGCTGTTTCCTGCAGTGTCCCAGGGACGGGGACAGCACCTGCGGGTGCCTGACACAGAGGACACTCCCTCGCCCCCATGCAGCTTGGGGCACTGTCACCATGGAGAGGCACCAACAGGCCTCCGCAATATTTGGGTAACACAAGCTGGAAGGGTTCCTCCTCGTTCCAGGGCCCAGGCCTGGGCACGTCGGGCTGTGGGCTTGGGGAGGGGCCTGGGGAATTCTGAGGCGCAGACTGACAACCCCAGAGGAAAGCAGAATCCACGATCAACACCAGTGGGGTTCCCAGCACCCTTCGTCTCAGTGCTTCCTCCCTCAACCCCACCAAAGAACAACCGCTAATCCCAATTTTCGTATAGGGAAACTGAGGCTCAGAGAGGCAAGGTCATTTGGCTGGAGTGAAACAATCCAGAAACGGTAGAACCAGGATCTGCACCCCAAAGCCTATGTTCTCTCGCTGTCACAGGCCTCTCGCTAAGCCCGACACGAGGGTCATCCATTCTGGCTCACGATCCCTTACCCATAATTCCAAAACCCTGAAAACCAAAAGATAGTTCATAAGTTTGGCCCCAAAGCTCATTTGGCATGACCCAGCTCCACCATTCACAAGCCATGAGGCCTTGAACAAGTAATGTCATCACTCTGAGCCCCACAGTCCTGTAAAATCTGAAACACGGGAGAGTCGCCGTGCTGTCCTCACCAGCAGCCAGGAGGCCTGAGTGACTGTGGGGGCCCAGGATTCTGCATTTAACAAGTCCTCGAGGGACTTCTGATGCACACTCTGTTTGGGCACCACTCTTTTAAGGCATCTACCTGACCATGCCACTTCCACGCTCTAAAGTCTTCTGTAGCTCCCTATTGCCTTCTGGATAAAGTCCAAGAGCCTTAGCATGGCCTGAACTAATGGGAAGCTACATACTGATAGTTTTTATTTTTTTCCACTTTGCACGTGCATGTTTTGATGCAGAAACAGTTGTGTGTTTGTTTATGGATGAAGATCCCCATTGGGTGTGTTAGGTGATAAAGGGTGTACAGTTAACCTTTGAATAACACAGGTTTGAACTGAATAAGTCCCCTCTTACATGGATGTTCTTCTGCCTCTCCCACCCCTGAGACACCAGGACCAACCCCTCCTCTGCCTCTCCCTCCTCCGGCTACTCACCGTGAGGAGGATAAGGATGAAGATCTTTATGATGATCCACTTCCGCTTAATGAACAGTAACTGTATTTTCTCTTCTTTATGATTTTCTTAAAAACATTTCCTTTTCTTTGGCTTACTTATTTTAAGCATATAGT